>NT_187601.1:1208888-1511111 GCF_000001405.40 Homo sapiens | reverse complement strand
TCACACAAATTTTTAGCATATGCGAGGTTTTCACACTTTCACCCTGGCAAGACACCTCAGCCATCTGATTAAAGAAATGCTCCATTTCCATGACCCTTGATTAACTCAGTTCATGAAGCAACCTTTGATCACCTATTCTGTGCTCAGTACAAAGCCACAGAGATGGAAAAAACACAGTCCCTGCCCTCCGGTTACTTGCAGCCTGGTGATGCCACCGAGCTTTGGGGTCATGCGCCTCACAGCCTGGTTAGAATCTGCCCTCCACCACTTGCCAGCTCTGTGACCCAGGGCTAGGTGCTCGACGTCTATGAACCTCAGTTTCCTCATCTGTAAAATGGGATAACAGAAATATCGACTTCATAGGCTTGATGTGAGGACGAGGAGTTAATCTGTAACCAATGCTTGGAATGGCTCTGGCATGAGCCACGTGCTCACTGTTACCTATTATGCTAATGTTACAAAGGGATGTGTAGGAAGTGTTGGGGAAGCAGCAAGCAGGGAGAAAGAGAGGAAGGGAGAGAGGGAGGTACCTGTTTCAGCATCAGGGTAACACTCTGCCTCAGTTTCCTCATCTGTTCTAAGGCAGTAACAGTGGTACTCACTGCACAGGATAGAGTGAGGTGATGCATGTGAAGTGTTTAAGACAGGGCCTGGCAGAGGCCACATGTGCAAGGAGTCTCAGCCGCGATTCAGGGGGTGGCACACCACCGCTGGAGTATTTGGAGATTTATATTATAAAATTTCGGAAGCAAGAGGCCTGTTAAAACCAAGCAAATAGAAATGCTCAAAATCAACATGAAGGAGTCAACAGGGTAAATCGAACAATTTGAAGCCAAGGTCGGAGTTGGGCAAATTAAGAGCCCTATTGCTCTCTGTTATCTAAGCCACCCACGCAGGGCATGTATTTCTGAATAATAAGCCCTCAAGTCCTGCTGGGTCTCCCATAGTCCCCACGCAAGGGTGAGTCTTGCACGCTCAGCCCTGCCTGTGGTTCCCAGAAGGCCTCTGTCACTGCGTGCTTGCTTTCTCTCCCAGGGAAGATACCCCAGTGCCATGTCTTGGGGCAAGAGAAAATGAAGACAGACCTGGAACATGAACATGGTGGCCTTGCCAGAAAGCAAGTGTGTGTTGCTGAAACATCAGCAGAGATTGTCAAAGGGATAAAGAGATAACTTAAAAGGGTTCCTATTGACCAAAATGCGACAAGTTGACCATCTAAAATCAAATCATAATTATAGTTCAATAGGACACATTGAGTCTCTTAAAAGCTTCCAATCCGTAATGACCATCAAGGCCCATAACCTCAAAAGAGTAAAGTTAAAATAAAGTTCAGAAAAGGTTAGCTGCAATAAAACATGAGTTTTAGTAATTTTAACAAGAAGGGGATGAAGCTATAGATGCATTTTTATTCCTTCTTTTAACTATGTTGCCCCTTATAATGTATAGCTTTGCCTTATTTTTCTCTGTCTGAGTAAGGATAAAGAGTAAAGGCCAGGCACAGTGGCTCACACCTGTAATTCCAGCACTTTGGGAGGCCGAGGCGGGCAGATAACTTGAGGCCAGGAGTTTGAGACCAGCCTGGCCAACATGGTGAAACCCTGTCACTACTAAAAATACAAAAATTAACTGGAATTGGTAGCACATGCCTGTAATGCCAGCTACTCTGGAGGCTGAGGCACGAGAATCGCTCGTAATTCCAGAATTCGAGAGGTGGAGTTTGCAGTAAGCCAAGATTGCGCCACTGTACTCCAGCCTGGGTGACTGAGTGAGACTCTGTCTCAAAAAAAAAAAAAAAAAGAAGAAGCTGTGAGTAGGCCACATAGTTCCAGAAAATGCAGAAATCCCCCCTCCCCTCCCCAACACACAGGAAGTGGCTCAGGAGATTACACACAGAAGGAAAGTGTGTCTGCTGGGGTTTTGCAAGTTGGCTAATTTGAAAGGTGACTGGAGGAGGTGAAAAAATGGTGCAAACTTCATTCATTCATTAAATGAGTTATAAGAAGACAGACACAAGTGTCCATTATGCTAACAGAGCTCTGTGTTAAACACCCCACCAGCATCGCCTCATCTAAGCCTCAGAAGAGCTATGTGGGAAAGAAACTTTTATCCCTATTTTATAGATGAGGAAACCAAGGCTCAGAGAACTGAGGGCCTCCCCCGGATCCAAGTCCACCTAGCTGCAGTCACCCCACATCCTCTGCATGTCACAGGTGCTCAGAAAGATGCTGAAGGCACCTGGCCCTTCACCTTCGGAAAGCCAAAATGAGCACGGCCCCTAAAGAGGGGATTGACAGCCTTTTCTGGAAAAAATGGAAGTTTGAATCTGAGGAGGTGTCCCTCAACAACAGGTGCTGCTCCCCAAATCTGGGGCCAAACGCAGCAGTTGTTCCCCCACTTAGACCCCTGAGACCCATCTATATGGTTTTTCAGAGCCAGGACACATCCCCAAAGGTCATGGCCTTTGGTGGTTAGCATTGACTTGGGGCCCATCACATGCCAGAGGCTGCCCGAAGTGCTTAAATGTTATTATCTCATTCGATCTTCACAGTCCTGATGGAAGTGACTCTTCTTAGAGTCTTCCTATCTCACAGATGAGGAAACCGAGGCACAGAGAGGTTAAGTGGCTTGTCTAAGAGCTCACAAAAAGAGCGATGGAGCTAAGGCTTGGCCCCAGATATTAGATCCCGAACCCACGCCTTAACCAGTGACCTGCACTGACTCTCAAAGAAGGAAGCTGGTGCCTGGGAAGGAGGGTGCATAGTGAGGGTGTGCATGGGGTGTGTGTGTTTGTGGGGTGGCCAGCACTCTCCGGGGGCACTTTGCCAATGAGTTCAGCTCCCATGAAGTCCACTGTTGTTCTCCTGACCAGCCACTCAGTCTTGATTTACTTGGCCCAGGGCCACTGGCACACTTCACCCCCTTACCCGATTCCTTGCTGCAGACCCCAAATCTCGACTCTCACATCCCTATCCAGCCCATACCACGAGGCTCCCATCTCCAGGCAGGGCCCTGTGGTGGGGCAGGGCCTCCCCCAGATGCCCCTTACTCATGACCAGCTCACAGGATCTTCCCATGATGCATTTCCTCTGGGGGGATCAGCCCAGATGCTGCAATAGACAATTGTGGAAGTAACCAGGTGGACAAGACTTTCCCCCTCATGTCCTGGGGTTCCTGGGGGCACAGTATCCTTGTGAATGGCCACTGAGTACTCCCACCCCTCCCACCACAACCCCCGGGATTTTGTCCTGGTGCGTTTTTCCAGATTATCCTAGCCCTTCCTCCCAGGATGGATGTCCAGAGCAGGGCGGGGGCTGAGCCTAGAGCCCTGCCAAAAGAGCAGGACCCCAAATTCTGAGCCCCTTACTTGCCTCACTTGCTCCCACCCATGCTTTCTTCATTCCTCCTCCAAAAGCCCCAGCTCCCCACTGCAATCCCTTCTGCACCCAGCCAGGTCCTATGACACACACCTCCCCAGTGCACACAGACCTGCCCAACTGTGGGGCTGCCCACTGGGCATTTCATAGGTGGCTCAGTCCTCTTCCCTCTGCAGCTGGCCCCAGAAACCTGCCAGTTATTGGTGCCAGGTCTGTGCCAGGAGGGCGAGGCCTGTCATTTCTAGTAATCCTCTGGGCAGTGTGACTGTACCTCTTGCGGCAACTCAAAGGGAGAGGGTGACTTGTCCCGGGTCACAGAGCTGAAAGGGCAGGTACAACAGGTGACATGCCGGGCTGTCTGAGTTTATGAGGGCCCAGTCTTGTGTCTGCCGGGCAATGAGCAAGGCTCCTTCCTGTCCAAGCTCCCCGCCCCTCCCCAGCCTACTGCCTCCACCCGAAGTCTACTTCCTGGGTGGGCAGGAACTGGGCACTGTGCCCAGGGCATGCACTGCCTCCACGCAGCAACCCTCAGAGTCCTGAGCTGAACCAAGAAGGAGGAGGGGGTCGGGCCTCCGAGGAAGGCCTAGCCGCTGCTGCTGCCAGGAATTCCAGGTTGGAGGGGCGGCAACCTCCTGCCAGCCTTCAGGCCACTCTCCTGTGCCTGCCAGAAGAGACAGAGCTTGAGGAGAGCTTGAGGAGAGCAGGAAAGGTGGGACATTGCTGCTGCTGCTCACTCAGTTCCACAGGTGGGAGGGACAGCAGGGCTTAGAGTGGGGGTCATTGTGCAGATGGGAAAACAAAGGCCCAGAGAGGGGAAGAAATGCCCAGGAGCTACCGAGGGCAGGCGACCTCAACCACAGCCCAGTGCTGGAGCTGTGAGTGGATGTAGAGCAGCGGAATATCCATTCAGCCAGCTCAGGGGAAGGACAGGGGCCCTGAAGCCAGGGGATGGAGCTGCAGGGAAGGGAGCTCAGAGAGAAGGGGAGGGGAGTCTGAGCTCAGTTTCCCGCTGCCTGAAAGGAGGGTGGTACCTACTCCCTTCACAGGGTAACTGAATGAGAGACTGCCTGGAGGAAAGCTCTTCAAGTGTGGCCCACCCCACCCCAGTGACACCAGCCCCTGACACGGGGGAGGGAGGGCAGCATCAGGAGGGGCTTTCTGGGCACACCCAGTACCCGTCTCTGAGCTTTCCTTGAACTGTTGCATTTTAATCCTCACAGCAGCTCAACAAGGTACATACCGTCACCATCCCCATTTTACAGATAGGGAAATTGAGGCTCGGAGCGGTTAAACAACTCACCTGAGGCCTCACAGCCAGTAAGTGGGTTCCCTGGTCTGAATGTGTGTGCTGGAGGATCCTGTGGGTCACTCGCCTGGTAGAGCCCCAAGGTGGAGGCATAAATGGGACTGGTGAATGACAGAAGGGGCAAAAATGCACTCATCCATTCACTCTGCAAGTATCTACGGCACGTACGCCAGCTCCCAAGCAGGTTTGCGGGTTGCACAGCGGGCGATGCAATCTGATTTAGGCTTTTAAAGGGATTGCAATCAAGTGGGGCCCCACTAGCCTCAACCCTGTACCTCCCCTCCCCTCCACCCCCAGCAGTCTCCAAAGGCCTCCAACAACCCCAGAGTGGGGGCCATGTATCCAAAGAAACTCCAAGCTGTATACGGATCACACTGGTTTTCCAGGAGCAAAAACAGAAACAGGCCTGAGGCTGGTCAAAATTGAACCTCCTCCTGCTCTGAGCAGCCTGGGGGGCAGACTAAGCAGACGGCTGTGCAGACCCACATAAAGAGCCTACTGTGTGCCAGGCACTTCACCCGAGGCACTTCACAAGCATGCTTGGGAATGAAACTTCCAACTCTTTGGGATGCAGGTGAAACAGTTCCTGGTTCAGAGAGGTGAAGCGGCCTGCCTGAGGCAGCACAGCTCTTCTTTACAGATGTGCTTCCCCACCTCTACCCTGTCTCACGGCCCCCCATGCCAGCCTGACGGTTGTGTCTGCCTCAGTCATGCTCCATTTTTCCATCGGGACCATCAAGAGGGTGTTTGTGTCTAAGGCTGACTGGGTAACTTTGGATGAGCGGTCTCTCCGCTCTGAGCCTGTTTCCTCATCTGTCAAATGGGCTCTAACCCACTCTGATCTCCCAGGGCGGCAGTAAGTCTTCAGCATCAGGCATTTTGGGGTGACTCAGTAAATGGTAGATCTTGCTACCAGTGGAACAGCCACTAAGGATTCTGCAGTGAGAGCAGAGGGCCAGCTAAGTGGTACTCTCCCAGAGACTGTCTGACTCACGCCACCCCCTCCACCTTGGACACAGGACGCTGTGGTTTCTGAGCCAGGTACAATGACTCCTTTCGGTAAGTGCAGTGGAAGCTGTACACTGCCCAGGCAAAGCGTCCGGGCAGCGTAGGCGGGCGACTCAGATCCCAGCCAGTGGACTTAGCCCCTGTTTGCTCCTCCGATAACTGGGGTGACCTTGGTTAATATTCACCAGCAGCCTCCCCCGTTGCCCCTCTGGATCCACTGCTTAAATACGGACGAGGACAGGGCCCTGTCTCCTCAGCTTCAGGCACCACCACTGACCTGGGACAGTGAATCGTAAGTATGCCTTTCACTGCGAGGGGTTCTGGAGAGGCTTCTGAGCTCCCCATGGCCCAGGCAGGCAGCAGGTCTGGGGCAGGAGGGGGGTTGTGGAGTGGGTATCCGCCTGCTGAGGTGCAGGGCAGATGGAGAGGCTGCAGCTGAGCTCCTATTTTCATAATAACAGCAGCCATGAGGGTTGTGTCCTGTTTCCCAGTCCTGCCCGGTCCCCCCTCGGTACCTCCTGGTGGATACACTGGTTCCTGTAAGCAGAAGTGGATGAGGGTGTCTAGGTCTGCAGTCCTGGCACCCCAGGATGGGGGACACCAGCCAAGATACAGCAACAGCAACAAAGCGCAGCCATTTCTTTCTGTTTGCACAGCTCCTCTGTCTGTCGGGGGCTCCTGTCTGTTGTCTCCTATAAGCCTCACCACCTCTCCTACTGCTTGGGCATGCATCTTTCTCCCCTTCTATAGATGAGGAGGTTAAGGTCCAGAGAGGGGTGGGGAGGAACGCCGGCTCACATTCTCCATCCCCTCCAGATATGACCAGGAACAGACCTGTGCCAGGCCTCAGCCTTACATCAAAATGGGCCTCCCCATGCACCGTGGACCTCTGGGCCCTCCTGTCCCAGTGGAGGACAGGAAGCTATGAGGGGCACTGTCACCCAGGGCTCAAGCTGGCATTCCTGAATAATCGCTCTGCACCAGGCCACGGCTAAGCTCAGTGCGTGATTAAGCCTCATAACCCTCCAAGGCAGTTACTAGTGTGATTCCCATTTTACAGATGAGGAAGATGGGGACAGAGAGGTGAATAACTGGCCCCAAATCACACACCATCCATAATTCGGGCTCAGGCACCTGGCTCCAGTCCCCAAACTCTTGAACCTGGCCCTAGTGTCACTGTTTCTCTTGGGTCTCAGGCGCTGGATGGGGAACAGGAAACCTGGGCTGGACTTGAGGCCTCTCTGATGCTCGGTGACTTCAGACAGTTGCTCAACCTCTCTGTTCTCTTGGGCAAAACATGATAACCTTTGACTTCTGTCCCCTCCCCTCACCCCACCCGACCTTGATCTCTGAAGTGTTGGAAGGATTTAATTTTTCCTGCACTGAGTTTTGGAGACAGGTCAAAAAGATGACCAAGGCCAAGGTGGCCAGTTTCCTATAGAACGCCTCTAAAAGACCTGCAGCAATAGCAGCAAGAACTGGTATTCTCGAGAACTTGCTGCGCAGCAGGCACTTCTTGGCATTTTATGTGTATTTAATTTCACAATAGCTCTATGACAAAGTCCACCTTTCTCATCTCCAGGAAACTGAGGTTCAGAGAGGTTAAGTAACTTGTCCAAGGTCACACAGCTAATAGCAAGTTGACGTGGAGCAATCTGGCCTCAGAGCCTTTAATTTTAGCCACAGACTGATGCTCCCCTCTTCATTTAGCCAGGCTGCCTCTGAAGTTTTCTGATTCAAGACTTCTGGCTTCAGCTTTGTACACAGAGATGATTCAATGTCAGGTTTTGGAGTGAAATCTGTTTAATCCCAGACAAAACATTTAGGATTACATCTCAGTTTTGTAAGCAAGTAGCTCTGTGATTTTTAGTGAGTTATTTAATGCTCTTTGGGGCTCAATTTTTCTATCTATAAAATAGGGCTAATAATTTGCACCTTATAGGGTAAGCTTTGAGGACAGATTAGATGATACGGTGCCTGTAAAACACCAGGTGTTAGTAAGTGTGGCAATGATGGTGACGCTGAGGCTGATGTTTGCTTAGCATAGGGTTAGGCAGCTGGCAGGCAGTAAACAGTTGGATAATTTAATGGAAAATTTGCCAAACTCAGATGCTGTTCACTGCTGAGCAGGAGCCCCTTCCTGCTGAAATGGTCCTGGGGAGTGCAGCAGGCTCTCCGGGAAGAAATCTACCATCTCTCGGGCAGGAGCTCAACCTGTGTGCAGGTACAGGGAGGGCTTCCTCACCTGGTGCCCACTCATGCATTACGTCAGTTATTCCTCATCCCTGTCCAAAGGATTCTTTTCTCCATTGTACAGCTATGAAGCTAGTGCTCAAAGAAGTGAAGTCATTTACCCCAGGCCCCCTGCCAGTAAGTGACAGGGCCTGGTCACACTTGGGTTTATTTATTGCCCAGTTCAACAGGTTGTTTGACCATAGGCGAGATTCTCTTCCCTGCACCCTGCCGGGTTGCTCTTGGTCCCTTATTTTATGCTCCCGGGTAGAAATGGTGTGAGATTAGGCAGGGAGTGGCTCGCTTCCCTGTCCCTGGCCCCGCAAAGAGTGCTCCCACCTGCCCCGATCCCAGAAATGTCACCATGAAGCCTTCATTCTTTTGGTTTAAAGCTTGGCCTCAGTGTCCGTACACCATGGGGTCCTTGGCCAGATGGCGACTTTCTCCTCTCCAGTCGCCCTCCCAGGCACTAGCTTTTAGGAGTGCAGGGTGCTGCCTCTGATAGAAGGGCCAGGAGAGAGCAGGTTTTGGAGACCTGATGTTATAAGGAACAGCTTGGGAGGCATAATGAACCCAACATGATGCTTGAGACCAATGTCACAGCCCAATTCTGACATTCATCATCTGAGATCTGAGGACACAGCTGTCTCAGTTCATGATCTGAGTGCTGGGAAAGCCAAGACTTGTTCCAGCTTTGTCACTGACTTGCTGTATAGCCTCAACAAGGCCCTGACCCTCTCTGGGCTTCAAACTCTTCACTGTGAAAGGAGGAAACCAGAGTAGGTGATGTGACACCAGGAAAGATGGATGGGTGTGGGGGAATGTGCTCCTCCCAGCTGTCACCCCCTCGCCACCCTCCCTGCACCAGCCTCTCCACCTCCTTTGAGCCCAGAATTCCCCTGTCTAGGAGGGCACCTGTCTCATGCCTAGCCATGGGAATTCTCCATCTGTTTTGCTACATTGAACCCAGATGCCATTCTAACCAAGAATCCTGGCTGGGTGCAGGGGCTCTCGCCTGTAACCCCAGCACTTTGGGAGGCCAAGGCAGGCGGATCAAGAGGTCAGGAGTTCAAGACCTGCCTGGCCAACACGGTGAAACCTCAGCTCTACTAAAAATACAAAAATTAGCCAGGCGTGGTGGCACACGCCTGTAATCCCAGCTATTTGGGAAGCTGAGACAGAAGAATTTCTTGAACCCGGGAGGTGGAGGTTTCAGTGAGCCGAGATCACGCCACTGCACTCCACCCTGGCGGATAAAGCGAGACTCTGTCTCAAAAAAAACCCAAAAACCTATGTTAGTGTACAGAGGGCCCCAGTGAAGTCTTCTCCCAGCCCCACTTTGCACAACTGGGGAGAGTGAGGCCCCAGGACCAGAGGATTCTTGCTAAAGGCCAAGTGGATAGTGATGGCCCTGCCAGGGCTAGAAGCCACAACCTCTGGCCCTGAGGCCACTCAGCATATTTAGTGTCCCCACCCTGCAGAGGCCCAACTCCCTCCTGACCACTGAGCCCTGTAATGATGGGGGAATTTCCATAAGCCATGAAGGACTGCACAAAGTTCAGTTGGGAAGTGAAAGAGAAATTAAAGGGAGATGGAAATATACAGCACTAATTTTAGCACCGTCTTCAGTTCTAACAACACTAGCTAGCTGAAGAAAAATACAAACATGTATTATGTAATGTGTGGTCTGTTCCATTTGGATTACTTAGAGGCACGAGGGCCAGGAGAAAGGTGGTGGAGAGAAACCAGCTTTGCACTTCATTTGTTGCTTTATTGGAAGGAAACTTTTAAAAGTCCAAGGGGGTTGAAGAATCTCAATATTTGTTATTTCCAGCTTTTTTTCTCCAGTTTTTCATTTCCCAAATTCAAGGACACCTTTTTCTTTGTATTTTGTTAAGATGATGGTTTTGGTTTTGTGACTAGTAGTTAACAATGTGGCTGCCGGGCATATTCTCCTCAGCTAGGACCTCAGTTTTCCCATCTGTGAAGACGGCAGGTTCTACCTAGGGGGCTGCAGGCTGGTGGTCCGAAGCCTGGGCATATCTGGAGTAGAAGGATCACTGTGGGGCAGGGCAGGTTCTGTGTTGCTGTGGATGACGTTGACTTTGACCATTGCTCGGCAGAGCCTGCTCTCGCTGGTTCAGCCACAGGCCCCACCACTCCCTATTGTCTCAGCCCCGGGTATGAAACATGTATTCCTCACTGGCCTATCACCTGAAGCCTTTGAATTTGCAACACCTGCCAACCCCTCCCTCAAAAGAGTTGCCCTCTCAGATCCTTTTGATGTAAGGTTTGGTGTTGAGACTTATTTCACTAAATTCTCATACATAAACATCACTTTACGTATGAGGCAAAATGAGGACCAGGGAGATGAATGACTTGTCCTGGCTCATACACCTGGAAAGTGACAGAGTCAGATTAGATCCCAGGTCTATCTGAAGTTAAAAGAGGTGTCTTTTCACTTCCCACCTCCTCCATCTACTTTAAAGCAGCACAAACCCCTGCTTTCAAGGAGAGATGAGCGTCTCTAAAGCCCCTGACAGCAAGAGCCCAGAACTGGGACACCATTAGTGACCCAGACGGCAGGTAAGCTGACTGCAGGAGCATCAGCCTATTCTTGTGTCTGGGACCACAGAGCATTGTGGGGACAGCCCCGTCTCTTGGGAAAAAAACCCTAAGGGCTGAGGATCCTTGTGAGTGTTGGGTGGGAACAGCTCCCAGGAGGTTTAATCACAGCCCCTCCATGCTCTCTAGCTGTTGCCATTGTGCAAGATGCATTTCCCTTCTGTGCAGCAGTTTCCCTGGCCACTAAATAGTGGGATTAGATAGAAGCCCTCCAAGGGCTTCCAGCTTGACATGATTCTTGATTCTGATCTGGCCCGATTCCTGGATAATCGTGGGCAGGCCCATTCCTCTTCTTGTGCCTCATTTTCTTCTTTTGTAAAACAATGGCTGTACCATTTGCATCTTAGGGTCATTGCAGATGTAAGTGTTGCTGTCCAGAGCCTGGGTGCAGGACCTAGATGTAGGATTCTGGTTCTGCTACTTCCTCAGTGACATTGAATAGCTGACCTGATCTCTCTGGCTTTGGTTTCTTCATCTGTAAAAGAAGGATATTAGCATTAGCACCTCACGGGATTGTTACAAGAAAGCAATGAATTAACACATGTGAGCACGGAGAACAGTGCTTGGCATATGGTAAGCACTACGTACATTTTGCTATTCTTCTGATTCTTTCAGTGTTACTGATGTCGGCAAGTACTTGGCACAGGCTGGTTTAATAATCCCTAGGCACTTCCACGTGGTGTCAATCCCTGATCACTGGGAGTCATCATGTGCCTTGACTCGGGGCCTGGCCCCCCCATCTCTGTCTTGCAGGACAATGCCGTCTTCTGTCTCGTGGGGCATCCTCCTGCTGGCAGGCCTGTGCTGCCTGGTCCCTGTCTCCCTGGCTGAGGATCCCCAGGGAGATGCTGCCCAGAAGACAGATACATCCCACCATGATCAGGATCACCCAACCTTCAACAAGATCACCCCCAACCTGGCTGAGTTCGCCTTCAGCCTATACCGCCAGCTGGCACACCAGTCCAACAGCACCAATATCTTCTTCTCCCCAGTGAGCATCGCTACAGCCTTTGCAATGCTCTCCCTGGGGACCAAGGCTGACACTCACGATGAAATCCTGGAGGGCCTGAATTTCAACCTCACGGAGATTCCGGAGGCTCAGATCCATGAAGGCTTCCAGGAACTCCTCCGTACCCTCAACCAGCCAGACAGCCAGCTCCAGCTGACCACCGGCAATGGCCTGTTCCTCAGCGAGGGCCTGAAGCTAGTGGATAAGTTTTTGGAGGATGTTAAAAAGTTGTACCACTCAGAAGCCTTCACTGTCAACTTCGGGGACACCGAAGAGGCCAAGAAACAGATCAACGATTACGTGGAGAAGGGTACTCAAGGGAAAATTGTGGATTTGGTCAAGGAGCTTGACAGAGACACAGTTTTTGCTCTGGTGAATTACATCTTCTTTAAAGGTAAGGTTGCTCAACCAGCCTGAGCTGTTCCCATAGAAACAAGCAAAAATATTCTCAAACCATCAGTTCTTGAACTCTCCTTGGCAATGCATTATGGGCCATAGCAATGCTTTTCAGCGTGGATTCTTCAGTTTTCTACACACAAACACTAAAATGTTTTCCATCATTGAGTAATTTGAGGAAATAATAGATTAAACTGTCAAAACTACTGACAGCTCTGCAGAACTTTTCAGAGCCTTTAATGTCCTTGTGTATACTGTATATGTAGAATATATAATGCTTAGAACTATAGAACAAATTGTAATACACTGCATAAAGGGATAGTTTCATGGAACATACTTTACACGACTCTAGTGTCCCAGAATCAGTATCAGTTTTGCAATCTGAAAGACCTGGGTTCAAATCCTGCCTCTAACACAATTAGCTTTTGACAAAAACAATGCATTCTACCTCTTTGAGGTGCTAATTTCTCATCTTAGCATGGACAAAATACCATTCTTGCTGTCAGGTTTTTTTAGGATTAAACAAATGACAAAGACTGTGGGGATGGTGTGTGGCATACAGCAGGTGATGGACTCTTCTGTATCTCAGGCTGCCTTCCTGCCCCTGAGGGGTTAAAATGCCAGGGTCCTGGGGGCCCCAGGGCATTCTAAGCCAGCTCCCACTGTCCCAGGAAAACAGCATAGGGGAGGGGAGGTGGGAGGCAAGGCCAGGGGCTGCTTCCTCCACTCTGAGGCTCCCTTGCTCTTGAGGCAAAGGAGGGCAGTGGAGAGCAGCCAGGCTGCAGTCAGCACAGCTAAAGTCCTGGCTCTGCTGTGGCCTTAGTGGGGGCCCAGGTCCCTCTCCAGCCCCAGTCTCCTCCTTCTGTCCAATGAGAAAGCTGGGATCAGGGGTCCCTGAGGCCCCTGTCCACTCTGCATGCCTCGATGGTGAAGCTCTGTTGGTATGGCAGAGGGGAGGCTGCTCAGGCATCTGCATTTCCCCTGCCAATCTAGAGGATGAGGAAAGCTCTCAGGAATAGTAAGCAGAATGTTTGCCCTGGATGAATAACTGAGCTGCCAATTAACAAGGGGCAGGGAGCCTTAGACAGAAGGTACCAAATATGCCTGATGCTCCAACATTTTATTTGTAATATCCAAGACACCCTCAAATAAACATATGATTCCAATAAAAATGCACAGCCACGATGGCATCTCTTAGCCTGACATCGCCACGATGTAGAAATTCTGCATCTTCCTCTAGTTTTGAATTATCCCCACACAATCTTTTTCGGCAGCTTGGATGGTCAGTTTCAGCACCTTTTACAGATGATGAAGCTGAGCCTCGAGGGATGTGTGTCGTCAAGGGGGCTCAGGGCTTCTCAGGGAGGGGACTCATGGTTTCTTTATTCTGCTACACTCTTCCAAACCTTCACTCACCCCTGGTGATGCCCACCTTCCCCTCTCTCCAGGCAAATGGGAGAGACCCTTTGAAGTCAAGGACACCGAGGAAGAGGACTTCCACGTGGACCAGGCGACCACCGTGAAGGTGCCTATGATGAAGCGTTTAGGCATGTTTAACATCCAGCACTGTAAGAAGCTGTCCAGCTGGGTGCTGCTGATGAAATACCTGGGCAATGCCACCGCCATCTTCTTCCTGCCTGACGAGGGGAAACTACAGCACCTGGAAAATGAACTCACCCACGATATCATCACCAAGTTCCTGGAAAATGAAGACAGAAGGTGATTCCCCAACCTGAGGGTGACCAAGAAGCTGCCCACACCTCTTAGCCATGTTGGGACTGAGGCCCATCAGGACTGGCCAGAGGGCTGAGGAGGGTGAACCCCACATCCCTGGGTCACTGCTACTCTGTATAAACTTGGCTTCCAGAATGAGGCCACCACTGAGTTCAGGCAGCGCCATCCATGCTCCATGAGGAGGACAGTACCCAGGGGTGAGGAGGTAAAGGTCTCGTCCCTGGGGACTTCCCACTCCAGTGTGGACACTGTCCCTTCCCAATATCCAGTGCCCAGGGCAGGGACAGCAGCACCACCACACGTTCTGGCAGAACCAAAAAGGAACAGATGGGCTTCCTGGCAAAGGCAGCAGTGGAGTGTGGAGTTCAAGGGTAGAATGTCCCTGGGGGGACGGGGGAAGAGCCTGTGTGGCAAGGCCCAGAAAAGCAAGGTTCGGAATTGGAACAGCCAGGCCATGTTCGCAGAAGGCTTGCGTTTCTCTGTCACTTTATCGGTGCTGTTAGATTGGGTGTCCTGTAGTAAGTGATACTTAAACATGAGCCACACATTAGTGTATGTGTGTGCATTCGTGATTATGCCCATGCCCTGCTGATCTAGTTCGTTTTGTACACTGTAAAACCAAGATGAAAATACAAAAGGTGTCGGGTTCATAATAGGAATCGAGGCTGGAATTTCTCTGTTCCATGCCAGCACCTCCTGAGGTCTCTGCTCCAGGGGTTGAGAAAGAACAAAGAGGCTGAGAGGGTAACGGATCAGAGAGCCCAGAGCCAAGCTGCCCGCTCACACCAGACCCTGCTCAGGGTGGCATTGTCTCCCCATGGAAAACCAGAGAGGAGCACTCAGCCTGGTGTGGTCACTCTTCTCTTATCCACTAAACGGTTGTCACTGGGCACTGCCACCAGCCCCGTGTTTCTCTGGGTGTACGGCCCTGGGGATGTTACAGGCTGGGGGCCAGGTGACCCAACACTACAGGGCAAGATGAGACAGGCTTCCAGGACACCTAGAATATCAGAGGAGGTGGCATTTCAAGCTTTTGTGATTCATTCGATGTTAACATTCTTTGACTCAATGTAGAAGAGCTAAAAGTAGAACAAACCAAAGCCGAGTTCCCATCTTAGTGTGGGTGGAGGACACAGGAGTAAGTGGCAGAAATAATCAGAAAAGAAAACACTTGCACTGTGGTGGGTCCCAGAAGAACAAGAGGAATGCTGTGCCATGCCTTGAATTTCTTTTCTGCACGACAGGTCTGCCAGCTTACATTTACCCAAACTGTCCATTACTGGAACCTATGATCTGAAGAGCGTCCTGGGTCAACTGGGCATCACTAAGGTCTTCAGCAATGGGGCTGACCTCTCCGGGGTCACAGAGGAGGCACCCCTGAAGCTCTCCAAGGTGAGATCACCCTGACGACCTTGTTGCACCCTGGTATCTGTAGGGAAGAATGTGTGGGGGCTGCAGCTCTGTCCTGAGGCTGAGGAAGGGGCCGAGGGAAACAAATGAAGACCCAGGCTGAGCTCCTGAAGATGCCCGTGATTCACTGACACGGGACGTGGTCAAACAGCAAAGCCAGGCAGGGGACTGCTGTGCAGCTGGCACTTTCGGGGCCTCCCTTGAGGTTGTGTCACTGACCCTGAATTTCAACTTTGCCCAAGACCTTCTAGACATTGGGCCTTGATTTATCCATACTGACACAGAAAGGTTTGGGCTAAGTTGTTTCAAAGGAATTTCTGACTCCTTCGATCTGTGAGATTTGGTGTCTGAATTAATGAATGATTTCAGCTAAAGATGACACTTATTTTGGAAAACTAAAGGCGACCAATGAACAACTGCAGTTCCATGAATGGCTGCATTATCTTGGGGTCTGGGCACTGTGAAGGTCACTGCCAGGGTCCGTGTCCTCAAGGAGCTTCAAGCCGTGTACTAGAAAGGAGAGAGCCCTGGAGGCAGACGTGGAGTGACGATGCTCTTCCCTGTTCTGAGTTGTGGGTGCACCTGAGCAGGGGGAGAGGCGCTTGTCAGGAAGATGGACAGAGGGGAGCCAGCCCCATCAGCCAAAGCCTTGAGGAGGAGCAAGGCCTATGTGACAGGGAGGGAGAGGATGTGCAGGGCCAGGGCCGTCCAGGGGGAGTGAGCGCTTCCTGGGAGGTGTCCACGTGAGCCTTGCTCGAGGCCTGGGATCAGCCTTACAACGTGTCTCTGCTTCTCTCCCCTCCAGGCCGTGCATAAGGCTGTGCTGACCATCGACGAGAAAGGGACTGAAGCTGCTGGGGCCATGTTTTTAGAGGCCATACCCATGTCTATCCCCCCCGAGGTCAAGTTCAACAAACCCTTTGTCTTCTTAATGATTGAACAAAATACCAAGTCTCCCCTCTTCATGGGAAAAGTGGTGAATCCCACCCAAAAATAACTGCCTCTCGCTCCTCAACCCCTCCCCTCCATCCCTGGCCCCCTCCCTGGATGACATTAAAGAAGGGTTGAGCTGGTCCCTGCCTGCATGTGACTGTAAATCCCTCCCATGTTTTCTCTGAGTCTCCCTTTGCCTGCTGAGGCTGTATGTGGGCTCCAGGTAACAGTGCTGTCTTCGGGCCCCCTGAACTGTGTTCATGGAGCATCTGGCTGGGTAGGCACATGCTGGGCTTGAATCCAGGGGGGACTGAATCCTCAGCTTACGGACCTGGGCCCATCTGTTTCTGGAGGGCTCCAGTCTTCCTTGTCCTGTCTTTGAGTCCCCAAGAAGGAATCACAGGGGAGGAACCAGATACCAGCCATGACCCCAGGCTCCACCAAGCATCTTCATGTCCCCCTGCTCATCCCCCACTCCCCCCCACCCAGAGTTGCTCATCCTGCCAGGGCTGGCTGTGCCCACCCCAAGGCTGCCCTCCTGGGGACCCCAGAACTGCCTGATCGTGCCGTGGCCCAGTTTTGTGGCATCTGCAGCAACACAAGAGAGAGGACAATGTCCTCCTCTTGACCCGCTGTCACCTAACCAGACTCGGGCCCTGCACCTCTCAGGCACTTCTGGAAAATGACTGAGGCAGATTCTTCCTGAAGCCCATTCTCCATGGGGCAACAAGGACACCTATTCTGTCCTTGTCCTTCCATCGCTGCCCCAGAAAGCCTCACATATCTCCGTTTAGAATCAGGTCCCTTCTCCCCAGATGAAGAGGAGGGTCTCTGCTTTGTTTTCTCTATCTCCTCCTCAGACTTGACCAGGCCCAGCAGGCCCCAGAAGACCATTACCCTATATCCCTTCTCCTCCCTAGTCACATGGCCATAGGCCTGCTGATGGCTCAGGAAGGCCATTGCAAGGACTCCTCAGCTATGGGAGAGGAAGCACATCACCCATTGACCCCCGCAACCCCTCCCTTTCCTCCTCTGAGTCCCGACTGGGGCCACATGCAGCCTGACTTCTTTGTGCCTGTTGCTGTCCCTGCAGTCTTCAGAGGGCCACCGCAGCTCCAGTGCCACGGCAGGAGGCTGTTCCTGAATAGCCCCTGTGGTAAGGGCCAGGAGAGTCCTTCCATCCTCCAAGGCCCTGCTAAAGGACACAGCAGCCAGGAAGTCCCCTGGGCCCCTAGCTGAAGGACAGCCTGCTCCCTCCGTCTCTACCAGGAATGGCCTTGTCCTGTGGAAGGCACTGCCCCATCCCAAACTAATCTAGGAATCACTGTCTAACCACTCACTGTCATGAATGTGTACTTAAAGGATGAGGTTGAGTCATACCAAATAGTGATTTCGATAGTTCAAAATGGTGAAATTAGCAATTCTACATGATTCAGTCTAATCAATGGATACCGACTGTTTCCCACACAAGTCTCCTGTTCTCTTAAGCTTACTCACTGACAGCCTTTCACTCTCCACAAATACATTAAAGATATGGCCATCACCAAGCCCCCTAGGATGACACCAGACCTGAGAGTCTGAAGACCTGGATCCAAGTTCTGACTTTTCCCCCTGACAGTTGTGTGACCTTCGTGAAGTCGCCAAACCTCTCTGAGCCCCAGTCATTGCTAGTAAGACCTGCCTTTGAGTTGGTATGATGTTCAAGTTAGATAACAAAATGTTTATACCCATTAGAACAGAGAATAAATAGAACTACATTTCTTGCACTTATGAGCTTTCTGTGAATCAGACATCCCTATGAAGTACCTCCCCTGGCTGTTTCTCATTTACTCACTGTAGCAGCACTGCGATGTGTGAGTATATCTGCTGTGCTCTTAAACTCCAAATCTGAGGAAACTGAGGCTCAGAGAGGCTACTGGTCTCCCACAATGTCACACAGCTCATAAGTGGCAAAGCTGGCTTGATGGGCTACTTGTTCCTCTGAACCATACCACCTCACCACACTCTCCCCTTCGAGGGTCACGCTAAACTTCTGCAGAGGTAATTCCTCCTTAAACCAGAAGGGTTGCTGGTGGCCCACAGCTCACGCCTAGCACACTTCATGAGAAAAACACCCTGTGCCCAGTGTGGAGCAGGCATTGAGCTGAAGGTGGTGAGCAGAAGCTCATCCACCAGATGTTGACACAGCCCGCAGCCTTGGGCGACCCACAGGACTCCTCTTATTTAACTGGCATTTGGTAGGAGAACAGGGGCAGAGTCAAAGACAAGTTGGCTTTCTGGAGAGCCCAGGGCAGGGAAGGAGGTGGCAGCGCTGAGGGCGGTCACCTTAGACACCATCGTTTTACTTTGAAGAATTGTCTGTCACACACGAGTTGACAGTCAGGATGGGAGAGACCCCATTCAAACTAGCATAACCTCCCAGAGGGAATTCCTGGGCTCCCCTGGGAATCAACAGGGATCAGTCAAGGATGGGCAGAGTGTCATGACAACCTCATTATGAGGAAGACAAATATATGTCACAAGTCCGTGATGGGACAACCATAAGACCTCAGCTTCACTGTATCTTCCAGAGTTTTAAAAAAATGTATTCACTGTCCAACGTGATCCTCCAGACAGGTTCTGCAGGACGCAGCCTAGGACTCATTATCCCCAAAGTACACATGGGGAAACTCAGGCCCAGCAGGTCAAATGCTCTGTCCAGTGTGGGCCTGGAAGGCAGGTCTTCTCCACTGTTAGGCCTGGCTGTCCCCAACAGCACATACTTCCTCAGTCCATATGGGATCACGATAAACAACTCCATCCTCCAGGACCACACTGCATCAACCTGCTGTGCCCTAACATCAGCTGAAGGCCAAGCTGCGGGGCACCCTGGGTGTTCCAAGTCACTTTCCCTCTGCAGGCAGGAACCTCATCCTGCTCTGAAACAGATGAGAGGGAAACGCAGAAAACAGCTTCCAGCTCAGCCAGGAACCTTAGAGTCCTGACCTTTTACCTCGCCTAGGAGTTTGCAGGGGAGAGAACACACGAATTTTAGATTTTAAGCCTAAATAAAGGAAGCCTTAGTTTGAAGTGCAAGCTCTGCCGGACAGGGGGCACCCTGTGAGCCCCATTTGTTAAGAGGACAATAGTCAGAGAGCTTCCAGGCTCTCACACCAGAAACAGGAAATACAGATTTCACACTGATCTCCTTCCCAGGAGCAACTTGATCCTCTCCATAAATCCGAGCGGGAAGCATTTATCCAAACAACAAACAAGCAAACATGAGCTGTGTATGGGGGATAGAGAGAATGAAACCCAGGTCCATCCCGGGGAGAATGCTGGTCTATGGCAGTGGGGAGCAGTGAATAAATGAGGCGTACATCCATGGATCTGGGTGGAGAGGGTCAGGGTGTAACCCAGGACCTTTCCAGAGGCATGAGAAACAGTCAGCCTACACCCACAGATGACCTCAAACACCCCAAGTGCTCCTTGAAAGGCTGAGACCTTTGTGTTGCTCTTGGTTGGATTATTCACAGGCAGTGAAGTAAACAAGGCACACCACAGGACTCAGAACCAGGGACAGCTTCCGCAGGAACCTGGGTCAGTTCTAAAAGGACAAATGGAATGACCCTGAGTAGAGAAGTCAGAGAAAGGCACTCTCACTGAGGCAAACTCCCTCCCCAGCAGGGACCCAGGCAGCAACTCGGAAAAGCAGGAGTGTCACTATTGTATCATATGGGAGAGGGCAGGCTGTGTGCTCTCAGGGAAGTTCCTCAACTTCTCTGTGCCGTAGTTTCCTCATCTGCAAAATGTAAATCAAATTTGAGGTTTCAATGCAATGACTTATTTCTCTAAAGTTCCTTGTCCTTGTCCCATGTAGCCCAGAAATCTTCCTCTGGCCTAGTTGTGGAGCCTGGCCTAAGTCGCACATTGCTGGAGATGGTGAAGCTGACCAGCATGAGAGGTCAGTTTCTAGAAGCCCAAATCCCAACAGGCATAAGCCTCACCCTCCAATATCAGCTCTATCAGAAACAAACAAACAAAAACATGTCTTATTCATTTGTCCTTTTCCTCAAATGGGTGGCACTTGGGCAGGGCAGAAGGGCTGGTTATCCAAGCTTGGAAGATGCTGACAGCAGACGCTTCAATGGCAGTAGGAGTTTTCTGATCACTGTCATTGGTATCACGCTTACTGTTGAAATCGTGACATCAGGAATGATGAAAGGAACTAGAGTCAGATGGTCTGGAGCGGGGAAGTGAGGAGCTGAAACCTCCTTCAGTCTGGTTGCTGTGTCCCCAGGGTGGGTAGATCCCCTCTGTTCATCCCACATGGGACAAGTAGAGCGGGAGAGGAATCAACCCTTTCTAAAGGGTTGAAGCATTGAGCTGTGAGCTTCTCGGTTGCTGCAGCACAATCCTTGCCCATCCTGACTGAAACAACCAGAATTCATGAAATGCATCAAAGAAGTCTTCACCTACTACGCAAGCCTGGAAGGGTGACTAAGATCTGAAAAACACCGGGAAGGCTAAAGGAACTCCCACAAGGAAACCCCATTAGAAAGTTCTAGTTACAAGATGCTCAGCACAGGCCATGCAGAAATACGCCCAGATCCGGTGGTGAGCAAGGAACGGTAGGAATGTGAGCACTGAGTCACGCAGGAGAGACTCATAGGGGCTCAAGCCAGCAAGGGGACGGCCTCCACCCCACGCACTGTTGGCCAACAGCTTCCAGGGGCATTTGCTCTCAGAAGTCAAAGCTGATTTTCCACAATTGAAGTGCTCACTGTTTGGGATGATTTAGGAACAACACCAACAAAAAGGAATGAACAATCAGAGCTAATAGAATTGTGTTTAAACTCTGCTGGGCTTCCTTGACAGAGGGCACGGGGAGCAAACAAAGTCAGCAGTGTGTCTTAAGTAAAAAACTTTTTTTCCTTTTAATTGGCAGTTAATACCCTCAAAATATGTTCTGAGATTGATCAAGTAAGTGTCTTTCAGCATTAAAATATTAGGATGAAATTGCTAAGGGCTTCTTAGCAAAGTGGAAAGAACACAGGAATCCCAACTCCACCTTCTCCTTAGCATACAATCCTGAGTGGGCTGTTACAGCTCTCTGTGCCTCGGCGCCCTCACCTGCAAGACAGGTAAAATAAAACTCCTAGGTTACTTTCATGAATAATATGCAAAGCATCACCCTAAAAAAGTGCTGCTACTTAAATGACCACCAAACATTAATGAATACTGTGGATTCCAAAAATATTAGTTAATGTGAGTGGTGTGGCTACCTTCCCCCAGTGCCCCGTGCTCTGTCAGGGAACTAACAGAGGAATAAATTACAGATATTCACAAGTTTGTTACCAATGACCCTGAGCTAGGAATCAGCCTGGGATCTTTTCCCAGGTCTACCACTAATGTGCCACCTAACACTGCGGACATCCTCTCCTCTCCCTGAGCCCCAGTTTCCTCACCAGAGAATGTGAGCATTGAGGTCCCTGGAGTCCTGACATTCCATAGAGCTCTGAGGGCTTCAGGCCGGCCCCACGTCAGTCTTTCACCTGTGTGCCCTGTGCCCACTGCTGATCTGGGGCAGAGGAGGCACAGGGAAAGGGCCCAGGCTGCTCTTAAAAATCACATCTCACATTGAGACCGACGCATGGAGACTGCGGCAGAAGCAGCAGAGGTGAGGACCCCGTGTGAGTCCCCTGTGGCTGCCGTAGCTGATTTAGCTGATTACCATGAGCTCCGTGGTTTCCAATAGAATGCATTCTTTTACAGTTCTGGAGGCCAGAAGTCCAGAACAGTATCACTGGGACAAGGTCAGGGTGTCAGGAAAGCCGAGTGTCCTTGGAGGCTCTAGGGGATGTGCCACTTCTTCCTCTTCCAATTTCTGGTGGCTGCTGGCATTCCTTGACTTGTTGCCCCTCCAGTCACGGCCTCTGTTGTCACACTGCCCCCTCTTTCTCCATCTGTGTCAGGTCTCCCTCCCCCTCCCCCTCAGGAGGATACTTGCGATAGCATTTAGGGACCACCTGGATTGTCTTCTCCTACCAAGACCCTTAACGACATCTGCAAGGACATTTCTTCCATAGTTGGTAACATATCTCTGGGGGGCGCTGTTGAGCCTGTAGAACGCCCTACTTTACCAGTGAGGGGATGATGGGGCTGGAAGAGGGAAGGAATGAAAGGAGTGTGAAGGAAGCGCCACCAAGGAGAGCTGTGGAAGCCCAACCCAAAGACCGCACCTGGGATGTCGGGAAGGGCCAAGGTACAGAAGGAGAAGGAAGAGGGTTGGAGGTGGAGGGCCAGCAGCACCAAGGCTCGGAGCCAGGGTGAAACTCCCCCGCCAGGGGATGGAGAGAAATGGTGGGGTCGTTCTCTCAGGGAGTGGCACAGCAGAGCCAGAGCCAGATCTGGAGGTGGCTGTGCCCCCCTGGGGGGTGCAGACTCACAGCCCCTCCAACAGGGAGCCCCTCCAGGTGAGAGCGAAATGGAGATGAGCGCAAAACCCCGACTATCAGGCAGATTCTGCAGCAAAAATGACTTCAGAGGTGAACTGTGTGTAGCCTCAGGAACGGGATAGAGGTGGCCCTTGTAAACCTACCCTGCAATGGTGTCTAGGTCCCATGTCCCCTGTTCCAGACAGAGGCAGGCCTTGGCCTCCTGAGGAGGGACAGCAGGAGGGCAGGTCCCTCACTGAGCCTGGAGTCTCTCTCTCTGTACAGCAGGCACCTTCTCCCGACCACTCCCACCACCAACATTTCATTCTATTCCTTCCCTCAGGGGGCAGCTACAATTTCTCTCTTAGCCCAAGGAAAGGAATAAAACAAACTGCCTTATATTGAAGTGAACATGGCTGACCTGGGCTTATTGGGAGCCCTCCCAAGGGGCGGGGTCTAGTTCTCATTATCTTCTCCATCAAGGTGGCTAAGAATTTTTGCAGTTTCTTATAACTCACAAAGTACTGTCCTAGAAGCTATATCCCCATGAGGGGAGGTAGGGCAGGTATTATCAGGTTCGCTTACAGGTGGTCAACAGAGGGTCAGAGAAATCAGTGATTTGGGGAGCTCATACAGCTGCTAGATGTAGCCTGGCATCAGTCACCGCAGGAGGGCCCACCCCAGCCTGAGTGCAGGCAGAACGCTGTGACACTGAGTGACATGGACAAGTCACCATCCTGAGCCTCCCATTCTCACTAACAGAGAATCACCACCCTCGGCCTGAAGGACAGGTTGTCTGCAGGTGACTGCCGGGGTCACGGCAACAGCTTCCCCCCTGCCAGGCCTGGGCCCCGAGTTGCAGGGAGTCAGGTGTATGGCCTTTTGTGGTGTCTGTGTGGTCCAGGAAGAGAGGGGCTGCACCGTGTGTGTGTGTGTGTGTGTGTGTGTGATTGTGTGTGTGCATCTGAGTATCCGTGTCTCTGTGTGATGCTATATGTCAATGTGTCTTTGTGTGTGTGTGTGTGTGTGTGTGTGTGTCTCTGTGTGTTGGCATGTAACTGTAATGTCTTTCCTTGTTTGTGTGTGTGTCTGTGAGTGTGTGTGCCTGAGTGCACATGTGTCTCTGTCTCTAGGTGTTTGTATCTAAACTGAGGGTGTGTCTGTGTGTTTCTGTGATTGTGTGTCTCTGAGTCGGTGTGTGTCTGTAACTGTGTGTGTTACATGAAACAGAAGCAGATGTAGTGAGAATGAGAGGGTCTAACTCCCTTTATCCTCACACAAGGACCCCTCACTAGAGTGGAGAGAACGAGTCCTTCCCAGTCACACCCAGGAGCCCTCGGGTGGCACTTGGCAGCTGGTGTCACCACCCTAAGTACCCACACAAATGGGCTACGGAGGCAGAGCAACAAGGATTCCAGCTCCTGGTGAGAGATTCCCAGGCCAGGGTCTTGGTAGACACAAGCCTGGTGACTTCAGGCAGCTGGCAATTACTGGGCATCTACCAAGGGTCAGCCACGGTTCCAGGCCCCTAGCGTGTATGAATTCCTTGGCTCCTCTCGTCACCTCTCTGAGGGTGTGTCAAGGAGAGAGGAACCTGGATCTTGGATGGCCACGGGGCTCCCTTCCACCCACATCTCCACATGGCTGCACAGCACAGGCTGGTTCTGTTGGACTGAGCCCATCCGGGGAAGAACAGCGAGACCCTCGGGTGAGATCGGGCTCACTGGAGACAAAAAGCATGGCAGGAGCTGGAGGCGCCCCAGGCTGATTTCCGGGACAGGAGTTTCCTGAACACAGGGACTGAGCATCCCCACAGCCCCCTAGACTGGCCCATGAGCACGAGAAGCCCTGAGAGTGCGTGGGGATGGCCTGTGTGCAAGGCAGCGCAGCGAGCCTCTCTGCACAACCCACAGGCTCTGCTGGGTGAGGAGTTCTCCCTCAGCCTCCTCTGGAGCTGACGCTGGGGGAGAGCGCCGTGAGTCTCCCTGCCTGAATTCTTATCTGCGCTTCACACAGGAGGAAACTGAGGCACGTAGAGTTTTAGCTCCTCTTGGCCAGAGCCAGGATTTGAACCCAGGCGTCCGAACCTTGGTGATCCTGCGGGGCAGAGTGAGTTGGGGGATGGAATTCCATTTCTCACAAAGTGCCCAGCACAGGGTGGGCCCCTACAGAGGGTAAGAGCTGGGGGGCGGGGCTCGGTCGGGTGTGATTTTCCCCTTCTCCTGCCTTCCCCAGGGTGGGACTCCCCTCTGGTGTCCTGGTATTCACCTGTGTCTCCACCTGTAGAGGCAGGAAGGATTCAGCCTTAGGGATGCCCCCTTGCTCTCCAACAGGCCCCTCCGCCTCAGGCTCTTTTTTTCTTTTTTCTTTTTTTTTTTTTCTTTCAGATGGAGTTTCCCTCTGTTGCCCAGGCTGGAGTGCAATGGTGCAATCTTGGCTCACTGTAACCTCTACCTCCCGGGCTCAAGCGATTCTCCTGCCTCAGCCTCCCAGGTAGCTGGCATCACAGGCATGCGCTACCATGCCCGGCTAATTTTTTTTTGTATTTAATAGAGACCGGGTTTCACCATGTTGGTCAGGCTGGTCTTGAACTCCTGACCTCAGCTGATCCACCCACCCCAGCCTCCCAGAGTGCTGGGATCACAGGCGTGAGCCAATGCGCGCAGCCAGGCTCTCTTTTTCTTACCCTGCTCATTCAAACCTCCAGCCTGAGCCAGAGTCCAAGACCCTGTTGGACCCCATGGCCACTCCCTAAGAGTCTCAGAGGAGGAGGGATGCCCTTTTAGCTCTGGCCCTTCAGAGCTTGTTACCCAGATTCCAGAGGACACTGTGTCATCTCCTCACTGCTCTCCGGTCCCCACCTTCCTGCCCCCAGGGGCCTCTGCCCTTGATCTCTTGGTTAGAACTCCTGGCTTGAAAGGGTGAGGTGAATTCATTAACTTCTCTGATGGCCTGACGACCTTTTCAGTCCCCTCTTCCCTCTCTCCTACCTGGTTCATGGTCCGCTCCTCTACCTGCTGGGGCCCTCACAGGTCCTGAAGGCTTTGTGGGTTCGAAACCCAGCCCTCTCCTCCCCGCAAAGCGCTGCTTCTGAGGCCCCTTCCCGTTGTCCAGCTTCACATTTACATTGATTTCACCTCATTCTCCCCATATTCCCACTTCAAAAGGAAGATGGAGAGGTGGAAATACTTTTCTGAGATCACATCGTTGGTGAGCGACAGAGCCTGGAAGAGAAGCCAGGCCTGTTGTCATCACTTCCTCTCCCACACACTCATGTTTTTCTGGAGAGCTCAACCTCCCCGGGTCCCTTATTGCTGTTAGGCCCAGGGCTGGAACCAGCAATACCTGAGTCTCCCCTGAGCTGACAGCAGGCGCCTCAGCCCACGTGTGTGGCAGGGACCTCCGACTCATAGCGGGGCAACTCCAGGACAGGCTCCAGGGGCTGGGGCACAGGCTCCTCTGTGGGCACAGCCCCTGAGTCTCCCTGGGGGCTGGCATTAAGCCCTAGGTCAGGGAGGAACCTTATGGATGTGAGAGCTCCATCATGTCAGTGAGGAGATCGGCTATAGGTTCCTGAGACCTGGGACAGCAGACGCAGTGCAATCCTGGGGACCCTAAACAGGGCCCCCATCCCAGAGGAATGGACATCCCACACGGCCTGGGCCCAGGCAGATTCACATGGGCCTCACTTGACTTAAGTCCAGTCTGAAGGAGAGAAGCTTCTGTCCAATTAGGCAAGAGGAGACCTTCAAGACAGCCAGGGTGATCTGAGCCCCCACCCCAGGGGTGCTCCACAGGGGCAATCAGCAAGGCCAGGGGATGGTTTATCACCATCCCTGTGAGCTGAGGGTCACTACATGACTGTGGTTTTCTTGAGAATGTTGTCAAACATCCTAGGATGCACCACAGAGTCCCCCACAGCATAGCACTGCCCAGCCCAATATGTCCAAACGGCCAGGATCAGGAGCCCTGACGTCCTCCGGGCCTGGCCAAGAGCAGCATCCAAGGCCCCAGCCTCTGAGGAGGCAGTACTACAGCTCTACGCAAAGCACTTGGCCAGCAGCTAGTGGCTTGTCGGCTCCCGGTTCTGCCTGACCAGCTATGTGGCCTTGAACAAGTTACTGAACCACTCTGAGTTCACCTTTCCCATCCTATGAAAATGGAAATTACAAGACATATCTTTAGACGAAAGGCAATGTCTGCGATTGCCCCTAGAAACAGGGCTGTCATGTGCTTTAATCAGCAGCATTCCCCAGGCCAGGAATGTCACAGGGCTCAGACAATAATCAAACCAGGCTCCAGGGTCCTATAAAGTGAAGGCTATCACAGTTGGGAGGAGAGGGAGATGCATGAAGTGTGTGGAATCTGGGGAGAGCCTAGGCAGAATTCAGGTAGGCTGGGTTTACACAGCGCCTCTGAGCCCTGGCTGTGTGTCACGGTACAGTATCCCGTCCCTCTGGGGACAGAGCTTCTCTGTCCATTAAATAAGGGAGGTCAGTGGAGATCTCCAAGGACTGTTGTGGTGTGTGGAAGTCATTGCTGATCCTGACTTAACCCACTTCCTTAGTAACCCTGGGCAAGTCCCTTATGCTTCCCGTGCCCCAGTTTCCTCTTTTCTAAAATGGGAGCCAGATGCTGTGGCTCATGCCTCTAATCACAGCATTTTGGGAGGCCAAGTAGGGAGGATCCCTTGAGGTCAGGAGGTCAAGACCAGCCAGGGCAACATGACAAAACCCTGTCTTCACTAAAATACAAAAAATTAGCCTGGCGTGGTGTGCACGCCTATAATCCCCGCTACTTGGGAGACTGAGGCAGGAGAAACGCTTGAACCCAGGAGGCGGAGGTTGCAGTGAGCCGAGATCACACCACTGCATTCCACCCTGGGCGGTAGAGCCAGACTCTGTCTCCAAAAATATAAAATAAAACAAAATGGGGCTGTGGCATTTGCACCTCAAGGTCATTACAGAGGTAAGTGGAGCTGCAGAGAGCAAGGACTCAAGACCCAGCCGGCCAGGCTGAGGGATGCTTGCTTTTCCTGTTTGCTGACCTTGGGCTTGAGTCTCACCTCTCTGGGCTTTGGTTTCCTCATGTGTAAAAGGAAGATAGTAGCATTACCACCTCACAGGATTGTTACAAGAAAGCAATGAGTTAACACACGTGTGCTTAGAACAGTTCTTGGCATAAGCTAAGTACCTTACACGTGCTTGCTATCTTTCTTATTCTTTCAATGATGATGGTGTAGGAAAGTGTTTGCAATGGGCTGGGCACATGGTGGATGTTTAATAATTCATGGTTGCAATCACACAATGTCAGTCCCTGGTCACTGGGAGTCATCATGTGCCCTGACTTGGGGCCTGGCCCTCTGCCTCTGTCTTGCAGGACAATGCCATTCTCTGTCTCATGGGGCATCCTCCTGCTGGCAGGCCTGTGCTGCCTGGTCCCCAGCTCCCTGGTTGAGGATCCCCAGGAAGATGCTGCCCAAAAGACGGATACATCCCACCATGATCAAGGGGACTGGGAGGACCTTGCTTGCCAGAAGATCTCCTATAACGTCACCGACCTCGCCTTTGATTTGTACAAAGAGCTGGCTGATCTATCACAAACCAGCAATGTCTTAGTCACCCCAACAAGCGTGGCTATGGCCTTTGCAATGCTCTCCCTGGGGACCAAGGCTGACACTCGCACAGAGATCCTGGAAGGCCTGAATGTCAACCTCACAGAGACGCCTGAGGCCAAGATCCACGAATGCTTCCAGCAAGTTCTCCAAGCCCTCAGCAGGCCAGACACCCGGCTCCAGCTGACCACCGGCAGTAGCCTGTTTGTTAACAAGAGTATGAAGCTAGTGGACACGTTTTTGGAGGATACCAAGAAGCTGTACCACTCAGAAGCCTCTTCCATCAACTTCAGGGACACCGAGGAGGCCAAAGAGCAGATCAACAATTATGTGGAGAAAAGAACTGGAAGAAAAGTAGTGGATTTGGTCAAACACCTGAAAAAAGACACAAGTCTTGCCCTGGTGGATTACATTTCCTTTCACGGTAAGGTAGCACTACCTGTCCAAGCCCGTTCCACTGAAATAATCCAAACATATTCTCAAATTACTAGTTCTTAAGCTTTCCTAGACAATGTACTATGAGATATGGCAGGGCATTTAACATGGATTCTGCAATTTTCCAAACACAAACAATAAAATACTTTCCATGATCAAACAAGATTGAAGAATGATGAGTTTAAGACAGCCAAACCATCATCTTCTCTACAGACCTTGTCAGAGCCTTTATTGTCCTAATACTCATTGGAAATCCCTAATAGGGAGGGGGCAGAATATGAAATGCTTCCCACATGCTAAAGCCAGAAAAATATTTTGTGGCACATGCATAAAGGAATAGTTTCATGGAACATACTTTAGACGACCCTAGTGTCCCAGAAGCAGTGTCAGCTTTGCCGTCTAAAATATTGGGGTTCAAATCCTGCCTCTACCACTTACTAGCTTTTGATAAAGGACAATGCATTCTACCTCTCTGAGGTGCTAATTTCCCGTCTTAGCATGGACAAAATAGCATCCTTGCTGTCAGGTTGTTTTAAGGATTAAACAAGTGACAGAGACCATGGGGATGGTGTGTGGCATACAGCAGGTGATGGACTCTTCTGTATCTCAGGCTGCCTTCCTGCCCCTGAGGGGTTAAAATGCCAGGGTGCTGGGGGCCCCAGGGCATTCTAAGCCAGCTCCTATTGTCCCAGGAAAACAGCATAGGGGAGGGGAGGTGGAGGCAAGGCCAGGGGCTGCTTCCTCCACTCTGAGGCTCCCTTGCTCTTGAGGCAAAGGAGGGCAGTGGAGAGCAGCCAGGCTGCAGTCAGCACAGCTGAGGTCCGGGCTCTGCTGTGGCCTTAGGGCAGGCCCAGGCCCCTCTCCAGCCCCCGTCTCCTCCTTCTGTCCAATGAGAAAGCTGAGCTCAAGGGTCCCTGAGGCACCTGCCCACTTGGCATGCCTCGATGGTGAAGCTTTCTTGGTACGGCAGAGGGGAGTCTGCCTAGGCATCTGCATCTCCCCTGCTGATCCAGGGAAAGGCCTCAGGAGAAGTAAGCACAATGCTGTCCTCGTATCTCAACAGAACCAGCCCTCTGCATGAGATCAGAAGCCTCCAGCCAAAGGTGGCAAGGCATAAGGAGTTCCGATTTTACTCATTAACTTTCATTAACCATCCCCAAGCCGCTATCGAATAAACAGAGCCAAATATAAATGCTTCTTCTGTGGCACCAGGATTTTGCCAATTAGTTCAAGTATATAGAAACTCTGGATTCTTCTTTATCTTCAGGTGATTCTCACAAAAGCTCTCCAGCAGCCAGATAGTTCCATTTGAATCCCATTTTACAGATGATAAAGCTGAAGCAGAGGGAAGTGTCCTGCCAAAGGGGCTCAGGGCTCCTTTCATTCACACACTTCCACCCTTTTATCCCACACCTGGCTGATGCCCACCTTCCTTTTCTTCCAGGCAAGTGGAAAGATAAATTCAAGGCTGAGCACATTATGGTAGAGGGCTTCCATGTGGATGATAAGACCATCATCAGAGTGCCTATGATAAACCACCTGGGTAGATTTGACATCCACCGGGACAGGGAGTTATCCAGCTGGGTGCTGGCACAGCACTATGTGGGGAACGCCACTGCCTTCTTCATCCTGCCCGATCCAAAGAAGATGTGGCAGTTGGAAGAAAAATTGACCTACAGCCACCTTGAAAATATCCAGAGAGCCTTTGACATAAGGTGATTTCCAGTTCAGGGGCTGAGTCAGAAGCTGCCCAGACCTTTGAGCCATGTCAGGACTGAGGCCCAACAGGACTGGCCAGAGGGCTGGGGAGGGTGGACCTCACATCCCTGGGTCACAGCTACTGCAGAGGCCACCACTGAGTTCAGGCAGGACCATCCATGCTCCATGAGGAGGACAGTACCCAGGGGTGAGGAGGTAAAGATCTCGTCCCTGGGGACTTCCCACTCCAGTGTGGACACTGTCCCTTCCCAATATCCAGTGCCCAGGGCAGGGACAGCAGCACCACCACACATTCTGGCAGAACCAAGAAGGAACAGATGGGCTTCCTGGCAAAGGCAACAGTGGAGTGTGGAGTTCAAGGGTAGCATGTCCTTCAGGGGACGGGGGAAGAGCCTGTGTGGCAAGGCCCAGAAAAACAAAGTTCGGAATTGGAACAGCCAGGCCATGTTAGCAGAAGGCTTGCGTTTCTCTGTCGCTTTATCGATGCTGTTAGATTGGGTGTCCTGTAGTAAATGATACTTGAGCATAAGCCATACATTAGTGTATGTGTGTGCATTCGTGATTATGCCCATGCCCTGCTGATCTAGTTTATTTTTATTTTTACACCGTAAAACCAAGATGAAAATACGAAAGTCTCAGGTTCATAATAGGAATCGAGGCTGGAATTTCTCTGTCCCATGCAAACGCCTCCTGAGGTACCTGCTCCAGGGGTTGAGAAAGAACAAGGAGGCTGAGAGAATAACTGATCAGAGAGCCCAGAGCCAGGCTGCCCGCTCACACCAGACCGTGCTTGGGGCGGCTCTGTCTTCCCACGGAAAACCAGAGGGGAGCATTCGGCCTGGTGTGATCACTCTTCTCTCATCCCCTGAACGGGTGTCACTGCGCACTGCTGCCCCACGTTCCCCTGGGTGTAGGGCCCTGGGGATGTTCCAGGCTGGGGGCCCGGTGACCCAACACTACACAGCAGGATGAGACACGCTTCCAGGACACCTAGAATCTGCCTGAAGGGCTTCTCAAAGGAGGTGGCATTTCAAGCTGCCTTAACAAGATGGTTAGTCTGATACTAACATTCTTTGATTCTGGGTATAGAGGAGCTCAAAGGAGAACAAACCAAGGTCAACTTCTGATTGTTTTATTTTTTTTTTTAACTTTTCTTTTAGGTTCAGGGGTCCGTGTGCAGGTTTGTTATATAGGTAAACCCTGGGGTTTTGTTGTATAGATTATTTTGTCACCCAGGTACTAAGCGTAGTACCCAATAGTTATTTTCTCTGATCCTCTCCCTCTGACTTCTGATCTTGATATGGGTGAGGACATGGCACTAAGTGGGAGACGCAATCAGAAGAGAAAGCACTGGCACTGTGGTGGGTTCCAGAAGAACAGGAGAAATGCTGCTCCATGCCTTGATTCTCTTTCCTGCATGGCAGGTCTATCAATCTACATTTTCCCAAACTGTCCATTTCTGGAACCTACAAACTCAAGAGAGTCCTTAGGAATCTGGGCATCACCAAGATCTTCAGCAACGAGGCCGACCTCTCTGGAGTCAGTCAGGAGGCACCCCTGAAGCTCTCCAAGGTGAGGTCACCCAGAAGACCGTGTTGTCCCCTGGTGTCGGCTGGCAGATTGTGTGGAGGTTGCAGTTCTGTCCTGAGGCTGAAGAAGGGGCTAAGAGACACAAATGAAGACCCAGGCCGAGCTCCTGAGGATGCCTGAGATTCACTGAGATGGGCCATGGTCAGACGGCGGAGCTGGGGAGGCGCCTCCTGTGCAGCTGGCACTTTCAGGGCCTCCCCCGCTGTTGTGTCATTGACCCTTTGCCCAGAACCTTCCAGTTTGGGGCCTTAATTTATCCGTATTGATACAAGAAAGCTTAGGCTCATTTCAAAAGACTTTCTGGCCCCTTTCATCTGTGAGGTTTTGAGTTTCTGGTGCATCACCAAGCCCGAATCAATGAATGATTTGAGCTAAAGATGACGCTAATTTAGGAAAACTAAAGGTGGCCAAAGGACAACTTTGGCAGTTCTGTGAATGGCTGCGTTCTCTTGGGGTCTGGGCACCATGAAGGACACTGTCAGAGTCCATGTCCCCAAGGAGCTTCAAGCTGTGTACAAGAAAGGAGAGAGCCCTGGAGGCAGACGTGCAGCGGGGATGCCCCTCCACTTTCTGAATTGTGGGTGCACCCTGAGCAGGGGAGAGGCTCTTATAGGGAAGGCAGACGGAGGGGAGCCAGCCCCATCAGCCAAAGCCTTGAGGGGGAGCAAGGCCTGTGTGACAGGGAGGGAGAGGACGTGCAGGGTCAGTGCCACCCGAGTGGAGAAAGGCTGGAGTGAGTTCCTCACCTCCTAGGATGAGGCTGTCCACATGGGCCTCGCTCCAGGCCTGGGCTGGGGCATGGCTCAGCCTCGGAACGTATCTCTGCTTCTCTCCCCTTCAGGCTGTGCATGTGGCTGTGCTCACCATTGATGAGAAAGGGACCGAAGCCACCGGAGCCCCCCATCTGGAGGAGAAGGCCTGGTCTAAGTATCAGACAGTCATGTTCAACCGGCCCTTCCTGGTCATCATCAAGGATGACATCACCAACTTTCCGCTCTTCATTGGAAAAGTGGTGAATCCCACCCAAAAATAACTGGCTGTCACTCCTCAGCCCCTCCCCTCCACCCCTGGCCCCCTCCCTGGATGACATTAAAGAAAGGCTGAATTGCCCTCTGCCTGCGTGTGACTGCAAACCCCTCCCCTGTTGTTTCTGAGTCTCCCTTTGTGCACTGAGGCTGTGTGTGGACTCCAGGTCACAGTGCTGTCTCCGGGCCTCCTGAACTGTGTTCATGGAGCACCTGACTGGGCAGGCATGTGCTAGGCCAGGATGGAGGGGGCTGAATCCTCAGTTTAAGGGCCTGGACCTGGGAGCTTATGGAAGAGCAAGGGGCTACCAGGAGCGGCCGCCAAGTGCGGGTCACCCAGAGAGAGCCAGGCCAGGGCCTGAGTGCTAGAACGCTGTGGCACTGTGTGACCCAGAAAAGCCACTTTGCTGAGCCTCCCGTTCTCAGTGGCAGCATGAGGAGAGAATGCCCCCACCTGTGAGTGCAAAGCAGCCCGTCAGAGGCGACGGCGGGGACACTGCCACACCTTGCCTCCCTGCCAGGCCCCAACCCGGAGGTTGGGGAAGTCAGATGTGCAGCCTTTGGTGGCGTCTGTGTGGCCCAGAGTGAGAGGGACTCCACCACGTGTGTTTGTGTGTGTCTGTGTGTGTGTGTGGCTGCGTGGGTGTGTCTCTGCGTGTGTGTGTCTCTGTGTGGGTATGTCTGTTTGTGACTATGTGTGTGTGTGTCTCTGTGTGTGTGTTTGTGTGTGTCTGTATATGTGTGTGTCTCTGTGTGTGCATCTGTGTGTCTGCGTGTGTGTGTGTGGCTGCGTGGGTATGTCTGTGTGTGTGTGTCTCTGTGTGGGTATGTCTGTGTGTGTCCGCGTGCATGTGTCTCTGTGTGTTTGTGTGTGACCATGTGTGTCTGTGTGTGTGTGTGCGTGTGTGTCTGTGTGTGTGTCTGTGCATGTGTGTCTGTGTGTCTAGGTAGTTCTGTCTTTGTGTCTGCATATGGCTGTGGATATGTCTGTGTGTCTAAGTAGTTCTGTCTTTGTGTCTGCATATGGCTGTGGATATGTCTGTGTGTGTCTGTGTATGTGTGTGCTTCTGTGTTTGTGTGTCCCTGAGTCAATGTGAGTCTGAGAGTCTGTGTGTCTGAGTCTATGTGTGTTAGGGTACCTAGGTGTTTCTGTGTGTTTGCATGTGGTTGTGGGTGAGGCTGTGTGTGTGATGTTTCTCTGTTTGTCTGAGTCTATATGTGTCTGTGTGTCTAGGTGTTTCTATCTAGACTGAGGATGTGTCTGTGGCTATGTGTCTGTGTGTGTGTGTTTCTGTGATTGTGTGTCTCTGAGTTGGTGTTTGTCTGTGACTGCATGTGTTACATGAAACAGAAGCAGATGTAGTGAGAATGAAGGGGTCTTAATTCTCTTTATTCTGAAACAAGGACCCCTCACTGGAGTGGAGAGAATGAGTCCTTCCCAGTCACACCCTGGAGCCCTTGGATGGCACTTGTCAGGTGGTGTCACCACCCTAAGTACCCACACAAATGGGCTAGGAAGCCCAAGCTACATGAATTTCAGCTCCTGATGAGAGATTCTTGGGCCAGGGTCTTGGTAGACACAAGCCTGGTGACTTCAGGCAGCTGGCAATTACTGGGCATCTACCAAGGGTCAGCCACGGTTCCAGGCCCCTAGCGTGTATGAATTCCTTGGCTCCTCTCGTCACCTCTCTGAGGGTGTGTCAAGGAGAGAGGAACCTGGATCTTGGATGGCCATGGGGCTCCCTTCCACCCACATCCCCACATGACTGCACAGCACAGGCTGGTTCTGCTGGACTGAGCCCATCCAGGGAAGAACAGCGAGACCCTCAGGTGAGATCGGGCTCACTGGAGACAAACAGCATGGCAGGAGCTGGAGGTGCCCCAGGCTGATTTCCAGGATAGGGGGTTCCTGGACACAGGCACTGAGCATCCCCACAGCCCCCTAGACTGGCCCATGAGCACGAGAAGCCCTGAGAGTGCGTGGGGGTGGCCTGTGTGCAAGGCAGCACAGCGAGCCTCTCTGCACAACCCACAGGCTCTGCTGGGTGAGGAGTTCTCCCTCAGCCTCCTCTGGAGCTGACGCTGGGGGAGAGCGCCGTGAGCCTCCCTGCCTGAATTCTTATCTGCGCTTCACACAGGAGGAAACTGAGGCACGCAGAGTTTTAGCTCCTCTTGGCCAGAGCCAGGATCTGAACCCAGGCGTCTGAACCTTGGTGATCCTGCGGGGCAGAGTGAGTTGGGGGATGGAATTGCATCTCTCACAAAGTGCCCAGCACAGGGTGGGCCCCTACAGACGGTAAAAGCTGGGGGGCGGGGCTCGGTCAGGTGTGATTTTCCCCTTCTCCTGCCCTCCCCAGGGTGGGACTCCCTTGTGGTCTCCTGGTGTTCACTTGTGTCTCCACCTGTAGAGGCAGGAAAGACTCAGCCTTAGGGATGCCCCCCACCCTAAGAGTCAAAGAGGAGGAAAGAGTGTCCTTTTAGCTCTGGCCCCTCAGAGCTTGTTACCCAGATTCCAGAGGACACTGTGTCTTATCCCCACTGCTCTCTGGATACCACCCTTCCGTCCCAAGTGGACTCTACCTTTGATCTCTTGTTTAGAATCCTGGCCTGAAAAGGAGATATGTATTCATTAACTCCTCAGGTGACCTGGCGATCTTTTCCATCACCTTCTTCCTCTTTCTTATCTGGGTTCATGGCCCCATCCTTTACCTACTGGGGCCCTCACTGTTTCTCCAGCCTGTATCTCTAATTCTGCAGCTCATCTGATATAAAAGGTAGTTATTTCCTAGGAGGAAATTTAAGGGATAGAGAGAGCCAGCAATAACAAAAGAGAGATGTCTCTGGAGGTGGATCAGAACACTTAATTGAGTGTTAAGAGTTTTTTAGGAGAGATAAATAAAGAGGACATGGGTAACAAAAGGGTAAATTGGGGAGGCCACACAGTAGGGAGAAAGCTATGGGATCTGTATTCTTGTGGACCACAATGAGCTCGGGGGTTAAAGGATAAAGTCCAAGGTAAATAATAGTGTTGAGACCTCTGGGTATATCAAATATTAAAACATCAGAAACATCAATGTTCTGGAAGAAAGTAAGAAGTAATTTATTTTCTTAATTTTTTAAGTGGATATGTCCTTTCTAAAGAAGGTAGAAAACCCAAAAGTCACAAAGCAAGGACTGATATATTTACCTTTAAAAATGCAAACTGTATGCCAAAAATGCCATTCAATTCACTCAGAAAATATAACAATTATAAATATACATTCACCCAACATCAGCACTCTGAAGTATATGAAGAAACATTGACCCAGTAGAAGGAAGAAATAGACAGCAACACAATAATAGTAGGAGAATTTCCTGCTTTCAATTACCAATAGAACAACCAGACAGAAGATCATAAGAAAACATAAAACTTGAACAACACTACAGACCAACTGGACCTAATAAACATACAGAACACTCTACCCCAAAACAGCAGAAGACACATTTTTCTGAAGTGCACATGGAACATTCTGCAGGATACACCATATATTAGGCCACAAAACAAGTCTTTGCATGTTTTAGAAGATTTAAATCATACAAAGTATCTTTTTCTGATTAAAATGAAATGAAACTAGGAATTAATAACAGAAGTAAAACTGGAAAATCCACAAATACAAGGAAATTAAACAACATACTCTTAATCAATTGTTAACGATATCACAAGGAAAATTAGAAACTATCTTGAGACAAATGAAAATGAAAACACAACATACCAAAATTTCGTGTGCAAAAATGCAGTGCTAAGAGAGAAATTTGTAGCTGAAAATATTTATGTTAAAAAATAATGATCTCAAACCAGCACCTAACTACACCTTTAGGAACTAGAGAGAAAAGAGAACAGACTAAACCTAAAGCTAGCAGAAAGAAGGAAACTAAAGATTAGAGCAAAACCTACAAAACAGATAATACAAAAATAAGGGAGAACATCAACAATAGAAAAATAACAGAGAAAATCAACAAAATGAAGAGTTGGTTCTTTGAAAAGGGCAACAACATTGACAATTCTTTCGTTAGATTGACTAAGAGAAAAATGAAGACCAAAATAACTAAACTCAGAAATGAAAAAGTGGATGTTACGAGACTTTTTTGCAGGAATAAAAAGAATTATAGCCTGGGCATGGTGGCTCACACCTGTAATCCCAGCACTTTGGGAGGCTGAGGTGGGTGGATCACGAGGTCAGGAGTTCAAGACAAGCCTGGCCAAGATAGTGAAACCCCATCTCTACTAAAAATACAAAAATTAGCATACCTGTAATCCTAGCTACTTGGGAGGCTGAGGTAGGGAATTGCTTGAACCCGGGAGGCAGAGGTTGCAGTGAGCCGAGATCATGCCACTGCACCCCAGCCTGGGCGACAGAGAGAGACTCTCTCTCAAAAAAAAAAAAAAAAGATTATAAGAGAATACTAGGAACAACTGTTCACTGAAAATTGGATGATGTAGACAAAATTGGATGATGTAGATCCTTTAGTATCTACTGGCTAAATGAGGAAATGTCTGTGCTATTGCTAATACTATATGCTGTACCTGAGTAAACTCTTCTGGGAAGTTAAGACCCATATACAGAAAATGAAGAAAAACAGTTCACATGGTGACAACAAGTCTCACCTAATTTCCCATGGTCATTTCATTTATTCAATTAGTTGCCTTTAAGCCTATGTTCATAGCTCAAGACCATTATGCAAACTGGGGTTGCCATGTTACTATTTATTTTATTTTGTATTTTCCTTTTTGCACTTTATACCTGTTAGTTGTCAAATTTCTGCAGAAGTACAATCCTAATATAATAATGTCACTAAGGATGATTGCTTTAACCATTTCTATTTAGAACTGGAGTTTCGAACCAGGGCCCTTGGACAAGAAAAAGAATAAAATGGAATCCGCATCGGAAAGGAAGAAATAAATTTATCTCTGTTCACTGACAACATAATCTTATATGTAGAAAATGCTAAAGATTCACCACACAAACTGTTAAACTGCAAACAAATTCAGCAAAGTTGCAGGATACAAAATCAACACACAAAAATCAGCCGTGTTTCCACACAAGAAAGAAAATAAGTTTAATCAGCTCATGGTTCCACAGGCTGTACAAGAAGCATGATGCTGGCATCTACTCAGCTTCTGGGGAGGCCTCAGGAAACTTAAAATTATGGCAGAAGGAGAATCTTCCAAGGTATATATGTAACATATTTTCTTTATCCAATCCACCATTGACGGGCACATAGATTGAGTCCGTCTGTGCTATTGTGAATAGTGTTGCAATGAACATACATGTGCATGTGTCTTTTTGGTAGAACAATTTATTTTCCTTTGGGTATATACTCAGTAATGGTATTACTAGGTTGAATGGTAGTTATGTTTTAAGTTCTTTGAGAAATCTCCAAACTGTGAAAGCAGGATCTTGATGAAGTATTTGTACACCCAGGTTCACAGAAACACTATTCACAATGGGTAAAAAGTAGAACAACCCAAATTCATCAACAGGTGAATGAATAAACAAAATATAGTATATACATACAATGGAATAGCATTCAGCATCGAAAAGGAAGGAAATTCTGACATATGCTACAAGACAGATGAACCTTAAGGACATTATGCTATGTGAAATAAGTCAGTCAAAAAAAGGCAAATACTATATGATTCAACTTATATGAGGTACCTAGAATAGTCAAATTCATAAAGATAGAAAGTAGAATGGTGATTGCCAAGTACTGGGTGCAGGGGAGAATGAGTAATTGTTCAATGGGTATGGATTTTGAGTTTTGCAAGATGAAAATAGTTCTGGGGATTGATTGCACAACAAAGAATGTACTTAACACAATTAAACTATATACTTAAAAATAGTCAAAATGATAGATTTTATACTAAGTGTACTTTACTACAATTTAAAAAAATTAAATACAAATTATCTTTAAATAACAAACATAATAATAATTGTGCAGCCAATATTTTCATAATAAACCAGTCAAATCTCTAACATATTACTATTACTCAGAATCCTTATGGTTTTAATGGTATTTTTACATCAATTTTTAGAAAAATAGATACTCAACTGCATATTTTTAAAATACCATAAAAAAGCTAAAGGATAAACTAAAAAATTGTATAACAGATATGACTAAGATAAACATTTTAGTTTTAAAGAACTCTTTTAAATCCATAGGGAAACAGTAAGCAATCCAGAAGAAAAATGGACAAAGGATTTAAGTAGGTAGTCTACAAAAAAATACAAATTAACAATGGAAATATGCAAGAATTCTAAACCCCATTCTCAATTTTTTAAATGCAAATCAACTTAACAGAGTGGCATTTTCCAGCTATCTGATTAGCAAAAATGTACGAGGTTGGTAATATGCAGAGCTATGAGCATGTAAAGAAACAGACATTGTCATTTGTCATATGAGGGCATGTAAATTTGTGCTATTTCTGAAGACAAGCTGGTAGCATATATTAAAGTTAAAAGAACACAAAACCCTACTACTTGACTCAGAAAGTCTATTAATGGGAATTACCCCATGACAATATTAATAAACAAAACAAATGTAAAAAAATTCTTCTTTTTAATTGCAGGATTGTTTGCTGAGCAAAAAAAAAAATCTATCAATAGGAAATTGATGATATAAATTCAGATGTGCCTCTATACTAGAGGTGCAGTCTTTAAAAATCATGAGGCTAGCTCTGTAGAGGCTCACAGGGAGAGATCTCTAAAAGCAAAAACTATGGTAAGAAGCAAAACACAGAACAGTGTACACAGCCTGATTTCTTCCATGAACACACACATTCATTCAAGAATTATTTACTGAGCGTGTAGTATGTGCCAAGCACTGGCTGTGCAGGTGTGAACAAACAGACAAAATACCTGCCCATAGGAGCTCAGCGAGGGATGCAGAAAATAAACCAGGTAAGTAAATATTGTGCATAGAATAGAGGAAGTTGATGAGTCTTACAGTGAAAAAATAATGCAGGGAGAGGAATGGGGGTGCTGGGGTGTGGGGCACACTCAGATAGAATGGCCAAGGAAGACCTCAATGAGAAGGTGGCATTGGAGACCCAAGGCGGGTGAGAAAGCAAGCCATATGAGTATCTAGGGAAAAGATCAGCCAGGCTAAGGAAACAGGAAGTGCAAAGGCCCTGGGGTAGGAATGTGTCTGGTATGATCAAGGGAAGCAGGGAGACCATGTGATTTGAGCAGTGGAAAGTATGAGAGAGAGAGAGAAGCTAAAGAAGAGGCCGGGGAAATGACAGCAGTGCCTGCTGTGGACGGGGGCTCTTCAGTTGTGCACCTATAAAGACTTTGACTTTTTCTCTAAGTAATCTTAGGAGTACCTAGACCCTAAAGAGGATATCCAGTAGAGGCACAAAATTATTTTTTTGGACAGAATCTCATAAAGACACATATTATTTATTTTTAATAATAAGTGGAGTCTTTCTGGGTAGTGGAATCATGGACCATTTTATTTTCTTCTTTACAGTTTTCTGTTTTTTAAAAGTACCAAATATTAATTTAAGAATCAAATATTAGTCATGGCAAAAATCACAATTACTTTTGCACCAACTTAATAGAAGTGGGTACTGGGAGACAGGGGAGGGTGGGTGGGCGAGTGGGAGCTCAGGGAGGTTCCGTCCTGGACAGAGAAGGCAGGGAGCTGTCCTAAAGGAAGACGGTCCCCCGAGACATTTCTCTCTGGGGTTAGTTTGCGTTAGGGGAGTAAAGTTTTCTTGGTCAAATGGGTTTGAAGAACTGGATAAATCTTTACTGCAGGACTTCCCAGATCCTTTAAAATATTACAATTTAGGATATGAAAATATTTCTGCACGTGGGAGAAAGAGGATGCGGTTTCCCAAACTTATTAGACCATGGAGCCTATTTATTCACAAATCATCTCTACTGTTCCATGGGACACGCTGCAAAATGCTGCTGGGGTGAAGAGGCTCTTAAATGGGGTAGTGGCAAGGGCAGATTTGCATTTCGGTGGCTCACTCTGGCGGCGGCGAAGGGAATCTGTTGGGAGACAAGATCAGTTGTAAGGAGATCCCGGAGCTTACTTTCCTGTCATGCACATCTGTTGCCCTCTCTGCAACAACATGCCCTTGCGCCCAGAGACAGTGACGTGGTGCCTTCAGACGCCCCCAGGACTCGGTGGCATCCACTAAAAGGATGCTGATGCGGCCCCCTGGAGTTCGACATTCTTGGTTCAGAGAGAAAACATATGCTGCTGTTCAGAGTCCCAGCCCACCTCTCTCCTTCCTGAGCATTATAACTGGGGTGCAGGAGGTGGGGTGAATGTACAGGACTGTCCACTGCGGGGGAGGTGGCCGGGCCTATGATTGCACAAGCCCACATCGCCTTGGGCCTGTTAATATTAACTCAATCTCCAGCCTGGGGAAGCACCAGCAACTCCAAGAGTCACTGACCTGATAAACATGATTTTGCTCATTTTGTTGGCTGGATCTTCAAGGCTTCTCCCTTGGCCTTGGATGGTGATCCCACTGAGAGTCACATACATATACACCTTTAACCTCTATCATTACATGCTGGGAAAGTTCCTCCCAGAATCTGGTGGGGGACTGAATGGGAGCAGAAATCTAACAAGAGCAACATGAATTGTCAGCGCAAGGGTTTCAGAATAACTGTCATCTGAATCATTTCAGTAATTGTGCCATCAAAGCTGCTTCTAAGAAGAGTATATATCTTCCTAGTGGGCATTCCCTGTGCTTGGTGTCTGGACACTTTTTTGATTGCTAGTCATTGTTCACATAAACTAGGCTTATGAAGAAGTAGATTCAGTCCATCAATTATTCATTCATTCAACCATCTCATGCTGCATGAATCATTCATTCACTTATTTATCCTATACTCTGTGCCACCACATGCCAGTCCTGGGCTGGCTACACATCATGCTATGTGTGACTTCCATGTAAGTTCAGTGAACACTTTTTGTTTTTGTTTTGAGATGAAGTTGTTTCTTTGTTTTTTTGTTTTTTTGAGACAGAGTCTCACTCTGTTGCCCAGGCTGGAGTGTAATGGTGCGATCTCAGCTCACCGCAACCTCTGCCTCCCAGGTTCAAGTGATTCTCCCTGCCTTAGCCTCCCAAGTAGCTGGGATTACAGGTGCCCGCCCCCACACCCAGGTAATTTTTTGTATTTTTAGTAGAGACAGGGTTTCGCCATGTTGGCCAGGCTGGTCTTGAACTCCTGACCTCAGGCGATCCACCCACCTCGGCGTCCCAAAGTGCTGGGATTACAGGCGTGAGTCACCGCACCCAGCCTCAGTGAACAGCGTTGAATCATAAACTTCTTTGTAAAAAGAAGCAAGGGCTTTGTAGATACTCTGTTGCTCTGCTTCTTCAGAGGATTGTCTTTTGGGTCAATGTGGCCAGTAGTACAGATTGTGCACTGCACATGGGTGCCTAGCAGAGGGAGCATGAGGCCTGAATCCCAACCCAGGTGCTACTTGCCAAGTGATGTATCTGCTGTATGGTGGCATCCATCTGGTTGAAGAGGTTTTTTTTTTTCTTTGCACAAAGATGTCATTACCCCAGAGAATATGTGATAAAACATGCATAGTAAAATGTCAGTGGTAGAATCTAGTAATAGGTTTAAGGTGTCCACTGTAAAAATCTTTCAACTTTGCTATATTTGAAAATTTTCATAATAAAACGTTGAATGGCATACTATTACTTGTCAAGTTATGCATGGGCAGAGAGATGCTGTAATGGGTTGAATCATATTTCCCCAAAAATTCTTATGTTGAAGTTCTAATCCCCAATATCTCAGATTGTGAGCATATTTTGGAGATTGGGACTTTACAGAGGTAATCAAGTTAAACGAGATTATTAGGGCCCTAACCCATCTAGTGTCCTTATAAGGAGGAACCTGAATGTAAAGACATGCACATAGAGGGAACACAATGTGAAGATACAGACAGAACATTGTATGAACATGAAGATGGCCATCTGTAAGCCCAGGAAAGAGGCCTGGAACAGATCATTCCCTCACAGCTCTCAGAAGGAACCAAGCTTGCCAACAGTTTGATTTTGGACTTCTAGCTTCTAGAACTGTGAGACAATATATTTCAGTTGTTTCAGCCATCCAGTTTGTGGTACTCAGTTATGGAAGTCCTAGCAAACTAATATAGATTTTTTTTTTTCTAATCTGTACAAAGGGAGGTGTCCTGAGGTGTAGCAGTGGCCTGATCACCTTCTTGAACTCTCAGGATGAGTACAAATGTCAGGAGGACTTTAGGCAGCATTTTAGTAGAGGAAGTTCTTGTAGGGTGTGATGAGCTGGGAACTGATTATGTGCTACTGTTTGCATTAGGAAGAAGTGATTGACACTGAAGAGAAGTCATCGCCCACTGAAATCTAAAAGCCAGCTAATGTCAAATGATGGGGCTCTAAGCATAGAACTTTTACCACAGTTGAATTTTGACACCCAATGCTGTTCCACAAATAAAGACACCAGACAAGGTTGTTTGGAAACCTACAAGAGCCCAAGCAATTTGACATGACAAAAGTATAGTAGGAGCTTGGGTTCCATTCCTGGCACTGACTACTCACAAATTCCATCATCTCCAGTAAGTCCGTTGAATGTCACTTTCTCATTCACAAAGACGTGGATAATCACAGCTTCTTTGTAGGGTTGTTGTGAGGATTAAATAAGGTGTTTCATGTAAAGTTCCAAGCACATAGTAGGTGCTCAAGAAATGGGGGCAAAAATCCAGAGACAGGATCAAGGGAACTAGAAAACAGGCTAAAAATCTTATTTGTTCAATAAAGAAGTGCCTGCAGGTGAAGATCATCAGGACTGTGGCGGTCACAATCAATACTCACTTGATATCAGGTGTTTATCCCCATTAGACCCTCTGAGAATTGGCTGATTTTTTTGCCAGTCCCAAGAGCATGCATGGTGGAGTAGAAACACACTTGCTCAGAAGGCAAGAGGCGGATTCTAATGCTCACTTAGCCCCCAGCTCTGTAACTCTTGGCACATCCCTATCATTTCTTTCAGCCTCTGCTTCCTCATCTATAAATTAAGGGCCCTTGACTAGACTCACAATGCCAAGTACATGGCCTGTGTGCCGCCCTGATATGGTTTGGCTGTGTCCTCACTCAAATCCCATTTTGAATTGTAGCTCCCATAATCCCTACATGTCATGGGAGGGACCCAGTGGGAGGTAATTGAATCATGAGGGCAAGTATTTCCTATGCCATTCTCATGATTGTGAATAAGTCTCATGAGATCTGATGGTTTTATAAAGGGCAGTTCCCCTGCACATGCTCTCTTGCCTGCCACCATGTAAGACATGCCTTTGCTCCTCCTTCACCTTTCTCCATGATTGTGAGGCCTCCCCAGCCATGTGGAACTACGAGTCCATTAAACCTCTTTCTTTATAAATTACCCAGTCTCGGGTATGCCTTTATTTGCAGCATGAAAAAAAAAACTAATACACTACCCTTTCTGCTCTCACACCCATGACAACATCGCTAACAACCATGGCCCTTATTTCCATCTTTGTTCAGACACAGCTTCAGAATCCTTCTCAAGATAATACTCCAGGAACCACAACAAGAAACCCAAGATGGCAGCTTAGATGGAAAAAATTTACTACTGCCCTGTCCTAGGTGATATTTAAAATGTCTTCTGGCTCCTAGGTTTTCTGAGTCTGATCCCTTTCTTGACCAGAAATGCCTTTATTTTGCGTCTTCCAAGACTTTTATGTAGTATTTAGGACCTTTCATTGTCTGGGGTCCTACATCATGAATTGTTCTACTGTTCCATACCTTCTTCTCCCAGACCAGATGAGACCAGATATCCAACATCCTCCCCAGGACCAGAGTCCTAGATTTTATCAACTTCATTAATTTAGGTAACCTGGCTCCTAGTAACCTACACCTCTCTCTCTCCTCCCCTACCCCACTTCCCCCACCTTCACTTTTCGAAACTCCTAGGTATTCCAGAGCATGATTAATTCATACTAAAATATCTATTTTACCACTTCCTCTCTCCATACCCGAGATAGTCATGATTACATAGTTAACAGATTAAGGCATAATCTCACAAAGAGATGGCGTCTCAAACACTTCTTAACCCAGTCTCCGATGCACGCCCTACCAAATGCTTGAAATTGATGTATCAGATAAAAACAATGGCCATTTCATCCCAAGAAAGTGTGTCAAAAAAATCTCTAGATCAAATTATTAAACCAAGAAAAAAACAGGTGTTTGTTCATGGGTGTGGGGTGTGTGTGTATGTGTGTGTGTGTGTTATAGATAACAGCTTCAAACCAGTGCTATATGAATTTCTTTCTTTTCAATACTCAAGAGCCTAACCAAGCCTTCAAGCCACCCTCTGGTTCTCTTCTTACCTTAGCAGCAACCTAAGAATATGCTTATTCCCAAGAAGTCATCTTAGGATAGAAAGAATGCAGAACTGGGTGTCATGTAGCTCAACATGCCAAGCCTGCCTCAGCCTCTATAAGCTGTTTGCTTTTGAACAACCGCCTCAGCCTTTCTTGGGATCATCTGAAAAATAGGACTAATGCCTCCTCATAGGGTCATTTTAGCACATAGCAGATATTCTCCCACTTAAAAGACATTTAACAAATAAAAAGAATGGCTGCTATCCTTGCAGGCATTATTATCATTATTAGTACTATTTCTATATTCATCTTTCAGTCTTTGAGCCACATTCTTGGGTTTTTGCATACAGAAATAAGATACTGTTCATGCCCGGAGAAGTACAAAAAGGAGCAAAGGCAGATGAACAAACTGGAGGAACACAGCATGACCACAAGAGGCTCTGAGTCCATTTGGGGCACTGCTCAGAGGTTGTTTAGCCAGTGTTTTCTCTCCCCTATTTTCTGGCTGCTGAAATCCTGCCCATCCTTCAGGACCCAGCTCAAGGCCACATGCTTACAGGAACCACCACTGAGTCCTCAGACTTCAACCCTGCCTGGTGGAGGAGACTTGATCTTGTTCAGTTCTAGTTGAGTTCTGTTAGTTCAGCATAAACTTTGTCAGCTCAGAGTTCTTTCAGTCAATTCAGTGTTTCCCAAGTTCAGAGTTTTTTCTACACCTACACCTCCCATCCCAGAGACAGTGGGATTTGAACGTGGAGACAATATGCATCCAGGGTGTGATGGTTAATACTGAGTGTAACTTGATTGGATTGAAGGATGAAAGTTTTGTTCCTGGATGTGTCTGTGAGGATGTTGACAAAGGAGATTAACGTCTGAGTCAGTGGACTGGGAGAGGCAGACCCATCCTCAATCCATCCTCAATCTGATGGACACCATCTAATCAGCTGACAGCACGGCTAGAATAAAGCAGGAAGAAGAGCATAGAAGGACTTTACTTGCTAAGTCTTCTGGCCTTCAGCTTTCTCCCATGCTGGATGCTTCCTGCCCTTGAACATCAGACACCAAGTTCTTCAGCTTTTAAACTCTTGGACTTAAGCCAGTGGTTTGCCAGGGGCTCCTGGCCACAGACTGAAGGCTGCACTGTCAGCTTCCCTACTTTTGAAGTTTTGGGACTTGGATTGGCTTCCCTGCTCCTCAGCTTGCAGACAGCTTACTGTGGGATTGTGATCATGTGAGCCAATTCTCCTTAATAAACCCCCTTTCATATATATGTCTATCCTACTAGTTCTATCCTTCTGAAGAACCCTGACTAATACACAGGGCATCAAGTGAGACATGCCTCTTGAGGGCAGTGATAAGGTTTACTCTTCCCTAAATCCCTCTTAATGCCTACCCATGGTTAGACATACAGCAAGTGCTTCTGAAGTGGATGGGTGCATGGATGGATGCAAAGGGGAAAGGAAGGAAGGAAAAAGGGAGGAAGGGAGGGAGGGGGGGAATAAGGAAATCGCTTCCCCTGCAGAAGGTGACCTTCATCCTTCCCTTCTCAGCTTCTCTGTCAATGAGATGTGACCACCTTCCAAGCTAGGCCAGCCCGGCAGGTTCTGTTCCTCCAGGTTCCCCAGGCACCATGAGCACCGCACACTGTAGCATCCAAAAGACATAAGTGCAGTGAGCTGAGGGCTGGAACATTTGCCCAAGAAAGGTACAAGCTGACCTTTTCATGTAACTCTATGTCCACCACCAGAATCGGCAAATGACGTGTGCTACCCTCAACTCCTCAGCCCAGGGTGAGACTTGAGGGCGCTGTGGATGCACCAGACTCCTAGTACATAACCTGTAAGTAAAAATTACCTGTCCCCTTGCTTCACGGGGCGTCCCCATGGCTCCCAGTTTGCACCTGAGGAAACAGCTCTTTGCATGGCTGTCAGCAATAAGAGGAGAGAAGAGCTCAGAGGCTCAGCCCTCAGGCAGGGCTCACATGCAGAGGGAACTTGTTGCGGGTCACCTTATTCTGAAATAGGCAGCCAGTGAAGGATCAAATAACGAACCCACCTTTAGAGTCAGCAGAACTGGCCTGGAATCCTGGCTTAGCCATTGGCAAGCTGTTGACCTCAAGTAAGCCACTTTACCTCCCTGGGACTCAGTATTTTGCAGGGGTTGGCCATAAGTATTAAATAAAGTGATACTCAGAGTCCCTTCAAGGGTTCAAAGGAGGAGGCTTTAATGAAGAGACTATGTGGAGTGGTGTGGAAAGAGTTAAGGGAAAAAAATGCAAAGGTGAGGCTCCCAGAGGTTAGCAAAAGCAGGGAGCTGTTACCTGCTCAAAGCTGAAGGAGCCAGGGGAGGAAAGGGTGGGAGCTGGAGCCATGGAGAAGAGGGGTGCTTGGAGGGGGTGATCTGCAGTGACCAGGGGATTCAGCTACTCCCAAAGATGTGGAGCAGAAGCAGGGAGGGAATGGGAAGGAACACCCTAGCCTCTCTCTTCTCCTGCCCAGGGCTCCCACTACCAAACCCAAGAGGAAGCCAGCTGGCAGGAAAGCCCAGCAGCTCAGTCCAAAGGGGTCAGCCTCTCAGGGCACAAAACAGGGCAGAGAAAGGATCTGGTGGGGCGCAGGGGTGGGCAGGAACTGGCAAACAGAGAACAGCCTGCAGAAAAGGCGTCGCCGCTAGTATCAGTAATAGCCAGCTTTTGCTGAGCACCTACTGTGTACCACGAGCACACACACTATTTCTCTTTCTCAACTCCTTAAAGAGCTAAGCCCTGAGCACAGAGGCACTCACTACACTATAACTTGTATTATTGGCTGAATGAAATTCCCCACTAAGCCAGAAGGTGAATCCAGATTTTGGACATTTTTAAGAAATAGGGGATTTGTGACACCCCCACCCCCATTCCCACCTTCAGGTTTTCCTTGATGACTTGCTTTGAATGAAGGTTTTTGCCAAATCCTGGTGCACTGTGCACAGGGGTTTCAGAGATGGGAAGAATGATGACCACAGCAGAGGACAGTGGAAGGATGGCCTGCCAGCCCTAACGGATAGCAGGGAGCCTTAAGCCTCAGGGTTAGACCAGGAATACCTTGAAGAACCCAGGGGTCCTCTCTCCATCTCTCATGGAGCATCTGCCTAACCCTTCTCCAGCCCCCTCTCTCTAGATAAGTTTCTCCCACCCAAATAATGGCAAATAGCGGCCGGATGCGGTGGCTCACACCTGTAATCCTAGCACTTTGAGAGGCCGAGGCAGGCAGATCACTTGAGGTCAGGAGTTCAAAACCAGCCTGGCCAGCATGGTGAAACCCCGCCTCTACTAAAAATACAAAAAAAAAAAAAAATTAGCCGGGCGTGGTGGCGTGTGCCTATAATCCCAGCTACTCAGGAGGCTGAGGCAGGAGAATCGCCTCAACCCAGGAGGCAGAGGTTGCAGCAAGCCGAGGTCATGCCACTGCACTCCAGCCTGGACGACAGAGCAAGACTTCATCTCAAATAAATAAATAAATAAAGGTAAATAGCACTGCTCCCCTGCTTGACCCAAAGCTCACTGAGACCAGGCCCTTCTCGATGAGCAAGAGTCTCATGATCCTGGTGCCCACAATGCAGCGGCTGGGTAGGTTCCTGCCCCTGTGTTTCTATCACCTGCACGGTTACGCCCTCCAGCTGCCCTCCAGCTGCAATGGCACTGCAGTACTCATTCCTTCTGACATGGGGAAAGTCAGAAAGATAGAAGGGGCACTGATGAAGGAGAATTTTGATACATGGACTCAGCCCTTCCCAGTAAGGTAAAACCTCAGCTACCCCTGCCCCCTGCATGCTGTGGAACCCTTTCGACATCCACCTCTGCAGTCTCTGCAGCTGGAGGATGAAATCCCTCTGGTCTTCTGGACCATGACATGAGGGGGTGGGACTAGGTCACGCACTAATTATCAAACAGGATTCAGCCATTGACTCCTCCAAGAGATGGAAACAATTGTGCTGGCACAATAAAATCATTCTCATCATCATCACCACGACCACCATGTTGTCACATTGCATCTTCCTCTGAGAGATTTGCAATTCACCTTAGCACTTCAAAGCACTGAGAAGTTGTACAGAATGGAACAATGTCTGACTTAGCTTTACTCAGCATTTCCCAAACAGCATGTGAACATGGCAGGCATTTTAACAAAAGACCTTTCAACAAGCTACGGTTCCATGGACTGTAGTTCGGTAGTGGCCAAGGAGCTGTCTTTCCAGCTCATATACTGATGCAGTCAACATGATTGGTGATTAACTCAGAGGGAGCCGGGACCGGGCTTCTTTATTGGTCACTTGTCAAGGAGGCTTTACACAAAAGCCACTTTCCAGCCATCTGCACATCTCTCCTCTTGGCCACACTCTGTGATCAAGTTCCTTGCTTTTCTCAAGTATTTGAGGTCTTTGCTACTCAATGTGCAGTCTGTGACCAACATCACTGGCTTCATCGGGAGTTGTAAGAATCAGAGGCTCTCAGACCCCACCGCACACCTACTGAACCAGAATCTTCATTTTCATAAGATCCCAGGAGATTCATGAGCATATTAAGGACTGGGGAGCTCTGACCTAAATCACATTGCTTCCTGATAGATCCTCCAGATGCCCTGTCATTACGAATCACCAAGTGGTGACCCACGTGCTGTGCCCTGAGTGCCTTCTCTCCACCCATCCTTCTGTCCCTAGGCCCAGCCCTTTCTTCCAGCTCAGGGTTTCTCAGCCTCATCACATCACGGGCTGGAAAGTCCTGTGTGGTTCAGGGGCTTTCCCGTGCACTGTAGGCACATCACGGGCTGGAAAGTCCTGTGTGGTTCAGGGGCTTTCCCGTGCACTGCAGGCACATCACGGGCTGGAAATTCCTGTGTGGTGCAGGGCCTTTCCCGTGCACTGCAGGCACATCACGGGCTGGACAGTCCTGTGTGGTGCAGGGGCTTTCCCGTGCACTGCAGGCACATCACGGGCTGGACAGTCCTGTGTGGTGCAGGGGCTTTCCCGTGCACTGCAGGCACATCACGGGCTGGACAGTCCTGTGTGGTGCAGGGGCTTTCCCGTGCACTGCAGGCACATCACGGGCTGGAAAGTCCTGTGTGGTTCAGGGGCTTTCCGGTGCACTGCAGGCACATCACGGGCTGGAAAGTCCTGTGTGGTGCAGGGGCTTTCCCGTGCACTGCAGGCACATCACGGGCTGGACGGTCCTGCGTGGTGCAGGGGCTTTCCCGTGCACTGCAGGCACATCACGGGCTGGACGGTCCTGCGTGGTGCAGGGGCTTTCCCGTGCACTGCAGGCACATCACGGGCTGGACGGTCCTGCGTGGTGCAGGGGCTTTCCCGTGCATTGTAGGATGTTTAGCGGCACCCCTGGATGTTCTCCCTATTGGATGCCAGCAGCACACACACCCCCACAGTAGTGATGACCAAAAATGTCCCCAGTCATCGCCAGATGTTCCCTGGGGGGCAGAGTCACTCCTATTCTAGACTGTGTGTGGACTGTGGGATTCTAGAAGGTGGGGACTGTGCACTTTGCTCAGTCCTGAGTTTTCATTCCCCACTGAAGGCCTGACGGACATGCAATGGGCTGCCTTGATCTGAGGGTTGAGCTCATCCTGATGGGACTTTCTCACACTCCTCAAGCACCCTTCCCATGGAGAGGGCTGACAGTCTCCAGCTTTCCCCTCCACACCCCACTTTGCTTGGTTTATCCACGCTGGAGCTGCTAGGAGGCTCCAGCATCCTGCCACCAGGAAGCTACTAGGTGAGTCATGGTGGGAAGAGGGAAGAAGGCACGCTTTCTTATGGCCAAGGCAGTTGGGAAACTAAAGCTGGGAAGATAAATTCTCAATGGTGAGTCATCCCCCAGGCTGTGGACACAAGTCACAATCAGGCTGCCATACAGAAATTGTGCCCACAGATGGTTTGTCTTTGTTTTCTAATTTGTGCTTTTCATTTTTATCTGTTTCCAGCTTTCTCGAAGTAGAATTCACAAATAAAAGCTGTGTATGTTTAAGGTGTCCAACGTGCTGTTTCAATGCGTGTATACATTGAACATGATTCCCACAATCAAACTAATTCACAGATCCATCACCTCACACGAGTACCATTTTTGTTTGTATGGTGAGAATACTTAAGATCTAGCCTCTTAATACATTTCAAGCACACAGCGCTGTATACATACTTCTAGGCACGTGGTGCACAGTAGAAATCCGGAATGTGTTCATCTGAACTTTTTCCCCTTGATCAACTTCTGCCATCTTCCCTCTCCCCAGCCCCTGGCCACCCCTTCCTGCTCCTGCTTCTAACAGTTGGACTTTTTAGATTCCACTTCTAAGAGAGCATGCACCCATCATGTGCCATTGATGTAAGACTTAAAAAGGTAAACACAAGAAAAGGGAGCTCTCAATCCTCCCCTGGGACCTTTGAGGCCCTCGAGGCTGGGCTTAGAGAGGGAAGAAAACAGGGCGAGGCTATGTGTTGGAACAAAGGTAAGCAGACAGACAGAGAGATGCTCCTATTCCACTGCACTCAGGAGCAGGCCACATCCAGTTGGAGAAGCAGCAATGCAGCTGGAGAAGAGGCTTCAGCATTGGGTTCACTCTGAGCTTTTTACAAACCATGTTCCTAACTGCTGGGCAAATCTCTCAACTTCTTCAACCCTCCATTTTCTCATTTGTAAAGTGGGTATTTGGGGCACTCAGTCCCTGGGATTACAGTGAGGATGAATCAAAATTTCCTTGTAAAGAACCTGGCACAGACCCGTGTATTGCAGGCACATTCGGGAAACACAGCTGACGTTAATTTTATTCTGTTATTCTGCAGTGAGATTGCTAACTGGGGCAGTTTAGTAGATGACATTATTTCAGCTCTGTTTTCTCCTCTCACTCCCCTGAACAGAAGGAGGAGGCCATATTTTCCAAAATTCTCCCTACCTGGCAATATTCAATTGGACCAGCTCTTGCCCAAAATGGGCATCTCAGCTATATTCAGTTACCATGCAGGCCTTGAGAATTTCTCTGCAAACCACACCCATGAAGGCCTTCAAGGTAAAAGTTAAAACCCACCAGTGTCCGGTCATTTCTAAAAGTGCATACATTTTCTCACACATTCACCGTGCACCAGTGGAGTTACTGTGAAGCCGCTCCACTGCTGGGGGAAGCCAAAGGTGGAAATGTCAAATTACAACACCCACTGGTGTCCTGAGGACAGCTGATCTGAGGAGCGAGCTGGGCCTGTGACATGGGGGAAGGGTTTCCCAAGCTGGGTGCTAAGGCAAGCACCCCCACTCCTGGTGGGGAGGGAAGGAGCAGATGAAGAAACTGAGACTCCACCAGGGAACAGGATGCACTAGGTCATGCCTCTAGTCAGGACAGAACCAGGACTCGAATCTGGACCTCCTGGGCTAAGCTCAGACTGAGGTTCAGTGTGGCACCTCCTGGAGGAAGGGACAACTTCTGCTGGGATCAACACTGTGAACCGTGGTCCCTCAAAGGCAGAGCACAGGGTGGAACTGACCAAGGAAGAGGAAGGAGTAGAAGAGGAAGATGTCACCGACCTCCAGTCCTTCCCCCCACCACTTTCTCCCCAACCTCCATTTCAACAGGCCCTTCCTACTATTAATTTTTGAGGAAGGCAGCTGCAACCTCCCCTTCTTGGGGAAAGTAATGAATCCCAAAGCAAAGTCACCATTAGGTGACAAAAGCTCATGCCTCCTTGCCCCCACCCCTAACCCTCCCAGTGCTGGGCAATGCTCGGGCCTCCTGAAGAAAAAGGAAAACCATGGCTGGAGCTCATCAACACAGCTCGCAACTTATGGCTCCATCCTCTGGTCTGCACAAAGCACCTGTGAGTGATTTTCCCATTTCACAGATCCGCAAACCAAGGTCCACGGTTACACAGATCACCAGCCAAACTCATTCACTGCCTTCATGCAATGAGGATCTTAGACCTAAGTCACTCTCATGGACTTTCACCAGCTTCCTATCCTCTGCTGGCTTCTGGACTTTTCCCTGGCTTCCAGTTTTCTCAGACCCTTGCCACCTGGATTGTAGCAGAACTGTTCTCCTTTGAAAGATCGGCTTCATAAAGCAGCAAATGAACTGTGTGTGTGTGGCAGGGGTGGGTGTTCTGGTGATGATGGACTGGCTGTCCCCCTGGCAGGACTTGGGGACTCTGTGGAGAGTGTCCTGGGAACATGTTTGTGACATGGAGGGGGCAGGACCATCCTGTCATTGCTGCCCGCTGGTATCCGATGGGTCGAATGGGGTTTTAGGTCTCCTCCACAAGTGTCTGAGAAGGAAAGCATGCAGGGATTGTCTCTGAGTCTCTTTGAAAAGAGAGCCACTTGGTATTATGCTGCATTTGAAGGCCATTTACATGCCTCAGCTGTGTTCCTGCAAAGGATTCAGGGAAGCAAGAACAAAGGCTCCCTGAACTCCACCTGTAAAATTCTCTCCATGAGGGAATCGCCTGCATCAGAGGAGACTGCAGAGCAGAGACTGACATCTTCATAACAGTCTCCATTTAGCAGTCAATCCTATATAAGTCATTTGAGTAAGCATCCATTGAGTAGCAACTGTGTGCCAGGCACAGTTCTAGGGCTGAAAGGACATAGAGATGGAGGTGATGTGTCCACCCTACAAGAACTCATCACACAGGTGTATACAACATGCTGCCATCATGCAGCCACCCTGGGTGTGTGGGCAAATGTTCATCAGTGTGACATATTTTCCTGTTCTTCAAATAGAATCCATGTTCTTGCTGGGAGGTGTGCCAGACGGTTTTAAGCTGAGTGGGCAAGCAGCCCAGTAGTGACAGAGTCTGACTCATGTGCAAGAGGGAGAAGGGTGTAGCCTCACTTTGAGCTGGTGCCAGAAAACAGCTGCAAGTTGACAGGACTTTGACTGCTCTTACAGTCATTCCATAGACACTGTTGTTACAACAGTTAACCCCCACCATCTCAAGTATTCTACTCTCAGACCAACCACCACCTCCTTTCTTTCTAGCTCATTCCTTTTGGCACCCAACTCCAACAATCCTCTAGTCCCACTGGGATGCAAATCCATTGATTCTACTGGTTTTCATTTCTCTCTCTTCTCTTGGGTCCTCACTTCCTTCTTGCCCAGCTTCAATGTCATAATCAGTCACAGCCTCTGCTCCTTTGTCCTCCTCTTGCTTTATCAGGGCTGCTTGACAAGTCCTCCAACTCTCTTCCTGTTCCGTGCCAACACTCGAGCTGTTGAATGTAGCCAGAGAAAACCACACTATGCAGGCTAGCCCCGTTTTAAATCCATGATCACTAACCTCAAGAGAGCTTGGATCCTGGAGAGCAAGCATTCTCTACTCCCTGAACCATTCCATATTCCCACTGCCCTAAATAAATACTTTATGCCTTCATTCTCATACCCTCACCTCCCACACCCTCATCCCCAAATTACTCTGAGCTGATGACATCACTTCCTTTTTCACTGGCAAAATTTAGGCAATCATCTGCCCACTCACCTGCCGCTCTAGCCATGCCTCTGCCATCCCTCCTGCCACAATGGATGACTGGCCATGCTCCTCGCTAGGGCCACCCATCCACTGATGCTGCCATTGTATTTTATCTCACTCAAATAAAATACAATAATGAAGACATTGCACCAGCTACCCTTCCCTCTTACTCCTAACTCATAAATCTTCCCTATCTACTGGGCTTTTTCTATCAGGATGCAAACACGCGTTTTTGCCTCCATATTCAAATAGATAGATAGATAGTAGGTAGGTAGGTAGATGATAGATAGATATCATTTGCTCCTCCAGTTAACACACCATTTCTTGAAAAACATATTTATTCCCCTGTCTTCAAATTGAGGTGACTAGCCACTCCAGTTTGCCTGGAAATGAAAGGGTTCCAGGACATGGGATCTTTCAGTTTTCAAACCAGAAGTCATAGGATGCAAACTTTCATGCTAAAACCAGGAAAGTTCCCAGACAAACCAGGACGAGGTGGTCATCCCACAAAATCATCTCCTTTCCTTCTCTCAAAGATGCTCCACTCAAGCTCCTTCTCCATCCCCACCAATCCCACCACCATTGCACCCAACTACTCTTGGCTAGTCACCCATGATCAATTGCTAATTCCTCCAACAGTTGTTAGTCTGCATTTTTCCTGATTGTTTAGCATCAGTGGACAGAATTTATCACTGTGGCTCTAGAAATATTCTCATCGCTTGGCTTCCAGGACACACACACTCTCCTGGTCATCTTGTGCTCTCCTGTGCCCAGCTGGCTGCTGCTTCTCAGCGTCCTATCCTGGCTCTGCCTCACCTCCCCAACTCTTTAACTTTTGAATGTCCCAGGACTCAGTCCTTGAGCCATTTTTCTTTTCCATCTACACTCAGTCCCTAGGTGATCTCATCTGGTCTCATGGATCTTAAAAGCCATCTAAAACCTGATGCTCCTAAATTTGTATCTCTAGCACAAATGTCACCTCTGAACTCCAGACTCATACATCCAACTGCATACTGGCCATCTGATAGCCATCTCAAACATAACATATTTACAACTGAGCTCCTGATCCCTACAGCCAAACTGGCTCCACTTTCAGTCTTCTCATTTTAGTTAATAGGTAACAGTAATGTCATCCTTCCAATTGCTTGGGTTCATACCTTTGGAGTCATCCTTGACCTGTCATTTTTTTCTTACACCACACATTGCATCTGTCAGCAAACACTGTCAGCAAATACCATCAGCCCTACCTCTAAAATATATCTAAAATCCAACTACTTCTCACCATGTCCACTGCTACCCTCTTGTCCAAGCTACTATTAAGTTTCTCCTCAACTATTGCGACAGTGGCCTAAACTAACTCCCTAAATGTAGAGGTGAAAGGAGAGACAGAAAATATGGGAATATACTGACCCAATAATGCTATCTAAAGAACTAGAGGATGATTAAATGTAGCGTATATAATTATAAGGAAGAAACTCATATATTAATAATGCTCAATAATTTTTCAAAAAAGATCCCAAGAAAATGCAACAGCATGGTCTTTTCAACGTATTGGCCTAGGACAATTGGATATCTATATGCAACAAAAAGAAAGAACATATGCCCCACTTTCTTATACTGTACACAAAAATTAACTTAAAATGAACCAGACTTAGATGTAAAAGCTAAAACAATAAAAGTTCTACAATAAACCATAGGAGAAACATTTTATGACCTCAGGTTAGGTAAGGCATTCCTATATATGACACCAAAAGCATGATCAATAAAAGAAAAAAGATGGTAAATTGGCCTTTACTAAAGCAAATGTTTATACTTCAAAAGATGCTACTAGGAAAATTAAAAGTCCAGCCACAAGTTTCTTACAAACTGAAACACAGTCTTATCACAAGATGCAGCAATCATTATCTCAGATATTTACTCAACCAATTAGAAAGCTTTCTCCACACAAGAACCTGTACCCAAGGGTTTATAGTTCATAATCGTTAAAAACTGTGAGCAAGCCAGGCACAGTTGGCTCACATCTGTAATCACAGCACTTTGGGAGGCTGAGGTGGGCGGATCACTTGAGGTCAGGAGTTCGAGACGAGCCTGGTCAACATGGTGACACCCCTTCTCTACTAAAAATACAAAAAATAATAATTAGCCAGGCATGGTGGCACATGCCTGTAATCCCAGCTACTAGGGAGGCTGAGGCAGGAGAATTGCTAGAACCTGGGAGGTGGAGATTGGAGTGAGCCAAGATTGCACTACTGCACTCCAGCCTGGGAACAGAGTGAGGCTCTGTCTCAAAATAAATAAATAAAAAACTGTGAGCAACCAAGATGTCCTTCAATAGATTAATAAAGTTTGGTATATGCAAACAATAAAATTTCATGATAAAGATAAAGAGATAAAGTAATAAAAATAAAGGAGCTGTCAAAAATAAATGAGCTGTCAAATCTTAAAGAGACATGGAGAGACCTTAAGTGCATATTTCTAAGTGAAATAAGTCAATCTGCATACTGAAAGAAGTCAGGCTACATATTATATGACTTCAATTATAAGATATTCTGGAAAAGGCAAAACTGTAGCAACAGTAAAAAGACCAGTAGTTGCCAGGAGTTCAGGGGAAGGAGTGAAGGGTAAAATAGTTGAAACACAGGCTATTTTTTAGGGTGATGAAACTATTTTGTACAGTGCTATAATGGCACACACATGACACTACACATTTGTCAAAGCCCATAGAACTTTACAACACAAAATATGAACCTGCAAATTAGGGAATACTCATCAAAGAGTTGGAGGATCTCAGGATAAAAAGTAGAATATGACCAAACAATCTAATTGTATTAGAAATACATGAAACAACTTCACTGACAGGATAGGTGTTGCTGACGTGAGTAACTTTAGAAATGACTGGAGAAAGAGTAAAGGAAAAATAAATTGCATGTAAGCATGGTGCTCTAGTTAGAAAAGTTGTTTCCCACAGGGGTACAAGTTAACAATTCTGATACCAATATGCATGTATACAGGAATTAAACAATTAGCCAAATGAAGTAAATGGAAGGTGGGTGGTGGGAGCCAGGTTGGGGCGGGTGGTGACAGATAAGTAAGAGGAAACTGAGATGGTCTATGACTTAGAGTTGGAGATATTAGTATAAACTCGTGATTTGCTATTTAATCTAGAGATAGATGGTTATACGTATAAATGCTAAGATATGTGTATAGGCACTGGTTTGTGTATATACATATATTCCCTTACTCTGTGATATGGTTTGGCTGTGTCCCCACCTAAAATCTCATCTTAAATTGTAATCCCCACATGTCAAGGTGGAGGTAATTGGATCATCAGGGCAATTTCCCCCATGCTGTTCTCATGATAGTGAGTGAGTCTCACGAGATCTGATGGTTTTATTAGTCTTTGGCATTTCCCCTGCTGGCACTCATTCTCTCTCCTGCCTCCCTGTGAAGAGGTGCTTTCCAACATGATTGTAAGTTTCCTGAGGCCTCCCCAGCCATGCGGAACTGTGAGTCAATTAAATCTCTTTTCTTTATAAATTACCCAGACTCGGGTATTTATTCATAGCCATGTGAGAATGGAATAATACACTCTGTCAGCTGAGAGGGTCTAGAAGCAATGATACTTCAGCAGCAGTGAGCACACAGAGCAACAGGATCTTGGTTTCTAACACCATTCTTCAGTAGAAGTAACCAGGCCTCCTTGAAGAAATGACTGAGTCTAGGACTGGGGCAAGAAATACACAAAATGATGCTGGAGCATCTTGTATTGCCAGGAAATAAGGAAGTGTTTTAAAAACCATCACAGTGCTGGGAGTATGTCAGTGGAACACAGGAGTCAACTGAAAGAGCTCCCAATGATCCAAGTTGGGTCAATTTTAACAAAAAATAAGTGAAGTAGTATTATAGATTATAACAGTGTGCATATATAATAGGCTACAACTCAAGAGTATAAAATAAATATTTATGAGTCCATACTATTATAAATAAATTATTGAATAAATTAATAAATTGGAAAGAAGAGATAAATCTGCAATGCAGAATAATTTCAAATACACTATGTAAATAGCCTCAAGGAGGTAGAGCTTAATTCCTTTCACCTTAAGTGTGGGCTACACATAGTGACTCCTTCCAAGAAGGGCAGTGTATAAAAGAGTAACTTTATGGTGAAGAAATTGGATAAACACGACAAACAGGTGATCAAGGTCAACATCGACAGTGATAAGTCATGTTGATAGTATGTACTCTTGATGTGATGTGATCAAAATGGCACTTTATATCTGTGGTCTTCCTCTGAAAAACCCATAACCCCAATATAGTCATGAAAAACATCAGACAAGTTTCACTAGAGGGCAGTTTACAAAATATTTGACCAGTAGGCCTCAAAACTGGCGAGGTCATCAAAACCACGGAAAGAAACTGTCACAGCCAAGAGAAGCCTAAGGAAACATGATGACTACGTGTTCCGTGGTATCCTGGATGTGATCCCAGAATAAAAAAGGACATTTGGTAAGAAAGATTCACATTGAAATATTAATAAAGTATAGACTTTAGATAATGATAATGTATCAATATTGGTTTATTAATTACAATGAACATATGTAAATATAAGTTGTCAATAATATGGAAAACTGGGTATGGGGTATATAGGACCTCTCTATAATATCTTTGCAATTTTTCTGTCAATCTAAAACTTCTAAAATAAAAAAAATTTAAGGCAAGCTACAGATAGGAAAAAAAATGTTAGCAAATCATATCACTGATAAAGAACTTGTATCCAAAATATATAAAGAACTCTTATAACTCAATAATAAAACAAATGACTTAACCCAATTTAAAAATGACAAATGACTTGAATAGACATTCACCAAAGAAGACATATGGATGGCTAATAAACACATGAAAAGGCACTCTATTTGGTCAGTAGGAAAATGCAAATTAAAACTATAATGAGCTACAACCACACAACCACTAGTATGTCTAAAACAAAAAAACAGAAAATATCAAGTGTTTATTAAGATGGTGAACTTAGAACTCTCACACATTGCTGGTGAGATTATAAAATGGTGCTGTCACTTTGTAAAATAATTTGGCACTTTCATAAAATGTCAAATGTGAACATATGACTCAACAATTCTACAAAGAGAAATGAAAACATAAGTCTATACAAAAAGAGACTTGCACATGAACACAAGTCTATATGAACAAAATGAATTCCTAAATGGATAAATAAATATATGAATACAATACTATATGAATAATATCAATTCACATATGAATAATAGCCTCAAACTGGAAACAATCTAAATATTTATCAACTGGTGAATTGATTAATAAAATTTTACACAATGGAATACTATTCAGCAATAAAAAGGAATGAGCTAATGATCTTACTATAGTTAACCCTTGAATAAAGCACGTTTGACTTTCTCCCTCCTCTGTCAATCCTGAGATGGCAAGACCAACCCCTCCTCTTTCTCCTCCTCCTCAGCCTACTCAACATGAACACAAGGAGGGTGAAAACATTTATGATTATCTATTTCCACTTAATAAACAGAAAATATATTTTCTCTTCCTTATGATTTTTTAAATAACATGTTCTTTTCTCTAGCTTACCTTATTGTAAGCATATGCTATATAATGCTATAACAACAAAATGCATATTAATTGACTATTTACGTTATAAGTAAGGCTTCCGGTCAACAGTAGGCTATTAGTACTTAAGTTTTGGGGAGTCAAAAGTTATTTGTGAATCTTCAACTGCATGGAGGATTGGTTCCCCTAACCCCCATGTTGTTCAAGGGCCACGTGTAGAATGTGGTTGCATCTTGAAAATGTCGTGCTAAGTGAAAAAAGCTAGACCCATAATGCTACCTATGAGTCCACTTATGTAAATTATCCAGAAGAGGCAAATGTGTAGAGCCAGAAAGTGGATCAGTGGTGGCCTAGGGTTATAGCTGGTCCACTTTCTGGCTCTACACATTTGAGAGGGTCAATTGACAGCAAAAGGGTTCCTGCAGATCTTTGTGGTGACAGATAGGTTCTAAACCTGGATTCTGGTGAAAATGGCACAAGTCTATGACTTAAGTAAAAATCATTGGATTAGACACTGACAATGAGTGAGTTTTATGGTATATAAATTATATCACAATAAAGCTGTTAAAAATCTTTGGAGACACATCTAGCACTATGTTTAGGAGGAAATTTTACTGCTTCTAAGACATATATTTTCCTATAAAGGAAAAAATATCCACGAGGTAATCATCTCAAGAAATTAGAAAAAGAAGCACAAATGATACAAAACAACGTAGAAAAAAGGAAATAAGCAGAACAAAAATTAATGAAATAGAAAGCAAACATAAAATTAGACAAATCAAGAACTCCAAAAGTCGGTTCTTTGAATATGCCATAATTTTAACGATTGATTTAAAAAAAAAATGAAGCACAAATAAGCTAGGCCAGGAATGAAAAATGGACCATTTACTGTAGATCTGAAACATGCTAAAGAGGTAATTAGAAGATAGTATGAAAACTTTGTATAAGTAAGCTTTAGAAATTAGATTAAATGGGCAAATTTCAAAAAAAAATTAAAGAAATAGAAAATCTGAATAGTTCTCTAACTATGAAAGAAATTAAATCCATAAATAAAAATATCTCTCAAAGAAAATTCTAAGCCCAGATGGTTTCTCTGGCAAATTCTACCACACATCTAAGGAAAAACTGACGTTAAGCTTACACATTTTTCCAGGCCTTAGAATAACACGCCTCAACTTGTTTAATGAGGTCAGCATGACATTGACAACCGGAGCTGGCAAGAGCACAGGGAAAAAGGAAAATTACTGACCACTGTGTGTACTGAAAACACTACATCAACTGTTTACACTCATCACCGTGACACTCTTAGATGGGTAATATTCTTTGCTTCATTTAATGTATCAGAAAATTGGGGTTGGGGGAGCATATGAAATTGGACAAAGTCACATAATTAGTAATTCATTATAGTAGTATAGAAAGCAGATGTGACCGACTACAAAGGTCTGCATAGGTTTTCTCTTTAGTTTTTCAATCTAACCTTCCTCCTCAGGGAAGCTAGGAAGACAAGAAGCTGAGTCTCATATAGAAAAAGGAAGAAGCTAAATCGTCTCTGTTTGCTGACAGCATGCTCTTACATATAGAAAAGCCTGGACTCCACCAAAAAGCTGTTAGAACTAATGAACAAATTTGAGAAAATTGCAGAATATAAAATCAACATACAAAAATCAGTAGCATTTTTATACACTAACAACAAATTATCAAAAAAAGAAATCAAGAAAACAATGGCATTGACAATAGTTACAAAAAAATAAAATGCTCAGGAATACATTTAACCAAGGAGGTGAAAGACCTGTACGTTGAAAACTATAAAACATTAATGAAAGAAATTGAAGAGGGGACAAATAAACGGAAAGGTAACCTGTGTTCATGGATTGAAAGAAATAATATTGTTAAAATGGCCACACTACTCAAAGCAATCTACAGAGTCAATGCGATCCCTATCAAAGTTCCAGCATTTTTCACAGAAATAGAAAAAACAACCCTAAAATTCATATGGAACCACAAAAGATCTTGAATAGCCAAGGCAATTGAGCAAAAAGAACAAAGCTGGAGGTATTATCCTCTTGATTGAAAATATATTACAAAGCTATAGTAATCAAAACAGCAGTATTGGCTAATAGAAACAGACTCATAAACCAATGGAAAAGCATAGAGGCCAGTAACTAACCCATGTGATTATGGTCAATTGATTTCAACAAAAGTATCAAGAGCACACACCAGGCAAAGAACAGTTTCTTCAACAAATAGTGCTGGGGAAACTGAATATCCACGTGCAGAAGAATGAAATTGGACCTTTATTTCACACCATACAAAAAAAAATTCAAAATAGATTCAAGACTTAAATATAAGACCTGAGACTGCAAAACTACTAGAAAAAAATTAAGTGAAAACTACATGACATTGGTCTGGGCAACAAATTTTTGGATTTGACCCTGAAAGCGCAAGCTACAAAAGCAAAAATAGACTAATGAGATTGCATCAAATTAAAAATCTTCTGTACAGCAAAGGAAACAATTAACAGAGCGAAGAGACAGACTACAGATTGGAAGAAAATATTTAGAAGCCATGCATCTGATAAGGGGTTAATATCCACATTATATAAGTAACTTAATAGCAAAAAAAAAACTTTGATTTTTAAAAATGGACAAAGGATCTGAATAGGCATTTCTCACAAGACATAAAAATGGCCAACAGATATGTGAATAAATGTTCAACATTACTAATGATTAGTGAAATGCTAATTAAAATCACAATAAGATATCACCTCCCACCTGTCAAAATGGCTATCATCAAAAAGCCAAAAGATAAGCATTGGTGAGGATGTGGGAAAAGGAAATCTTTGTACACTGTTGGTAGGATTGTAAATTAGTACAGCCACTATAGAAAACAGTGTGGAGTTTCCTCAAAAAAATAAAAACAGAACAACCATATGATCCAGCAATCCCACTTCTGGGTATCTATCCAAAGGAAATGAAATCAATATGTCAAAGAGATACCTTCCCTTTCATGTTCATTGCAGCATTGTTCACAATAGCCAAGATACAGAATCAATCTAATCATCCATTAACAAATGAATAAAGAAAATCTGGTGTGTGTGTGTGTGTGTGTGTTCTCTCTGTTTGCTGATGGCATGATCTTATATGTAAAAAAGCCTAGACTCCACCAAAAAACTATAAGAAGTAATAAACAAATTTGGTAAAATTGCAGAATATTAAATCAACATACAAAAATCAGTAGCATTTCTATACACATACACAAACAAACACAATGGAATAATATTCAGCCTTTAAAAGAAAGAAAATTCTATTATTTGGGACAACATGGATGAACATTATGCTAAGTGAAATAAGCCAGACTCAGTCAGAAAGACAAATACTTCAGGATCTCACTTACATGTGGACTCTATAACAATTGAACTCATGGAAAAAGAGAGTAGAATGATAGCTACAAGAGGCAGGCAAGTGGAGGAGATGGGGAGGTGTTTGTCAAAGGGTACAAAGTATCAGTTAGACAGGAGGAATAAGTTTTTCAGATCTACTGCACAACAAGGTGACTATAGTTAATAATGTACTGTATATTTCAAAATTGCTAAAAGAGCAAATTTCAAATGTTCTCTCCACAAAAAATAAGCATGTGAAGTGAAGGATATGTTAATTCACTTGATTTATTCATTCCACACTGTGTACATGCACCATAACATCACATAGCACCCCACCAAAATACACAATTATAATTTGTCAATTAAAAATAATTTTTTTAAAAAAAGAAGCTGAGCCTCAGAGAAGTCAAGCAACTTGTCCAAGGTCACAGAGCAAGTTGGTGAGAGAGCGGCAGGCAGGCAGAGTGGGGACTTGGCCCAGCTTCTCCTGAGGGAGATGGTGTCTGCAGAGCTTGCCCGCCCTACCCCACGTTTCTGGGGCTTTTTAAGGCTACTAAACTCGTGGGCCACACCTGGACCAATGAGGAGCATTCACATCACCACTCCACACCCCAACTCAACACCCTGATCTAGCCCCTGGGCCCCAGCGTCTGCCCTAAAGAATTCCTCAGGATCAACCCTGGAATGCCGTAACCACTGGCCAGATGTGGGACTAGGCAGGGAAGGGCTGAACAAAGACAGAGGCAGAAGAGCTCCATGGTAAGAGCACGGACTTTAGCTAGGATGCCTGGGTTCAGATTCTGACTCCTGTACTTGGCAGTGTGACTTAGGCCAGTCTTCTACCCCTTTCTGCCACAGTTTCCCCACCTGCCACGTGGAAACAGCAATAATCTCTAGCATGCATATAGCACCTACTATATGGCAGGCGCAGCTCTGAGCTCTTGCCACATATGACCCCACCAAATCTGCACAACAGCCTGAAGAGACCTGGGCGCCAGAATTTGCACCCCTCAGATGATGCAGCTGAGCCATGTCACAGTTAACTGAGACACCTGGATTTGAACCAGAGCCTATGCTTAGATGTCTGGATTTTAACCCAGAGCCCATGTTCTCGCTAGCTAAACTACCCTGGGTGATCCCAATCGTAACCCACAGGGTTCCTTTGAGGATCGAGTAGATCAGTCTACACCACACTCCAAGAGCTGGCACCCAGTGAGGGTTCAATAAAATGCCAGCTACTCCCTGCACCAGACTCCGGGCACTGGGCTCAGTGCTTACATGCTGCGGGGAGACCAGAGTAGGGCAGGGGCTGGCAGGTGGGGAGGAGAAGAGGAGCAGAATGGGGATCCAGACAATGTAGGCAACTCATCAGTGAACATGTAGCCCAAAGGAACTAAGGCCAAATGAATGGCACATCTAGGCTATGTTCCTGCCTGTCTGAGAGGATGAGGCCAAGAGGGGTTTGGGGTCCTGCTTGGTCCACGAATGGCTCAAAGGCTGTGGATAGTACAGGTGGCCCCTGAAGTGCAGATTGGCAGGAGAGGGATCCAGGCAGTTCCCTTGGGCCACCACAACCAAAAGCCAGGCTCCAGGTCCAGCGACAGCCAGGTCCAGCTCAGAAGTCCATGATTTGGGAGAGGACTCAGAGGCCCTTGGAGCACCCACAGCCTACCCTGCCACCCCCACACTGGCCACTAGTACTGGGTGGCATCCCTGTTTGCCAATACAGCTCATGATTCCTCAGATAAACAGCCAGGTGGGGCTTGGAAAGTCCAGCCAAGACTCATTCTAGAGGTTGTGGTCACCGTAGTCTCTGGCTTCACATGGCCTGTCCCTTGCCAAGCAAGGCCTGGGCCCTTCCCTCCTACAGACACGATCCTAGAGAGGGCTTGGGAAGTTCAGATGTCCTGAGCAACCCTCCTGGCTCAGCTTCTGTGCTCAGCAGAATTGGGCAAGATGCCCTGAGCAACCCTCCTGGCTCAGCTTCTGTGCTCAGCAGAATTGGGCAAGTTGAACCCAGAGCAGCACAGCTGTAATTTTGGAGAGGTAGCCATTCATGGTCAGTGTGATTTCAGAGGGGTGGCCATTCACGGGTTGTGTGATTTCAGAGGGGTGGCCATTCACAGATGGTGTGATTTCAGAGGAGCAGCCATTCCTGGATGGTTTGAGTTCAGAGGCATGGCCGTTCATGGATGGTGTGATTTCAGAGGGGTGACCATTTACAGATGGTGCGATTGCAGAGGGGTGGCCCTTCATGGAGGGCTTCAGCAAGATGCTCCCTCCAGTACTGGGGGTGACCCCTGAGAGACCAGCAAGTCATTCTCAAATGAGACCCAGATGCAGCAGCATTTGACCTGGGAACCAGGCAAGGATGTCTGGGGCAGGTGCAGCCCTGCCTTTAAGAGAACAACCCAGCCTCCTGGTCAGCAGGAAGCAGGTCTCACTCACCTGAAGTCACTAGCCAGGGCCTGGTGGGCACAGACCAGTGGTTCAGGGAACATGTGAGAAACAGCTCAAAGTTGCTTATAAAAAGTGTTCTTTTATTTTAAAAAATGATTCTTCTTTATTAAAGGGCTAAGAGGTTGATGATGAAAGAAAAGGTCTTGGCTGGCGTTTCCCAAGCAGAATCCAGTACTTGGTGGGCACCAGTCACTGAAGAGATAAAATAACAATCTTAGCAGTGATTCTCATGCCTTAACATGTGCTTGCAACTGTGCTAGGCTCAAGCATCACCCAATCCTCACAACAACCCCATGAAGCACGGAATATCTGTAGCTCCACCAGAGGTGAGAGCATGCCCCAGAGAGGAAGGTCACAAGGCCACCTGCTGACAGTGGTGGAGCATGAGCCAGAGCCTAGCTTTTTCTCTTTTTCCAACTTTGTATTTGGAAGTAATTCCTAACCTACAGAAAAGCTGCAAGAATAAAAATAATACAAAAAACACACACATAATTTCTCTCCCCGAGACATACACACACGCATATGTATGCATGCATGTATGTGCATGTACAATTTTTTTCAGAATATTTTGAGAATAAATTGTATACATAATACCTCTGTACCCCTAAATACTTCAGTGTATATTTTCTAAGATTTTGAGATATTACTTTTCAGTAAACCTATCAACCTGAGGAAATTTAGCACTGATACCTTTATCTAACATACCATCTATATTCCAACTTCAATTGTCCCAATAAGGTCCTTAATACATAGCACATGTTTTCTCTGATTAAGGATCCAAGCTCTGCATTTAGTAAGTCATCGAGAACTTTCAGAAGATCACCCATTTCCTGGGAGGAGCTTCTTGCCAATGCTGTCCAAGAGTGACCACCTCCTTTTCTGAAATCACACCATTACTGATCTCATGTCTCTTTAGTATCCTCTGAGAGGTAACACATTTTGTCTTTTATTACATGTCATTTTTAAGCAACACAATCCTCACCATCACTAAATGGTGTCATATATATGAAATAAGATAAATTTGACCTCTACCTCACACCATACACAAAAATCAAATCCAGATGTATAACGAACCTAAAAGTGAAAAATAAAGCAATAAAGCTTTTCAAAGAAAACATAAGAGAAAGTTTCATCACATTTGGGTCAGCAAAGATTTATCAAACAGAACATAAGCAGCATTAACTGTAAAAGAATAAACAGATGATTTGGACCTCATTAAAATAATGAACCATGTTTATCAAAAGATTCCATTAAGAGAGTGAAAAGATAAGTCACAAACTTATATTGCAATTTATTGATCTGGCAAATGATTGTTGAACTTACCAATTGACAAGAAAAAGACAATATGACAGAAACAGGCACTTCTCTTCAATCTAACTTAAACAGTTACTTCTCAACAGATGATATCCAAATGGTAAAAAACTTAAAAGGTAATCAGTTTCATTAGTCATCAGAGAAATGAGGTATAAAACTATTATGTGAAACCATTACACACCCACCAGAATGGATAAAATGAAAAAGATGGACAACACCAACGATTTGCAAGGATGTGGAGCAATTGTGCCTCTCATACACCATTGTTTGGAAATACAAATTGGTTCAATTACTTTGGAAAATTGTCTGACAGTCTCTACTAAAGCTAAATATATGACCCAGCAATTTCTTTTTAATTATCTGCTGCTATGTAATAACTCTTCCAAAATTTAATGGATTAAAAGAACAATCTTGGCTGGGCAAGGTGGCGCACACCTATAAATCTCAGCACTTTGGGAGGCCAACACGTGAGGATCACTTGAGGCCAGTAGTTCAAGACCTGCCTGGGCAACATAGTGAGACGCCATCTCCACAAAGAAAAGCAAAGAAAAGAACAACAATTCCATTATTACTCACAGTTTTCAGGTTAGGAATTCAGGCAGGGCATGCCTGAGTGATTTTTTCTGCTCCACACAGCATCAACTGGGATCACTCAGAAGTATTCACTAGGTGGCTGGGCTGGGCTGGACTGATCCAAGACAGCTGCACTCATGTGTGGCACAATGGTGGGGATAGCTAGGAGGCAGGACTTAGCTGGTTCTTTATCTCTCCACATACTGTCTCAGGGTTTTTCCACATAGTCTCTCTAGCAGAGTGCTTGTACATCGTACAAGGTGACTCAGGGCTCCAAGAGCCCAAGACAGAAGCTGGGAGATTACTTATGAACTAGCCTTGAAAATTCCAGCACATCACTTCTACGTTCTATTAGTCAAGAAAGCCAGTAAAACAAGCCAAGATTCACAAGAAGGGAGAAATAGACTCTATCTCTTGATGATGGTGCAGCATACTCACAGAGGGAAAGAAGGAAGGACGGCAGCCATGTCGGAGAAAAAACACTGCAGTCTACCCTATGGCCTCAACAATTCATTTTCCCTCACACATGAAAAATACACCCACCTCCCCTATGACTCCCAAAGTCTCATCCAACTGCAACACCTCCTTGAAATCCAGATACCCTCACTTAAATCAGTCACGGTACAGAGGAGCGTCCTTAAACGTCCTTCCTGAAGTGTGTAGTTTCTCTCAATCTGAAGAAGATTGAGAGAAGATTGAAGATTGAAGAGAGAAGAGAGAAGATTGAGAGAAGAAGATGCGAAGGGAAGAGACAAGTTCTCTCCTCCCACTTCTCCACACACAACATAAAATTGTGAGACACACATAATTTAAAACAATTGGCACTCTCAATCTGCTCCTGGGGATAATTCACCATGGCCCCTTGCTGTGTCTTTTGAGATCTTGATTCTGCCTGGGTCACGCTTCCTTTTCCATAAAAATACCTCATGTTTGAGGCTCAGCCTCTGTATCCTGTTTCCTGCCTGTAGAAGGTTGAAAGTTCAAAGGCCTTTCATCATTTTGCACTGTCTTGCCCCTTTCAGACAAAGCTAATTTCTTAATTGTGAATTTTATATGAATTAATTTATAATCCACTCCACTATAATAAAGGCCACAACCACCAATCTTTTCAAGATAAGCTTTTCTATATCTTTGGCTATCTACAAACCTCGTATGGAACATTGACCGTAAAATAGCGTTAGAGGGCCTTATATCTGATCCAATGGTCTGCTAAGGCAACACCTTAGAACTTTCTGAGGTATTTATAAAGGCTTTTACAGTTACACCCTAGATATATGTTTGTTTTGAAATTCTTTCTTAATTGGGTAATCCTGGAAAGACTAAGAAGGAGAAATTATATTATTTTTAACCCAATAAGCGCTGGCTCTTTTATATTTAACAAAAATGTTAAGCTTATCTATATCCTCTCACATTTTACTATAAGTATCGAGAAGTCAGACAATAACTTCAGAGACCTTCTTAGCTTCAGAGAAATATCACCAGCTATACCACCACTTCATTTGCTATATATTCAATTTTCATGTTATCACAGGTGACAATGTTGCTAAACTTTCTACCACTACATGTCAAGGATTCTCTTTCCTCTAGCTATAGCCTGTTTCTCACTTTCCTTTAAGCCCTAATCAACGGCCTCCTTGTGGGTCATCACGTTTCCACTCACAATCTTTATAAGGACTTTCCGACTCTGATTTGATCCCAAAGTCATTGCCACATGTTTGGCTTTCATATGCAGCTTTCCACTTCCAGGTGCCAAAATGTGTTCTAGGTACTATGGCTGCCTCATAAATTATCCAAAAATTTACCAGCTTGAGACAATCATTTTTTATGCTTTTGGGTTCTTGGGACAGGAATTCAGAAAAGATACAGTGGGGATGGCTTGTCTCTATTTGATGATGGCTAGGAACTTGGGTTTAGTGTTTTTAGCAAAGTATTAGTTTATCAAACTAAACTAAACTTGGTTTTAGTGTTTTTAGTAAAGAGAAACCATCATAAGATCAAAAATATAATGAATATATTTTAACTCAATGGAATAAAACTCAATCTTTTCAATGTAAGTCAGTAAAATTCACAAAAAAAAAAACAAAAATAAGATATAGCAAATGGGAAATATAAAATAAGATAATATGTCAATCCTAAGACAATTAAAATAAATGTAAAAAGGTTAATTTTGCCAATTAACAGACAAAGACCCTCCTTTGGGGATAAAAAGCTAAATCTAAAAAGATGTTTTGTACATGAGACGCTCTTAAAAAAAGAAGGCACAGGCCGGGCGCGGTAGCTCACGCCTGTAATCCCAGCACTTCAGGAGGCCGAGGCAGGTGGATCATTAGGTCAGGAGATTGAGACCATGCTGGCTGACAAGGTGAAACCCCATCTCTACTAAAAATACAAAAAATTAGCCAGGCATGGTGGTGGGCACCTGTAGTCCCAGCTACTCGGGGGGCTGAGGCAGGAGAATGGCGTGAACCCAGGAGGTGGAGCCTGCAGTGAGCTGAGCACGTGCCACTGCACTCCAGCCTGGGCGACAGAATGAGACTCTATCTCAAAAAAAAAAAAAAAAAAAAAAGAAGGCACAGAGACTTTGGAAATAAAAGGATGAAAAATATCAGGTAAGAGTGAACCAAAAGAAAGGAAAGCAATCATAACACTGTATAAAATTAAATTTAGGACAAAAGTATGCTATACAAAAAAAAAGATACAAGAAAAACAAATACAAGAGGACATAATTATCGAAAGTATATGTGCTTTAATATACAGTCTTGAAGTAAGTCAAGCAACAACTGACCAAGAGAAGTAAGTGAACAATTGCTATTGGTGATTTTAACATTCCCCAATGAGAAACTGAAAGCTTAAATAAATAATCAACATAAATATGAAGATTTAAATAAAATAAGCTCAAGTTATTACATATATACATATATGAATGTGTATATATACATATCAAACAGATATCCATTATTTTTTAAAGAAAACATGAAATGTTTATTAAAATAGGCCATATATGAGCTGGGCACGGTGGCTCACGCCTGTAATCCCAGCACTTTGGGAGGCCGAGGCGGGCGGATCATGAGGTCAGGAGATTGAGACCATCCTGGCTAACACGGTGAAGCCCTGTCTCTACTAAAAATAAAAAATATTAGCTGGGCATGGTGGCTCACGCCTGCAGTCCCAACTACTCGGGAGGCTGAGGCAGGAGAATCCCTTGAACCCAGGAGACGGAGGTTGCAGTGAGCCGAGATCACGCCACCGTACTCCAGACTGGATGACAAAGGAAGACTCCGTCTCGAAAAAAAAAAAAAAAAAAAGACCATATATGGCTATTACAAACCTCAAAACATTCCAAATGTTCAATATCATAATGGACAATATTCTTTGACCATAGTGAAATAAAATTGGAAGTGAATAACAAGAGAATAGCCTAAAATTCTAAATAAACTCAGTGACATATTACTAAACTACACTCTGGTTTTAAAGGAAACCAGAAAAGAAATTTTAAAATACTTAGAAAAAAATTACAATGAAAATAGTAATTATCAAAAATGCGTGGGACATAGCTCACTCAGTATTTAGATGAAAACTTGTAACCTTAAATACATTTATGTGGAGACTGGAAATATTAAAATGTAAGAAAGCTAAGCATTTATCTCAAGAAAATAGAAAAAAGCACAACAGACCAAAACCCAGAGAATTTAAAGGGGTGATTAAAAAATAAAGATATAAACAGAAATCAATGAAATATCAATTTTTTAAAAAACCAGTAACAAAACTAAAAGGTGGATCTTTGGAAAGATTAATTAGCTATATAGATCTCTGTAACAGGACTTATCAAAGGGAGAAAAGACATAAACAAAATACAGAACAAAAAAAGAAAAAAGAATTACTGATATAAAATAATAATGTAAAAATAATAATGGAGAGGCCTAATGAATAACTGTAGTATTTAATTTGAAAATCTAGATGAAATAGATAAATTCCTAGATATAAAGTTCAAACTTGCCTTATAGGATAGGAAACTTGAAAAGACCAATAAACATCTACAAAACTAAGGTGTCTCCAAAACTGCAGACCCATTTGTAGGCTCTACTCTCCTCTTTTCCCCTGGGAAGAGATTCCCTCATCTCTGGATGGAAGCAATGATGCTGTCAACCCAACAGAGAGCAAAGAACCCTAGCGAGGCATTCACAATGCCTCATCCTTCTCCACACTGTGATCAATCAGTCCTAAGGGGGGCAACCACGCCATAGACTTTTGGGGGGAACTGTTATGAACATTGAGAAAAATGAGAATTTCTCTCCTTCTGATATCAACTAACCAGTTAGAACTAAATAACCCAGAGCTACTGTGGCCACATTTGTCCCCAATGCAGACAGAATAAAGTAGAAGAAAGCAGAGCTAGGAAGGAATAAAAAAAAAAAAAAGACAGAGAGAGAGAGAGAAGGAGAGATCTGATGCCTGATTTAGAACTCCGTAGATCCATGCCTGAAGTCCTTTCCACCCTTGGACCTCTCATTCATTCCTTTTTGCTTTAAAGCAGTTCAAATTTGATGTCTGTCACCTGTAATCCAAAGAAAACTGATGAAAAATAAAATGTGGGGAAAGGGGAAGGTGCTAGACTTTAGAATTGAATGGCCTTGGATTTGAATCTCAAGGGCGTTTAACTTAACTTCCATGCAGCTCAGTTTCCTATCTAAAGAGGAGTGACAATGGTACCCACTTCACAGAGTCATTGTGAAGATTTCGTGAGATAATCCAGAGGAAGCGCTTGGCAGATATTATTCCATGTCTGTCTCTCCCACCAGACTAAGACCACTGGAAGGCAGGACCTTGCCCAAGTCATCCCCAATTGGAGCTAAACACCTATTTTTCTTTTTACAAGTATCTGCACCTTGGTGCTAATTAAGGGCACCTAAGACATCTCTGCCAACTGACACAGGGCAACCACATTGATGCAACTCCAGCCACATTTTGGTATTAAAAAAAGACTTCATAGAATTGAACGCAGAGCAAAGTTAATTTGCAGCATTTCTGTGTTTACTCAGCTATCCTGACAAAGCCTCCCATTGGTTAATGACTCGGGGGAGAGGACTACCAAGCGGTGAAGGCCACTGGCCCCTCTAACCATTAACCACCCAGGAAGCTGGCAAACAAAATTTAACAGGCAGCATCCACCGCAGGCTTACTGTACACATGCTAGGGTCCAGGACAGCAGGACCAAGCCAGCAGAAACAGCCTGAGCCCACCGCAGACTGTGAGTAACACCTGAGAACCCTCTGTCCCTCCCCCTGCCCAGCCTCCAGAGCAAAGCCATGGCTGCAGCTCGCTTGTTTGGTTTGTTGAGATGCTTTGTTTTTTTAAAGGGCACATTGAACATTAGGGCAGCCAGCAGTGTTATGAGGCAATCTGGTTAGGATTTTCCAGACCCCGGAGTCTGTGAGTCATCCACAGGGGTTCCGATGTCCCCTGGGTTCCTGCCATGCAGGGGGCTGACACAGAGGGCTGTAGCTAAGAACCATTCTCGTCCACTGCCATGATTGATGCTCCTAAGCCCAGCCAGATAGCCACAACAGCCACAACAGCCACAGAGTCGCAGCCTGCAAGCTACAATGCATCTGCTCCAGTCGGCACCACCGATGAAGGATGCTGGCCGCGGGTCAGGGCCTGGGAGGGCTCAGCTGGCCCAGTGCAGGGGTATTCTTCTGAGTCACGCAGACCTGTCTCCACCATGGCTCCTCACTCAGTGACCTGGGGCAGAGATAATGCACAGAGAACAGAACTGTCTGCACTGTACCACATGTCATGAGGTTTCACTACAGAAGGTCAAGAACTGTGCCTGGCTCATAGGGCATTTGTGAAAACAGAGAACACAGTGAATATTTACTAAGTGAGTCTCTTCAGAGATGAGGAACAAAGAGGGCATACTTGACATGAAATGCATGAATAATATTGATACTCTGCATTTTTATATGGCTGGGTACTTTTTTGTTTGTTTGTTTGTTTGTTTTTTAAGATGGAATTTCACTCTTGTTGCCCAAGCTGGAGTGCAATGGTGCGATCTCGGCTCACTGCAACCTCTGCCTCCTGGGTTCAAGCTATTCTCCAGCCTCAGCCTCCCGAGTAGCTGGAATTACAGGCACACACCATCACACCCAGCTAATGTTTTTGTATTTTTAGTAGAAATGGGTTTCGCCATGTTAGCAAGGCTAGTCTCGAACTCCTGACCTCAGATGATCTGCCCACCTCAGCTTCCAAAAGTGCTGGGATTACAGGCATGAGCCACCACACCTGACCATGGCTGGGTACTCTTAAGAGCTGCTTTACTCATCATTTTGCTCTCTGTAGAGATAGGCAGAATGGCATGGCACAAGCTCCGATGTCAGACATCTAGGCTTAGAATTCCAGCTCAGGGGGAGTTACTCTGTCTCCCTGGATCTCAGTTTTCTCATCTGTAAAATGGGCCCCAGGATGACCCATTAAGTGAGGTCACATAAGCCAAGCACTGATAACAGCCACGTCTGGTATTCACAACAATATTGTGGGGTGGATGGAGTTTTCACCCTCATCTTAGAGAATTAACGCAGGAGAAGGTGAGACATGCAATCTCCCCAGAGCTGGCAGGGGAGCCCATCCTACCATTGGCATCATACCGCACAGGGCCTGTGCCTGAGAGGAGATCCCAGATAGGTATGGCAGTGACCAAAGCTAAGCAAAGATTTCACTGCCTGTCATGGGGCAAGGCCATAGAGAAGCACAGATACAAGGCTTCCTGGAGGCGGTGACCTGGGACCTGAGTCTCAAAGGACAAGATGGAGTGAGCCAGATGAGGCAGGGAGATGAGGGACCTACAGACTGGAGCCACATAGGCAGGACTGAGGCAGATCCATCTTTGTTCCCTGCTCCCAGTCCAGAGCTGGGCTCAGCAAACATGGAAAAATCAAAATGACCTGCCCTGGGGAACTGCAGTGACCTGTCTTGCTGTAACCTGCCCTATAGTGATGTGACATGCCCTGCCCTGCCCCACAGTGGGAGAAAAGGCTGATGTGTGCTGGAAGAACCCCTGGCACCCAGTGTTGCTGTGGCTGAGACCCCAAAGGGCCAGATTTGAGGCTGGAGGCAGAACTGTCACCAGGGACTGGGTCACAAAGACCCCCTGGGCTACATTAGTGAGAATCAGCCCTGTGGTGGGCAATGGGGAGTCCCTGAAAACTTCAAAGCAGAACCGATCAGCTTGAATTTTTGAGAATTTAAAAAGATGCAGCTGCAGATGGGTAAAAGGGCTGGAGGGAGTTGAACAGGAGGCAGGGAGACGAGGTAGGGGCTACTGCTGAGTCCTGAGAGAGATGAGGAGGCTGTGCAGAGGCACTGGAGAATAGACAAACACCAGAAAAATGGGTAAGGCTAGAGGTGTTATTATCAGCTCTATTTTATACTGTGGAAACTGAGGCAGAGTTTAAGTAGCCTGTCCCACATCACCTAATTCATACATGGCAGTGCTAGGGCCCCAATCCAGCTTGATCTGCCACGAAACCCAGGATCTTTTCTGGGTTTCGCGACAAAAGAATTGTCGCGAGGACCCAGAAATCCAAGTCAGAAACCCGATGGAGAATTCAATAAAGCCCATCATTTGGGTGCGGGGAGTGGGGAGCAGGTCACACCTGCCTCTATTATCTAAAGCAGAGAACTAGGGGCTAGAGCAGCCAACAGGGGTTGTTTTCCACCCTGGTGAGATAAGGGAGACACGCAAGGAGGGTTTTGGGAGACTCAGGAGAACTAAGGGTTTTGCGGGGGAGTTCCCACCTGTCATTCTTGAGATTCTGCTTTTGGAACACACCAGGGAAGGGGCCTCTAGGGAATTCCAGAGCAGAACAGTGGTTCCCACGCTCGGAGCGCACCTGTTAAAAGAAAACTTTAGACAAATTAAACGTAGCAGAGTTTATTTGAGCAAAGAAACAATTCATGAATCACACAGCACCCTAAACCAGTAAAGGTTCAGAGAGTGCCACCCAGCAACGTAGGCAGTATTTACAGGCAGAAGAAGGAAGTGACATACACACATAGGCTGATAGGTTACAGCTCTGTGTTTGCCTTGTTTGAACATGTCTGAGCAGTTGGCAGGCTGTGATTGACTGAAAGTTCAGCTGCTATGATTGGCTGAGACTTGGTTACTTGTTACAAACATATACTCTCAAGTTAGGTGCAGTTTGTTTACATATTAAGCTAGGTTACAGTTTGCTACATGAGGAGGCAGCTTTAGCCCATCTTTAATTTAATTTAACACAACACAACCTCCTGGAGCACTGGTTTAAATGAGGGTTCCCAGCCCCTCACCCAGAATGGCTGGTTCAACAGTGGGTGGTGCAGTAAGACCTGCTTCTCCTGTAAGCATCCTGTATTTATTGTGATACAGGTAGCTCCACACAGCACAGGGCCTGAAACCACTAACCTTGCAGGCAGGCAGTGTCCACCGACTGATTCCAACCTTGGGTGGATTTTTTTTAATTGCTCTTATGGAACTCTTTTTAAATCATTTATATTTAATTTTTTCCTTAAATTTGTATTGTGGGAAAATATAATACCTAACGTTTTAACTACAAGCATACAGTTCATAAAAGTACATTCACATTGTTGTGCCACCATCACCACCTTCCATGTCCGGAACTTTTTCATCATCCCAGACTGAAACTCTATACCCACTCAACAATAACTCCCCAATCTCCCGTTGCCCCGGCCCCTGGTAACCACAATTTTACTTCTGTCCCTAGGTATTCGGCTACTCTAGGTGTAGAATTAGACTCTATTTGTCCTTTTGTGTCTGGCTTATTTCACATAACATAATGTCTTCCAGGTTCATCCATGTTGTAGGAAATGTCAGAATTTCATTCCTTTTTAAAGTTGAATAGTATTCCATTGTATGTTTATACCAGACTTTGTTTATTCATTCATCCATTGATAGACATTTGGGTTGTTTTCATCTTTTGGCTATGGTGAATAATGCTGCTGTGACTTTGGTCTACAATTATCTTTTCAAGTTCCTTGACTAGCTGCTTGCAGTTCTTTGGTGTATATACTCGAAGCAAAATTGTTGGGTCAAATGACAATTTGTTTAATTTTTAAAGAACTGTCATATTGTTTTCCACACATTGTAGCACTTTATATTCCTACCAGCAATGCATAAGGGTTCCAATTTCCCCACATGCAATGCTAACATTTAAATTAAAAAAAAAATTTTTTTAAAGGAAATCTTGCTATGTTACCTAGGCTGGTCTCAAACTCCTGGCCTCAAGCATTCCTCCTGCCTCAGCTTTCAGAGTAGCTGGGATTACAGGCACGGGCCATCATGCCTGGTGTGCCAACTTATTGTTTTCTGTTTTGTTTGTCTGTTAGTAGCCATCCCTGTGGATACAAAGTGGTATCTCATTGCGGTTTTGATATTCCTAATGATTAGTGATGCTGAGCATCTTTTCATGTGCTTACTGGCCATTTGTATGTTGTCTCTGAAAAGATGTCCACTCAAGTCCTTTGCCCATTTCTAACTGGGTTTATTTGTTTTGTTGTTGTTCTTGGGTTTTAGGAGTTCTTTATATATCCTGGATATCAATTCCTTATCAGATATGAAATTTGCAAATGTTTTCCCATTCTGTGAGTTGCATTTTTACTTTATTGATAGTATCCTTTGATGAACAAAGTTTTCAATTTTGATGAAGTCCAATTTGTTTATTTTTTATTTTGTTGCCCATGGCTTTGGTGTGATATTCAAGAAATCATTGCCAAAGCCAACATCATGAAGTTTTTCCCCCATGTTTTTTTCTAAGATTTTTATAATTTTAACTCATCTTTAGGTCATTGATCTATTTTGAATTAATTTTTGTATATGGTGTTAAAGGTCCAATTTCATTATTTTGCATGTAAATATCCAAATTTTCAGCACCACTTGTTGAAAAGGCTGTCTTTTCCCCATTGAATGGTCTGGCATCCTTGTCAAAATCATTTTACTACATATGAAAGGCTTATTTCTGGGTTCTGTATTCTATTCCATTGGTCTCTATGTATGTCTTTATGCCAGTACCACACTGTTTTGATTATTATAGTTTTGTAGTAAATTTTGAAATCAGAAAGTGCAAGACTTTCAACTTTGTTCTTCTTCAGTATTGTTTTGGCTATCCAGGTCCCTTGAGATTTTTATATAAATTTTAGGATAAATTTTTCTATTTCTGTGAAATACAGAACTGGAATTTTGATAGGAATTGCATTGAATCTATAGACTGCATTGGATAGTATTATCATCTTAGCAATTTCTTCCAATCCATGAATGCAGGATGTCTTTCCATTTATTTATGTCCTCTTTAATTGCCTTCAGCACTGTTTTGTACTTTTCAGTGTATGTCTCTTACCTCCCTGATTAATCCCTATTTTATTCTTTATCATACTATTGTAAATGGAATTGTTTTCTCAATTTCCTTTTCAAATTGTTTTCTTTGTTAGTGGTGGGAAATGCAATTGATGTTAGTGTTTTGATTTTATATCTTGCAACTTTGCTAAATGTGTTTATGAGTTCTATAGAATTTTTAGGGTTTTGAACATATAAGATCATGTCATCTGTGAACACAGACAATTTTACTTCTTCTTTTCAAATATGGATACCTTTTCTTTCCTTGCCCAATTGCTCTGGCTAGAAATTCCAGTGCTATATTAGGTAAAAGTAGTGAGAACAAGCATCCTTGTTTTGTTCCTGATCTTCGGGGAAAAGCTTTCAGTCTTTCACTATTGAGTATAAAAGGTTTTATAAATACGTAGTCTTGATTATGTTGAGGTAGTTTTCTTCTATTACTAATTTTGTTGTAGGACTTTCTACTTAGTCCAGCTAAACACGGGGTCCTTGTCACATGGCCATGAAAGATTAGGCTCACAGACACTTTGAGGTGTGAATAAAATGGAATTTATTGGGTGAAAAGGAAAACAACTCAGCAAAGCAAGAGAGAGTCCTGTTAACAGGCCCTCATCTGACTGACTGAATCCCCAGATTACCACATCGGATCAGGAGAGAGAGGCCAAGCTCCTCCCCGCTGCAAAGGGCACAAACTTCCCACAGCTCCACCCCATTCTCCCAGTGTGCAGGCCAACTGAATGTTCTCCAGGCACCTCTTTACACTTGACTGTCTCAATCTGCTGTGTGTTTTTATCATGCGAGGGTGTGTTGAATTATGTCAAATACTTTTTTCTGCACCAATTAAGATGATCATGTGATTTTTTCTTTTATTTTGTTAATATGATGTATTACACTGATCAATTTTTGTATGTTGAAACATCCTTGCATTACAGAAATAAATCCAAATTGGGTATGGCATATAATCCTATTAGTAGGCTCTCAAAATTAATTTAATCCATTATATTAGTCAGGGTTCTCCAGAGAAACAGAATCTATAGGATATATAGAAATATATATAAGAGGAGGCATTATGGGAATTGCCTTATGTAATTACAGAAGCTGAGAAGTCCCACAATCTGCCATCTGCAAGCTGGAGACCCAGGAAAGCCAGCCATGTAATTCAGTCTGAGTCTGAAGGCCTGACAACCGGAGGAGCCAATGGTGCAGCTCCACAATAGGAAAAGGGCCTAATAAGGCTGCTGGTTTAAGTCCCAGAGTTTAAAGGTCCAAGAAGCAGGAGGCCCAGTGTTCAGGGCTGGTAAACACAGATGTCCAGCTCAGGGACAGAAGAGAGAATTTGCCCTTCTCCTACCTCTTTGTTCCATTCAGCCTTTAATAGATTAAAAATGCCCACCCATATTGGTAAAGGTGGCTGTCTTTAACTCAATCCACTGATTCATATGCCAATTTCTTCCAGAAATACTGCCACAGGCCTCTTTTATGTAGGCACTAATTCCTTTTATGAGGGTAGAGCCCCCATGAATAGGTTTCCACATATGAATTTGTGGGGACACAAACATTCAAACCTTAGCAGCTGGTAAAACATTATTTTTGAGTGTGTCTGGGACAAAATAAATTGAGCAAAAATGGACATAATTGAAGGGTGAAATCGTTCTACAGCAATTTAGACACTTCAATATCTCATTCTCAATAATGGATAGAACAACCAGACATAAAATAAGTAAGAAAATAGAGAACTTGAATATCACACTAAAAGCTAGATGTATCAGACCTATACAGAACACCCTACAACAACAGAATACACATTCTTCTCAAGTGCAAATAGGACATTCTCCAAGATAGACCCTATGTTAGGCCACAGATCAAGAGTCAATAGATTTTAAAAGACAGATATCATACTAAGTATCTTCTTCAATCACAATGAGATGCAGTTAGAAATCAATAACAGAAGGAAAACTGGAAATTTTACAAATTGTGGAAAAAACAACACACTCTTTATCAACCAGAGGATCAAAAAAGATACCACCAGGGGAATTAGAAAATACTTAAAGACAAACGAAAATGGAAACACAACATACCAAAACTTATGGAATGAGTGAAAGCAGTGTGATGATAGAAATGTAAAGCTGTAAACACATTAAAAACAAGAAGATCTCAAATAAACAATGGCATATATTCAAATTCAGGTGTTAACTTTAGGATGCTAATGTAATCCCCATAATAACCACAAAGGGATGAGAATAGAATTATTAAAGTGTTTCAATACAAAAAAGCATTTCAGTACAAAAACTAAATACAAAAAAGGACAGTAATATAGGAAATGAAGAACCAAAAATGTTATATCTTCTTGCTGTACTGAAAACTTTATTAATATGTCATTGCCCTGTCTTTTGGAACTTTTTTAATTCAAAATCTATTTTGTCTAATATTAGTGTAGTCACCCCTGCTCTCTTTTGATTACTATTTGCATGGGGTAACTTTTCCATCCTTTCACTTTCAGTCAGTCTATTTACATTTTTGGATCTAAAATGAGTCTCTTGTAGACAGCATATATTTGGATCATATTTTAGAAGGCTAATGTGTAAAAATAATTTTTAGTCTTTGTTTATAATTTAGAGACTAGAAAAAGAGCAAACTAAACTGAAAAATAGCAGAAGGAAGGAAATAATAAAGATTAGAGCAGAGATAAATAAAATCAAGAATAGAAAAACAATAGAGAAAATAAATTAAACCAAAATGTAATATGTATGCTCATAATACATTTAGTCCATAGTATATTTGATATAACCAGCTTTACTTCAATAGCATACAAAAGCTCTGCTTCCTTATAGCTCTGTTCCTGTTTCCAGTTACTGATGTAACAAATTATATCTACACATCATGTGCCCAAAAACATAACTTATAATTGCCCACGCATCTACCTTTACCAGAGGTCTTTTATTTCTTCATTCAGCTTAAAGTTACTGTCCAGTGTCCTTTCATTTCAATCCGAAATAAAATGCCTCTCATTTCTTGCAGGGTAGGTATTGTGGAAAAAAGCTTACTCAGCTTTTGTTTTTCTGGGAATGCTTTAATTGTGTTTTGCTTTTCTTCCAGCATTTTGAACATATCCTTTGGGTGGGTTTTAACCTTTCTGAGCACCTATTTCTGCCTGCCTAAAATCATGTTAATAATACTTGCTTTAGGAGTGTTTTGGTAATGGTTAGATGACTGAATATAGCCAGACTACCTAGATCAGTGTTGGGTACCTGTCAGGCACTGGATAAATCATAACGGCTGTTATTCATATCTCCAGATGAGGAAACTGAAGTCCAGCGCCCTCTGTGATGTGCTCCAGGTCACACAGCCAGTGTGGAGGAAGGAACTGGGGCTTGAATGGGGTCTTTTGCCTGCCTCCTCTTGCACTACGCCCCATTGACTCAGAGACTGCCACAGCATCTAACAAGCTTTTCTGATTTGGCAGGGCCTGGCTATACTGGACAATGCCACTCCTCCTGTACACCTGTCTTCTCTGGCTGCCCACCAGCGGCCTCTGGACCGTCCAGGCCATGGATCCTAACGCTGCTTATGTGAACATGAGTAACCATCACCGGGGCCTGGCTTCAGCCAACGTTGACTTTGCCTTCAGCCTGTATAAGCACCTAGTGGCCTTGAGTCCCAAAAAGAACATTTTCATCTCCCCTGTGAGCATCTCCATGGCCTTAGCTATGCTGTCCCTGGGCACCTGTGGCCACACACGGGCCCAGCTTCTCCAGGGCCTGGGTTTCAACCTCACTGAGAGGTCTGAGACTGAGATCCACCAGGGTTTCCAGCACCTGCACCAACTCTTTGCAAAGTCAGACACCAGCTTAGAAATGACCATGGGCAATGCCTTGTTTCTTGATGGCAGCCTGGAGTTGCTGGAGTCATTCTCAGCAGACATCAAGCACTACTATGAGTCAGAGGTCTTGGCTATGAATTTCCAGGACTGGGCAACAGCCAGCAGACAGATCAACAGCTATGTCAAGAATAAGACACAGGGGAAAATTGTCGACTTGTTTTCAGGGCTGGATAGCCCAGCCATCCTCGTCCTGGTCAACTATATCTTCTTCAAAGGTATTCCCACCCATCCCCATCTGAAGGCCCATCCACTATGGCCAGGAATAACAGCCGCTAAAATCCAGGGCACACTCTTGGGCAAAGTCTTTGATTCTGTAAAGCACATACACATCTGGGAATCTCCATCTTCACCACAATCCTGCTGGGTAGGTGGAATTATATTATTTTACAAAAGATCAAAATGACACCCAGAAGGGTTGAACAATGTGCCTACATTCTGGCAGGTTGGTTTGAGGCCCACACCTGTAACCATGAACAGTCTGGCTGCTTCATGCTCCACAAATGCTGACTGTCAAGCACTGGGCCAGGGACTGGAAAAATGGCCTAGAACTAGACAGAACCCCACCCAGCCCCTTGGGAACTCCCAGATGCCCCCAAAGCCATCCTGCACACACTGCTCTGACCAGGTCCTGCTTCAGTTTTTCAATCTTCCTGTTCATAAAAACCTGGAAGCTCTAGGGGGGAATGCACTTCCAGGCTTTTTCCAGCTTCTAGAAGCCACATGGCCTGTGGGCCTCTCTTATTTTCAAAGCCAGTAATTGCAAATTCCCACCTCTGCTTCCCTCATCACATCTCTCTGATTCTGACTTTCCTGCCTTCCTCTTTGACTTACAAGAACCCTCAGGATTACACTGGATAATGGCCCACCTGGGTGATCCAGAATAGGCTGCCCATCTCAAGGCCAGCCGATTAGCAATTATGATTCCCTCTACAACTTTAATTCCCCCTGGACATGAAAGCTAACATATTCTCAAGTTCTGGGGATTAGAATGTGGACATTTTGGAGGGCTGTTATTCTGCCTGCCACAAAGCCCAGGCCTCTTCTGTCTCATGAGCCCTCTTGCAACTTATCTGACTGCCTAAAACATCTTCCCTCACTTCAAATCTTAGCTCAAAAGTCACCTCCTCTGTGAAGCCTCCCCAGAGTCACCCAGGAAAGACTTTGCCCTCATATGCATGCTCAACAGTTTGCCCATGCCTTGTTTGGGCAATCATCTTGCCATAACATGTTGTTTAGCACCCAGGTGGTTGAGTTTCAGTTAAGCAATCATATTCAAAGGAATGCAGGTAAAACAGCCAAAATAAGCAAACTAAGCCAGTATCTCTACTGAACATGTGTCTCTCGACAAGATCATCAGATCAGAGGAGATGTGATCCCCAGCCAGGACCCCTCATGCCCCCTTCCCCTCCTCCCCAGCTCTCTCTCAGGACCTCCCATCAGACTGTGCCCACCTCCCCTCCCATCCCGCACCTCCTTACTGCCTGGACTGCCTTAGCATCTCTACGAGTCCTTCTTCTCTACCTGCCTCTGGGTCTTTCCTGCTCTCCAGCACAAGGCTGGGAACTCCCAGGAGAGGCCGCCCTCTTCGCAGGATGGTGAGGCTGAGAGGCTGACCAGGCAAAGGCAGCCTTCCTAACACCTGACTATGGGAGGGCCAGGGAGGCTGGGAACATTTGCCCAGAAACTCTTCTGTGTGCTCCCACAAATTCCATAGACCATCTCCCCCACGAGACTGTGCACTCTTGTGCAGGGTATCTTTGTCTCTTTGGGAGATTCCAGTGCCCTTGTTTAATGCTTGGTGCATGGAACAAGCTCAGCAGTGGTTGCACAGAGGTTCAGGCAACACAACCTGGGGAAAAGGCACAGTAAACCCAGGTGCAGGGAGGGCCCTCCTGAGCCTGAGAGATGCCTGAGCACATGTGGTGGAATGGGTGTTGGTGGAACGGGTGCTGGCCTGGTGTCATTCTGTACGAGGTTTCACAGTGTCCTCAGGACCACAGTGGGGCTAAGTGGATAGGAGATCACAGCTTTAGGTTACAAAATCAGAGAAACTTGGAACACCTGAATGCAGGACCAGACATTGATGGAGATGAAATGCCTCATTGTACACAGATTTTCTATAATACAACAAAACGAATCCGTGAGTGTTTGGTTAAAACTTTTGGCAAAATACTCTGAAATATTTCTAGCAAGCCAGGATAATAAACAGAAATCAAGATTAGTGTAGGTATTATCACTAAATGTAGAATATGTAAAATGGCCCTGATGTGTTATTTATTTATTTATTTATTTTTATTTTTTTTGAGACGGAGTCTTGCTCAGTTGCCCAGGCTGGAGTGCAGTGGCAGAATCTTGGCTCACTGCAAGCTCCGCCTCCCGGGTTCATGCCATTCTCCTGCCTCAGCCTCCTGAGTAGCTGGGACTACAGGCACCTGCCATGACACCCGGCTAATTTTTTTATTTTTTTGTATTTTTAGTACAGACAGGGTTTCACCACGTTAGCCAGGACGGTCTCGATCTCCTGACCTCATGATCCACCCGCCTCGGCCTCCCAAAGTGCTGGGATTACAGGTGTGAGCCACCGCACCCAGCACCTGATGTGTTATTTATCGGACTTTCTTGACAGTTTTTTTTTAATAACATTAAAAATATTGTTAAAAGATTTTCCAGAGGAGCCATCCTTGCTCTCTCAGATCGTCCCCAATAAATTCTTTCTCTACCACCAATTCTCCTAGAACTTTTTGAGAATAGATCCCTTAAAGTAGAGGCTGAACCCCATTTTGTATTTTGTTTTGTGTCAAACTATATACATTATGCTTACTCCTAGAAAAGAAATACTCCATAAAAAGCAAGCAGCAAAATGTTAAGGACGAAAAAAACCTAACAATGAAAAATATTTTACCCACTTTGTTTTTTTGCTGTAAGTTAGCCACAAAATACAACTGCCCTCTGGTTCTGAGGATTTTAGACCTCCTTTGGAGGATGATTTGAGAACCCTCAAATAATCTCATTTGCCGTGAGACAGACGGACGGTGAGTTTACTACCATTGGCCAGTGTCTGCAGACATCAAGGTTAGTGAGGTCATTAAGAAGGGACCAGCATAGCTCTGGTGTCTCTAGACTCCGCAGCCATGGCTGATTTCTCTACATCCATCAGCCTCTCCCTGTTGTCTCCATAAGTAGCTATTACAAAAGGTTTGTGGCTGGCTTAGAACCAAGAATTTTGGCTGAGCAATCCATAGATCCCACAGACAGTAGGATGGAGAAAGGGCTACCTGGAGTGATGTTCTGGCCACCTTTAGGGAGCCTGGGCTGGGAAATGGTGGCCTGGCAAGGGCTTCAGGGCTTGTGGTCAATGGCAGCCAGGACACCTGGGATCTGCTGGACTCAAGGGCCTCAGTCATCACTTTAAGACTGGGGAGACGTCACCTAGAGCAGAGAGACCCTGTGACACTCAGCCCAGGTAAGTTTCCTGCAGGTGGACTCAGTTGTCTGGAATAAGTTCAGAAGAACAGAAGAGGTCCTGCTGGTGGCGGACAATCAGGCAGGCTTTGGCTCAGTCTGAGGAGCAATTTTCTTCCCATCAGAGCTGACGAGTACCGCCAAGTCCCATCTGTGAAGGTAGTGAGCTCTCCATCTCAAGGCAAAAAAACAAGCTGGATGGTGGCACCCTGGAACATGGTAGATGGGACTTGAGGGCCTGCTGGGGGTGGGAGTCTGTGACCCTGAAGGAGTCTTCTCACCCTGACTCTTCATTAGGACAACGTGGCCTAGAAGGAAGGACCATTCAGCAGGGTCAGGAGCCTCAGCTGGGCCGGCCAGGCTGGCAGGGGTGGAGATGGCCCCCTCGCTTCCCACCAGGGACTCTGAGTTTGAGACTTGAGGTCTAGCACCACTTCCAGAGCCCTCAGAACTGGGACCCACTCTAGGCATGGGGAGCCAAGGCACAGTCTGACCTACCCCCAAATCCAAGGACCAGTACCCTCTTGGTCTCTCCCTACTTCCTTGTTTAGAAGCCAGTCTCAGAAACAGAGCTCATCCTCAACCCATTCCAAGAAGTAGAGGATGAAACAGGATTTAAATTTCTGGGAATTTTTATATCTTACCTAAAAACCCTTGAGGCTTGAATGGGGACATTCCAAGCATGCAGAAGGCCACTGTGTCACTTGGATAGTAGGCCCGTGAGATCACCTGGAACTGTGTTTTCCTCTCTGCCCTACAGACCTGTCTCCTCCTCTTCCTAGGCACATGGACACAGCCCTTTGACCTGGCAAGCACCAGGGAGGAGAACTTCTATGTGGACGAGACAACTGTGGTGAAGGTGCCCATGATGTTGCAGTCGAGCACCATCAGTTACCTTCATGACTCGGAGCTCCCCTGCCAGCTGGTGCAGATGAACTACGTGGGCAATGGGACTGTCTTCTTCATCCTTCCGGACAAGGGGAAGATGAACACAGTCATCGCTGCACTGAGCCGGGACACGATTAACAGGTGGTCCGCAGGCCTGACCAGCAGGTAAGTCCTCCAGCCATCATGTTGATTTCTGCAATGCACGTGTCCCCAGAAAGTGGGGCACGTGGAAAGGGAGTATGCTGGGGCATCCTTCCTTCCCTGGACTCACCCTCCAGGGCTCAGTTTTCCTGTCTGCTGGGCCCCCAAAGGCTGTAAGTTTCCCTAATCTAGAGCTCACGCTTATTTATTGATCTGTCCATCAACACTGAAATACTTTGGGGCATTTCACAGAGTGAGGTTCCCTTTCCCTGTGAGGTTCATACATACCCTCTGCATTGTCATATTTTTGTAGCATTTTCTTAAAGTAAGTTCACCAACCACCCAGCTACACACTTATCTGTTTTGTTATCTTGCTTACCTGAAACCACGCCCTGCTAAAGATTCTTGGAAGACCCCATAGAAATATAATGAAAATGATAATGAAATGTATACATCATGGAGCCAATGCAAAATCTATGAATGGTTCTTAAGTTACTCAGGGCATCTAACTCTTCAATCAATCAATCATCAGTAAACAACTAAGAAAGCAAGGCTAAAGTAGGTAATAAGCGAGTAAGTAGAAAGAAAGCAAGGGCTGCATATCCTGAAGAGGCAGTAGCCAGGAGGAGAAGCGGCCAATGGATTCCCTCTATCTCTGACCTCAGGCCCAAGCAAGGGGCTGGTGCAGGGTTGACACTCAGGCAAGGTCAGCTGAGGATGTGAGTCAGCAATGAATGAATGAATGCCTGAATGAATGGATGGGTGAGTGAATGGATGGAAGAATGAATGAGTGAGTGAATTAATGGATGAATAAGTGAGTGAGTGCATAGAATGGTGAGTGAGTGCATAGAATGGTGAGTGAGTGAATGGATGGGTGAGTGAGTGAATGGAGAATGAGTAAATGAATGGATGAATGAATAAGTAAATGGATGCATGAGTGAGCGGATGGATGGGTGGATGGTTGGATGGATGGACAGATGCACAAACAAATGAGATTTTCCCCCTAAGCACCCCTGAGCTAGACAGTAATTGAAATTATTGTCATGCAAGTGCGCAGCCCTGCTCCTCACCTTAAAGGAGGAAGGAGGTGTTCTTAGAACATGGTCCTCACTCTCAGGGAGATTCAAGTTCCATCTGTGCAGAAGGGTCAGAAAATGCCAACCAGCATGAAACCTGGTGGCAGGGGGGCTGATGCAGACTCAGAAGCAGGGGGGATGCTGAGGAGAGAGTGGGAATGTAGATCTGGAGTAGCTCAGGAAGGCTGGTGGATCAGGCAGCATTTCATTCACTCACTCACTCATTCATTCATTCAATGTGCATTTCATTCGCTCATTCATTCAATGCACATAAACGGAAGCACTTGCTATGTACCATGCCCTAGCTAAGCACAGGGGATGGAGTGGTGAATAGGACAAAACAGAGCCCTTAAAGACATGCACTCTAGAGCAGAAAACAGATTCTGGTGGAATTAATAGTGGTACGACAATGTGAGTTCTGAGAGAGACAGACAGAGATATGTAACATGCCACTGGTTGGGAGGTGGGAATGCCTGACTCTGCCCGGGAATGGGGAAGGGCTGCAGAGCAGGTTGTTTTCCCTTGAAACTGCTTTGAGTGTGAATGGAAGTTCAGCCAGGGGGAAGTGGCCTCCAGACCCGACATGAAGTCAGGGGACCATGCCCAGAGTGCCAACAATGCAGGGCCAGCAGTAATGAAGACAAATTTGGCTTGGACAAATGTTGTGGTCTAAAAATTTTGCAGTAGATAATCTAGGAGGAAGCTCCTCTACTTTATTAACATGTAGGTTTTGTGGTTTATGGTTTCAGATTGTTTTCATTTTGAATGATACCTTCAGAGATCTATTTGATGCTGGGTGCTTCTAGAGAAGTTCATCCAGTTCTGTGAATGCACATGGAAGTGTCTGGGAATTTGACTTCTCTCCTGTAGGGAAGTCATGTAGTCAGCCCTGTGTTTCTGAGCAATCCCCTATAGCTATGTGGAGGACACAGTTCTTAAACCATCCATAACTACGCTTGAGTGTGTACACATATATATGCGTGGGTGTGAACCTGTGTCTGGGCGATGCTAGGGATCCATTTGCCATCTCTTCCTCCTTTCTACCCACCAAAGAAAACCTGTAATTTAGGTGTAATACCACAAGGGGGTGATAACGCACCATGATGCAAACAATGCATTCCAGCTCATACTCCACTGAAAATGACGGGAAGGACTATCTATCTTTCTTTACACCAAAAATAATCTTTTCATGAAAATACTTCAATGTGAGCAACATTAATCAATAATACATAACTTAAAGCCCCATCACCTTGCTCTCAGAGAGCTGTCAACAACGCAGCAGGCGGCAGATGGCAAAACTAGTCCTGGCCTTTTCAGTTCTGTTGCCTCCCAGTTGTGTGACTTTGGGGGAATTCCTCAACCTCTCTTAAGTGTTGGTCTCTCAACCTGGAAATTAAAGATGTTGATTCCGACTTCATAGGTGCGTATGTGTGTGTGTGCACATGCATGTGTGAGAGAGACAGAGAGAGGAGAAAAAAAAAGTAAAGAACATAGACCAGGTGTTTGGGATAAATTGGTCTCCCTTCCTTTCTTTCTGTTACTATTTCCGCACCTGGAGAAGGTACACACCGACTCGCCTCTGGTTCTTCTCCCTCTCCTTTAGAAAAGGGCGGCTTCCACTTCACGCAGGATGGTTGCCAGCCTCCGGGCCTCACTCAGGGCTGCTTTTGCTCAGTGAGGAGAGGGTCTCGTGCCTTCCCTCCCATCTGCCAAGAGAGCCGGTGCGAGTTCACTGACACCCCTCAGTTTCAGTGTTTTAGACATCTGCTCTCCCTCTGGGGAGAAGGCACAAGAAGAATTTAAAAATAACACTAAGGCCTTGACATGTTAAAAAGCGTAGATGCCCGTGCTGCCCCTAGTGTGACCCCACTTACCTTTCTAGAAACCCCACCTGCTTCATCTGGTAGAAACTGCCAGCTGAATCAGATTCTTGCAGAATCACAGAGATTTCGCACCCACCTGCCCTGGGAGAGCCTGTGTTCAACCACCTTTGTGTGCAGGTGAGGACATTAGCACAGAGAGGGGCTGGACTTGGCAAAGGCCACACAGCATTAGTGGCACAGCTGGAGCCAGGGACCACTGCTCCCAGCTGGGCACTCCCTCCAGTCCTCTGCTTCTAGCAGGGGTTCTCCTGGGACTAAAAAGGCTTCATTATGGACTATTGTCTTAAATGCTCCATGGTCCAGCTGCATCCCAGGTGGAATCAGCTCGAAGGAATTGCAGAGAAGAAAAGAATGTGCAATTCAGAGGCCCCGTGGGAAAGCTGCCTGTGTCATGGAGGCAGAGACAGATCCTGCCTCCTGCTCTGTCCCTTCTCCTACCCACAAAGAGCAAGTCAGGCTGGAGGGCAGGAGCTGGAGGGAGCGCATGAGGAAATAAGAGTCTGGCCAGGAGAAGAGGTGCTGCTCTCCCCTCTGCCAGGCCCAGCCCTGGAATGTCTAACTCTGTCTGCTTACCCCGAGCAGCCAGGTGGACCTGTACATTCCAAAGGTCACCATCTCTGGAGTCTATGACCTCGGAGATGTGCTGGAGGAAATGGGCATTGCAGACTTGTTCACCAACCAGGCAAATTTCTCACGCATCACCCAGGACGCCCAGCTGAAGTCATCAAAGGTAAATGTCATGGGAACCCACCTTTTCTTCCCCCTCCAAAATTCACAATATAAATATAATACTAGGAAGTGGCACTGAGTTCGTTCATGAATGAGCCTCTAGGTCCCTGGCTGAGAACCCCAGGTTGAGTCAAAGCCCCTTGTCTCACCATGAGGTAAATGGAGGCTCAGCAAGAAAACATGACATCCCCAAGATCACACAGGAAGCTGTCGACACAGGAGGGCCACAGGCCAGGCACCTACCCATCCCACCAGACCACACAGAGGGGAACTGTGAAAACCAAGTTGTCATGGCAGAGCTGTGAGTGGCCCCTGGCAAAAAGAAACAGGAAAAGTGGTAAATGTCTAATTGGGATCATATTGAGCCTTCTACCCAATTACATCCATTCAATTACATAAATCCTTCAGCTTTATGTTCTGTTATTCATGCATTCAGAAAATGTTTACTGAACACCTACTATATATCCCAAACTGTGTAGGCCCTGTGTATGCCCCCGTTACTCAGATGTGTGGCCCCTGACCTCAAGACACAGGACTTTGTGGCCTCCGTGGTACCTGGCACGTAATATGTGCTCAGTAAAATGCGTGCTGTGTGAGTGGATTGAGTCAACACAGCTGCCTTCTCAGAAGGCAGGTATTATCCCAATTTCTCAGATGAGGAATCTCCTGCTCAGGGAGGGTATGCAGCTTCCCCACAGTCACAGAGCTAGTAAATAACAGTTTGATGTTTGATCTCAGGCCTGTTGACTCAAAACCTCATCTGCTCAAGACACACTGCAGGGGTTCCAATCCCAGCTCAGCTTCTTCCTAGCCATGGGTGCCACTCACAGAGCCACCAGAGCCTGAGTGTGCTTGCTGGAAAGAGTCGCTGGAAGTTCCCACCCCTTAGGGTGTTGTGAGCTCACCAATATCACCTGTTACTTATTTAGCCAGGTTATGAGTTACCAGAGTCTTTTGATACAAGCTAGGCAGACGTTTTGCTGACTTCAGAACTCCTCCTAATTTTGATCACAACAAGGACATATCAACAGTCAAAGATTTACATTTTTAGATTCTGCCTCAGCTTTCCCAAACAGAACAGACATAGGCACTTTGCATAACTTGAACCCTAGCATTTACCCAGCAGAGTGGAAAGGGAGCAAGATCTCCCTCCGCTACCCCAGGATGGTAAGAAGCGCCCAACATGGACAGTGAAGCCCAGTTCAAGCCATGAGACTTCTAATCTCCATGTGATGGGCCCAATCTGCCCTTTGAATAGGAAGTGTAGGTGCGGCCCAGGTTCTGGAGGTGGACAGACTTGGGCTGTGTAATCCTGGGGCTGCCACTTGGATAAGAATCCAGCAAGTGACCTTCTCTGACCCTGGATTTACCTTCCTAAAACCAAGGATGTGAAGGGTCCCAGCAATGAGTCAGGAAAGCGAGAACGCACAGCAGGTCTCACTACCCATCTTCATTCTGTACCTAACAGGTGGTCCATAAAGCTGTGCTGCAACTCAATGAGGAGGGTGTGGACACAGCTGGCTCCACTGGGGTCACCCTAAACCTGACGTCCAAGCCTATCATCTTGCGTTTCAACCAGCCCTTCATCATCATGATCTTCGACCACTTCACCTGGAGCAGCCTTTTCCTGGCGAGGGTTATGAACCCAGTGTAAGAGACCACCCACCCAGAGCCTCAGCACTGTCTGACTTTGGGAACCAGGGATCCCACAGAAATGTTTTGGAGAGCGGGAGGTTTCCCCCAATCTCCTCCAAGTTCTTCTCCCTCCAACCAGAGTTGTGTCTAACTTTAGGCATCTTTTAATAAATGTCATTGCGACTCTGATGACCGGTGTGGTTAAAGAGAAGGGCAGGGGCGTTCTGGAGGTTACTGTGTTAAAGTGGTGTTTGCAAATCCCCAGGCCTGGCATCTTCATCCATGTGGGCTGCCATAACAAAGCACCACAGGCTCATGAACAACAGAAATGCATTTTTCACAGTTCTGGAGGCTGGAAGTCTGAGATCAGAAGCCAGCCTTGTTGGGTTTTGGGGAAGGTCGCTTCCTGGTTCAGGGGTGGCATCTTCTGGCTGTGTCCTCACAAGGCAGAAAGAGCAGAGAAAGCTCTCTGGGGCCTCTTTTATAAGGGTCCTAATCGCATTCATGAGAGTTTTACCCATGACCTAATCACCTCCCAGAAGCTCTAACTCTAACACCATCAACTTTGGGATTTGGTTTTAATGTATCAATCTGGGGAGACACAAACATTCAGGTCATAACACCTGGTACTGCCACAGGAGGAGCAACTCCTCTGGCCAACAAACCCTCCCCTCTTCCCTAATAAAAGACAAACTTCAGCTGAACTAAATCTAAAGTATAAATGAGGAATGAATGATTCGCAAATCGGACAGCCTCCTCAGCTGTGAGACTCCAGTGCAGCCACGTGGTGGAAGAAGATTTACAGACAGAAAAAGGAAAGTGATGTACAGAAAACAGAAGAGAGGAACAGAAACAGCCGGATTGGTTATAGGTTGATGTTTGTCTTATTTGGCTACTTTTGATCAGCCAAAACTCGGTGACTGGCACAAGTGTAGGCTATGGTCTGTTCGTCCCTCTACTTGTTATAGTTCATGATGTACTGAGAAATCTTTAGGCCAAATTTAAAATATGTAAGGAGGCCGCATTAGGCTAAACTTGATTTAACAGCCCTGACAACTGCAGACGAATGTGGCATCTTTAATTTGTCATGGGTCTTAGGGGTCAGGGCGGTGCAGGGAGGTATGTGGGAAAGGGACAGAATCCCAGCCAGGTCCATGAGAGCTAAGATACTGAAGGTCTTTTAAGGTTTCTAGTCTTTAAAGTTTCCTGGGGCGGGGGGGGCGGGGCAGGGGTTGGACATTTCTGGGCCCCCACCAGAGCAGCTGACGCTGGAAGCCTGTTGTGGGTGAACAGTGGAGTCTTACTCTAGAAAGATAGGAGGAGACTCAGCAGATGTGTGTGATATGGTTTGGCTCTGTGTCCCCACCCAAATTTCATCTCAAATTATAATCCTCATATGTGGAGGGAGAAGCCTGTAATCCCCATGTGTCCAGGGAGGGAGGTGATTGGATCATGGGGGTAGTTTCCCCCATGCTGTTCTCATGATAGTGAGTTCTCATGAGATCTGATGGTTTTATAATTGTTTGACATTTCCTCCTGTACACACTGTCCCTCTCATCTGCTGCCAGTAAAATGTGTCTGCTTCCCCTTCCGCCATGATTGTAAGTTTCCTGAGGCCTCCCCAGCCATGTGGAACCATTAGTCAATTAAACCTCCTTTGTTTATAAATTACTTGGTCTTAGGTAGTATCTTCATGGCAGTGTGAAAAGAGAGTAACACAGAATCAGTTCCAACATTCATTGGTTTTCCTTTCTTATTGCAAAAGCAACATGCACTGAAGCAAAACCCCAGGTAGAGGCTGGGGTTGGGCCATCTTATGGCAGTTGCCCTAACACTGCGCTAATATGATACTACCCCCTACAGCGCCAGGAACACTGTTTCTGTTTGGTGAATGATTGAATTCGTCTTATTCATTTTTTCTTTTTTTTTTAGCTTTTTCTTTTCTTTTTTTTAATTATACTTCAAGTTCTAGGGTACATGTGCACAACATGCAGGTTTGTTACATATGTATACATGTGCCATGTTGGTGTGCTGCACCCATTAACTCGTCATTTACATTAGGTATATCTCCTAATGCTTTCCCTCCCCCCACCCCACAACAGGCCCCAGTGTGTGATGTTCCTCTTCCTGTGTCCAAGTGTTCTCATTGTTCAATTCCCACCTATGAGTGAGAACATGCGGTGTTTGTTTTTTTGTTCTTGTGATAGTTTGCTGAGAATGATGGTTTCCAGCTTCATCCATGTCCCTACAAAGGACACGAACTCATCCTTTTTTATGGCTGCATAGTATTCCATGGTATATATGTGCCACATTTTCTTAATCCAGTCTATCATTGATGGACATTTGGGTTGGTTCCAAGTCTTTGCTATTGTGAATAGTGCCGCAATAAACATAGTGTGCATGTGCCTTTATAGCAGCATGATTTACAGTCCTTTGGGTATATACCCAGTAATGGGATGGCTGGGTCAAATGGTATTGCTAGTTCTAGATCCTTGAGGAATCGCCACACTGTCTTCCACAATGGTTGAACTAGTTTACAGTCCCACCAACAGTGTACAAGTGTTCCTATTTCTCCACATCTTCTCCAGCACCTGTTGTTTCCTGACTTTTTAATGATTGCCATTCTAACTGGTGTGAGATGGTATCTCATTGTGGTTTTGATTTGCATTTCTCTGATGGCCAGTGATGATGAGCATTTTTTCATGTGTCTGTTGGCTGCATAAATGTCTTCTTTTGAGAAGTGTCTGTTCATATCTTTCGCCCACTTTTTGATGGGGTTGTTTGTTTTTTTCTTGTAAATTTGTTTGAGTTCTTTGTAGATTCTGGATATTAGCCCTTTGTCAGATGAGTAGATTGCAAAAATTTTCCCCCATTCTGTAGGTTGCCTGTTCACTCTGATGGTAGTTTCTTTTGCTGTGCAGAAGCTCTTTAGTTTAATTAGATCCCATTTGTCAATTTTGGCTTTTGTTGCCATTGCTTTTGGTGTTTTAGACATGAAGTCCTTGCCCATGCCTATGTCCTGAATGGTATTGCCTCGGTTTTCTTCTAGGGTTTGTATGGTTTTAGTTCTAACATTTAAGTCTTTAATCCATCTTGAATTAATTTTTGTATAAGGTGTAAGGAAGGGATCCAGTTTCAGCTTTCTATATATGGCTAGCCAGTTTTCCCAGCACCATTTATTAAATAGGGAATCCTTTCCCCATTTCTTGTTTTTGTCAGGTTTGTCAAAGATCAGATGGTTGTAGATGCGTCTTACTCATTTTTTTGTTTTTGTTTCTGTTTTTGTTTTTTTAGTATGCTTTTTACATCATTGACTTTTATAAGCTAACCAATACAGTTTTAAAATTTTCATTTTTAAACGAAAAGTGGCATTTCAGGCCAGGCACAGTGGTTCACACCTGTAATCCCAGCACTTTGGGAGGCCAAGGCAGGTGGATCAGTTGACGTCCGGAGTTTGAGACCAACCTAGCCAACATGGTGAAACCCCGTCTCTACTAAAAATACAAAAAATTAGCCACGCATGATGGCACACGCCTGTAGCCCCAGCTACTCAGCAGGCTGACGCATGAAAATTGCTTGAGCCCAGGAGCAGAGCTTGAAATGAGCTGAGATCACGCCACTGCACTCCAGCCTGGGCACCAGAATGAGACTTCTCTTAAAAAAAAAAAAAACGCATCTCAAATAAATGGGGCAAACAAACTGTGTTAAAACATTTATTTAAAATGTTTGGGGACAATCGGGTAGCCAGCTGAAAGACAGTGTAAATTAGAATCACTGTCATCCTTACACCAGGATCAATTCCTGATAGATCAAAGATTTATATAAAAAATTGAAATCCTAAAATAAAAAGTATATAATGAATGTTTTAAAAATAATCTCATAATGAGAAAGACTTATCTAAGAATGCTATAAATCCAGAAATGACTAAAGAAAAGATAGATACATTCAACCACACAAACATTTTTAAAAGTATAATCAAATTTAAAAGGCAAATAACAAAGTGCCAAAAATCTTGCCATTCATATCCTTAAATAGCTAATTTATTCTATAAGTCATAAAATTCTGGTTGACTGTAGGATAATGGTAGCTGCATGAATATTTCTTACACATCACCCCAACAAGCTATAAAATCAGCAGTAGTGCACATAAAACTACACATGACCTAAGCCCTCACCATTACATCACCACATGAAATTGGAGCCCCAGAAGGGGGCAGTTTAGGGGACAGGAAAATATTTTAAGAAATAATGGTTAAATTATTTTCTAAACATGATGAAAACTATAAATTCACAGTTCCAAGAAATTCAACAAGCCCAAAGCAGGAGAAAGAACACCAGCCAAGGTGCTCTTTTAATAATCAATAATTAAAAATCAATTTTAATAATCAAATTCCTTAAAACTAAAGATAAAGAGAAAATCTTAAAAGCAGCTAGAAAAAAGGATATATTACATACAGGGCACAAAGATCAAAATAAGGATTGATTTCTCATCAGAAATTATGCCAGCCAGCTGAAATGATACACAAAGAAAGGCATATTACCTCTGCCATATTTGTGCCCAACGCGTACAACCTAAAGTTGACATGTAAAATATCAGAAAATTCCAAATTGAAAGACGTTCTACAAAATATCTAGCCAGTATTCTTCAAAAGGTCATAGGTCAAGAAAGACAAAACCTGAGAAGCTGTGCCATACTCAAGGAGAATGAAGAAATGTGACAACCCAATGCAACATTGGGTTCCTGGATTGGACCCTGTACAAGAAAAAAGGATATTGGTAGGACAACTGAAAAAAAGCTTGAATAATGACAATATACAGAATCACTGCAATTTCCTGGTTTTGACCATTATACTATGTGATATGGTTTGGTTCTGTGTCCCCACCCAAATCTCATCTTAAATTGTACTCCCATAATTCCCACATGTTGTGGGAGGAACCTGGTGAGAGATAATTTGAATCACAGGGGCAGTTTCCTCCATACTGTTCCCATGATAGTGAATAAGTCTCACAAGATCTGACGGATTTATCAGGGGTTTCCGCTTTTGCATTTTCCTCATTTTCTCTTGCCACCACTATGTAAGAAGTGTCTTTCACCTCCCACCATGATTCTGAGGCCTCCCCAGTCATGTGGAACTGTAAGTCCAATTAAACCACTTTTTCTTCCCAGTCTCAGGTTTGTCTTTATCAGCAGCGTGAAAACAGACTAATGCAGTAAATTGGTACCAGTAGAGTGGTGCACTGCCTAAAAGATACCCAAAAATGTGGAAGCGACTTTGGAACTGGGTAACAGGCAAAGTTTCAACAGTTTGGAGGGTTCAGGAGAAGATAGGAAAATGTGGGAAAGTTTGGAACTTCCTAGAGACTTGTTGAATGGCTTTGACCAAAAGCTTGATAGCGATATGGACAATAAGGTCCAGGCTGAGGTGGTCTCATATCGAGATGAGGAACTTGTTGGGAACTGGAGCAAAGGTGACTCTTGTTATGTTTTAGCAAAGAGATTGGTGGCACTTTTCCCCTGCCCTAGAGATTTCTGGAACTTTGAACTTGAGAGAGATGATTTAGGGTACCTGGCAGAAGAAATTTCTAAGCAGCAAAGCACTCAAGATATGACTTGGGTGCTGTCAAAGCATTCAGTTTTATAAGGGAAGCAGAGCAAAAAAGTTTGGAAAATTTGCAGCCTGACAATGTGGTAGAAAAGAAAAACCCATTTTCCGAGGAGAAATTTAAGCTGGCTGCAGAAATTTGCGTAAGTAATGAGGAGCAGAATGTTAATCCCCAAGACAATGGGGAAAATGTCTCCAGGGCATGTCAGAGGTCTGCATGGCAGCCCCTCCCATCATAGGCCCAGAGGTCTAGGAGAAAATGGTTTTGTAGGCTGGGCTCATGGTCCCCGTACTGTGTGCAGCCTAGGGACGTGGTGCCCCGTGTCCTAGCCATTCCAGCCATGGCTGAAAGAAGCCAACGTCGAGTCAGGCCGTGGCTTCAGAGCGTGCAAGCCCCAAGCCTTGGCAGTTGCCACGTGGTAGAGCCTGCGAGTGCACAGAAGTCAAGAATTAGGGTTTGGGAACCTCCGCCTCAATTTCAGAACATGTACAGAAATGATTGGATGCCCAGGCAGAAGTTTGCTACAGGGGCGGGGTGCTCATGGAGAACCTCTGCTAGGGCAATGCAGAAGGAAAATGTGGGTTGGAGCCCCCATACAGAATCTCTATGGGGGCACTGCCTAGTGGAGCTGTGAGAAGACGGCCACCGTCCTCCAGACCCCTGAATGGTAGATCCACCGACAGCTTGCGCCATTTATCCGGAAAAGCCACAGACACTCAACGCCAGCCCGTGAAAGCAGCCAGGAGGGAGGCTGTACCCTGCAAAGCCACAGGGGCAGAGCTGCCCAAGACCAAGGGAAGCTACCTTTTGCATCAACGTGACCTGGACTCAAAGGAGATCATTTTGGAGCTTTAAAATTTGACTGACCTGCTGGATTTCAGACTTGCATGGGCCCTGTAACCACTTCGTTTAGGCCAATTTCTCCCATTTGGAACAGCCGTATTTACCCAATACCTGTAACCCCATTGTATCTAGGCAGTAACTAGCTTGCTTTTGATTTTACAGGCTCATAGGCAGAAGGGACTTGCCTTATCTCAGGTGAGACTTTGGATTGTGGACTTTTGGGTTAATGATGAAATGAGTTAAGACTTTGGGGGACTGTTGAGAAGGCATGATTGGTTTTGAAATGTGAGGACATGAGATTTGGCAGGGCCAGAGGCGGAATGATATGGTTTGGCTCTGTATCCCCACCCAAATCTCATCTTGAATTGTACTCCCATAATTCCCACATGTTGTGGGAAGGGACCCAGTGGGAGATAATTTGAATCATGGGGGTGGTTCCGCCATACTGTTCTTGTGATAGTGAATAAGTCTCACAAGATCTGATGCCTTTATTGGGGGTTTCTGCTTTTGCGTCTTCCTCATTTTCTCTTGCCGCCACCAGGTAAGCAGTGCCTTTTGCCTCCCACCATGATTCTGAGGCCTCCCCAGCCACGTGGAGCTGTAAGTGCATTTAAACCTCTTTCTCTTCCCAGTCTCGGGTATGTCTTTATCAGCGGCGTGAAAATGGACTAATACACTGTGGTTATGTATTATAGTCATATGATATTTTCATATTTTTGGAAGCTGGGTGAAGGGTAGATGTGGAGACCATGATTTTTGCAAATTTTTTTAAGTTTAAAGTTATTTCTAAATTAGAAGTTTAAAAAGAAGAAATCACATAAGCCATAACACAATAGAAAGATGTCTTTAAAGTTCAAGGCAGGAGGGATGTCTGGAAATCAGCGAGAAATTTGCACCTGTGTGTGCATGTGCATATGTGTGTGTGTATGTTGCAAGGACTTGGAAAGCCCTTTTTTTCCTACCTCTGTACTACTGTGGGGGGAGGCTAAACTTGACTTCTTCCCATCTTAGTTCTTTTTTGGGATAGACTCCTGTAACAAAAGACAGACAAGAGAAAAATCAGCTTACAACATGGGCCATGCACTTCACACAGGAGAAACCTGCATGAAAAGTAACTCAAAATGGTGCCTTAGAACTCCACTTACCTTTAGTAAAGAGCAATAAATTAGCAGGAAAATCATGGATCGGGACAAGGGAAGTGGTTTTATGCTTCCAAGGGCAGGAAATCATGGAAGGTAAATATATGGGAGGAAACTAAAGGAATAAGGCTTGTTTGCATATTCCTCTGATGCCATCTCTGGGTTGATAAGAGTCTAGAGTCATTTCCAGTAAAGATGAATTTTTATCTGTCTTTAGGAAGAAAGGGGGAAAGATAGAGAAAACTATTTCTCCATTTGCTGTTTCTTAATTACCTTCAGTTCAAAAATAATTTTTATATCAGAAAGGCATATTTAGAGGTATGTTAGTTTATTTTCACACTGCTAATAAAGACATACCCAAGACTGGGTAATTTATAAAGAAAAAGAGGTTTAATGGACTCACCGTTCCACATGGTTGGAGAGGCCTCACAATCAAGGCAGGTCTTACATGGCAGCAGGCAAGAGGGAGAATGAGAGCCAAGCGAAAGGAATTTCCCCTTAAAAATCCCCTTATAAAACCATCAGATCTCGTGAGACTTACTCACTACCACAAGAACAGTATGGGGGAAACCACCTCTATGATTCAATGATCTCCCACTGGGTACCCCCCAACAACACGTGGGAATTATGGGAGCTACAATTCAAGATAAGATTTGGGTGGGGACACAGACAGACCATATCAAGGGGTAACATAGTCTGGTTTCCTTTACTACCCACCTACCCAAACACCCCCTTCATCTGATCCACACAAAGTAAACTCTTGCAGTTCTCTCACTGTTTCCTGGAGTCTGCTTTTGGTCTCATAGGACTGCCCTAACGCTTGTTTTTCAGACGTTTAACCCTGTAGGTCTCTGGACAAATTTGCTTTAGAAGCCCCTCGATGTCGCCCTGAAGAGTGGCTTTCAGAAGTTGTGCCTCCTGCCTGAGGGGAGTTCCAGGAAGGGTTCTGCATCGCCTATGAGTTTATCTGGATCACCAGAGGCCTTCCCGTCAGAGCTTTCCCAATCGTTTTTGGCCAAGGAGTGTGAGAAGCTAAAGTTCATAACAACTGGAAGTCAGACAGCCTGGTCTATTCTGCTTTAACTCTAGCAGGAAAGGCCTTCATGGTGGGGCCTGAATATCTTCCTTTATAAAATCAAAGCCTGGGGACAGGGTTACTTACTTCTGAGGTTCAATCTGGCTCTAAAATTATGCAACAAATGCCATTCCTTTAGCACTTCCTTCCTACCGGGCGAGATACTCAACTCCACAGGCACCACCTCAGTTCATCCTCTCAGAAGTCCTAACAGCTCAGCCTGGGGCACCCCATTTTACAGATTAGTAAACTGAGGCTAAGAGAGGTTAGGTAGCTTGTTCAGGGTCATGCTGCTGGTAAAAGAGCTCAGGCTACAGTGCTATGCATTGAGTTTTCTCACTTTCCCATCTAACTGGAGGGCTAAAGGTCAAAGAGTGGGCAGCTCCCTTGTTGGGAGCTGTACAGGAATAATGTCCTCCCTGAAGGAGGGGGACTTCTGAGCCACACCCTGGGGTCCAGGGCTCACAGCCTTAGGAGCAAAATCGTCCACCCCCTTCCTGGTTCCTCGGTGCTGCAGAGATATTCATAGGACAGAGTCTGAGTTCTGGCCACTTAACAGAGGAAGAAAGGCTGGCTCGGTGAGGTTAACTTACATCCCAGCAGCTAGGAACCGGGAGCAGAGGACCTCAGATTCACACCAGGGCAGGAGGCAATGGCCTGGCTGAAGCCTTCACAATCTTCCCAATATACTCCGCTGCCTTCCTTTATAAGGATCCATTTCTGAAACCCTGTGCCCTGGCCAGGCACGGTGGCTCACACCTGTAATTCCAGTACTTTGGGAGGCCAAGGCAGGAGGACCACGAGGTCAGGAGTTTGAGACCAGCCTGGCCAATATGGTGAAACCCCGTCTCTACTAAAAATAGAAAAATTAGCGTGGTGGCAGGCGCCTGTAATCCCAGCTACTCGGGAGGCTGAGGCAGGAGAACTGTTTGAACCTGGGAGGTGGAGGTCTCAGTGAGCTGAGACAGACAGTGCCTGGGTGACAGACAGAGACTCCGTCTCAAAAAAAAAAAAAAAAAGAAAGAAACCCTGTGCCCTAAGACCTGCACACTCGCTGGCTCCGCTCAGACATTTAGCAAAGCAGACACCTTCCCAGGCCTGGAGGAAACAGCCCCTGCTTTTTGGGAATCCACAAGCCCGCAGCTGCAGAGCTCGACCTGGATGGGCAGGCAAAGGCTGACTCCTGTGCGTGGTGTGAGTCCAGCCTGGCCCCTCTACACCCTCACTTTCACCTCTTAAAGAACTGCCTATTAACAGAGCAGGTACTGCCCAAAAGGAACACTCTGGAAACTTGTTGGGACACTTCTGCCTTTCACAAACGTTTGGGGGGAGTACTACTAGCATTTAAGGATTGAGGGTTAGCAATGCCAGACATACCAGAACACGCAGGGCAGTCTCCCATGATGAAGAGGCCGCCGGGTTCCCCAGGACTCACATGTCCACCTCAAGTTCACGTGGGATTATCTGAGCCTAGACTGTCAGTCCTGGGGCTGCTTTATTTCATATAAAAATATAATATTTATCCAAGGTTTTACTACACACTGCATTTTCTGTGAAGACAATGACCGTGTAAATCAGGGAAAGATCTATATTTTATTTTGTTTGAAACTTTACCAAGCATTATTTACCATTTCAAAAGCTCTATCCCTGGTAGTACCATTGGTTTTCTTGTTCACCGGCCAGCAGTGAGCAGCACACAAGCGACCTCCCGTGGGCTCCACATTGGACAGCCTCACTGCACCTGCCCAGGCCCTTAGGCCACAGCACTGCCATATTCAGGGACACATTATTCTCTTTTATTATGCCTCCATATTATCATTACAGCATTATCTTTTTTTTAATTTTGTGGGTAGATTATATTAGCTATACGTTTCACTTCAATGGTAGTAGTAAGGGGCACATAACAAAATATTTACTTATATATATTAAAAAAGAGAGTCTGAGAAGTCTGAAAAGTTTTGCCATAAACGGTCTCCACCAGCCTCAACTCTGAGTGCCCGAGGATTCAGTCTCAAGTCCAGCAACATTGTGAAGCAGGAAATTTACCTTGAAAGGAGCTATGTACTCTAAGTAGTGATTTACCTGTCTGCCTCCCCCACTGGATTGACCAGTTCCTTGGGGGCTGAGAGAACAGGTCCTGAACATTTCTGCTGTGCCCCCCAACCCACATCCTCATAGTGTCCAGTACCAGGCTGGGGACTCAGGAAGCATCCATGGGATCCCCCAGTGCCTTCTTTCTCGAGGTGTTCAGCACCTAGAACAGCTCAAGACAAATTCCCCACACCCCACCCAGACAGAGCTGAATCTTACTGGGGCGAAGCCTTGAGTTGCAAGGCAGAAGCTCTCGTGATGGGATTTGGGTCATATTCCGGGTTATAGGAGGAGCTGGGGAGTATGGGAAGCCTCCCACTTGGTCTTTGGTTTTCCAGAAACTCCACCATCACAAGCAGGATGTTAATCAGTAACCGTCCCACAGGGGATCATACTTTGGAATAGCAAATATTTGCTGAAGGTTCTGGGCTGCAAAGCTGAAGCTTTGGTTTCTGCTCTAAATGAAGGACTTTTCCAGGACCCAAGGCCACACACTGGTAAGAGGCAGTGGGTTACAGGAGACCTTCAATGAGTCTAATCAGGGAGGGACCGGGAAGGATGGTATCATCCCTGGGCGGGCTCCAACGTGAGGGCTGTGTGGCTGAGCAGTGCAAAGACCTCCATCCTACACTCCACAGGGACTGTACATACAGATTGGGAGCTGGAGTGGGGTAAGAGGCGAATTATAGACACAAGGGGCTCCTCTGCAGGAAGGAGGCCAAGGGAAAGAGGCTTGAAAGGCTTGATATTTCACCCACCACCACTCACTGCCGGAGTAAGCAGGTCTCCCCTTCCCAGGGCTGAGGGGAGGCAGGGATGTGTGCTGTCCCAGGGCTGAGAAGTGGCAGGTGAGCTGGTGATTCCTTACTGCCCAGGTTCTGTCTAGGAAGGTGCGTCCTCACCATGCTGGATGGTGTCCTAGTCCAGGAGCACCCCCTGAGCTCCTGGCCTAGACTCCAAAGGGTTGGGTAGATGAGCAAAGACTTTACAAAGACCTTAGGCGATATATGTCCAGGAGCACCCAGGAATTACTGGGCTACCACTGCAGACTGCAGGACAAGCTCCAAGAACAGGAAGGTAAGACTCAGCATTTGGAGGTGGTGACATCTAGTTGGCGTGCTGGGCTAATTTCCTGACCATTGTACAGGGAGAAGTAACCTTGAATTCAGGAGTATTCTGTGTGGTCTTAATGTAGAAAGTAGCACTAAATGATGCCACGTAATCGTTTTAGCTCAGGCTCCTCTAACAAAACACCACAGGCTGGGTGGCTCCAACAGCCATTGATTTTTCACAGTTTTGGAGGCTGAAAGTCCGAGTCAGGGTGCCAGCGTGGCCGGATTCTGGTAGGGCTGTCTTCTTGGCTTGCAGATGGCCACCTTCGCACCGTGTCCTCCCATGGAGAGGAGGTGCGGAGGGGGACTCTGCTCTCTTCTTATGACAGCACTAGTGCTATCACAGGGGCCTTGCCCTCACGACCTCATCTAAACCTAATCACCTCCCAAGCGCCCCAACTCTATTGCCATCACAATGGTGGTTCGGGCTTCAACTTATTAATTCTCAGGGGACACATTCAGTCCATAACAATAAAAGCGTGAAACTGGGCTGCGTTTACACTGAAAGAGCTATTTACCCAACGTTTACAATACTTGGGTGACCTGTTGAATGCAGGCTTGCCATTTAGAGTCAAAAAGAGCTTCCTCAACAGTGTCCTTTGGGAAACACAGTGGAAGTATTTCACTGCTTCTACAGGGGAGAGGGTAGTGCCGTTCAGACTGCAGAGTGAGGCCCTGAATTCCGGGGTGCCATTCAGCCCGAGCAAGGGGCAACATGCTGGGCCCTGGCGCTGGAGGCGGTTTTGTCCCAGGCATAGATAAGGACTCAGCCCCTGCATCAGGAAGAGGCCTGGCAGCACCGCCTGTCAATACATTTTGCCGCAGGTGACCTTGGTCAAGAATAAGGGTCTCTGCTGATGGGAACTACTGTGAGGCCGGCAGCATCCACCCTGCGCTCACTGGGCTGGGTGGCCTACCCCACCCAGACCCTCCCAGGGCAGTGGGCCCAGAGAGAGGATGAGGGAGGGCAGGTGTCCCAGGGGTTCTGCCCAGCCAGCCTCTGGGATCAGGCCTGCAGTGTGGCTGAACACCAGAACTGAGTTTGGACACAGCCAGGTGGCCCAGGCCAGTCCCAAGCCATGTATTTGGATGGAAAACATGGAAGTATTCAGGAGCCAGGCTCTGTGTCCAAGGATGTGGAGGGAGCCTAAAAGGCGACAGAGAAGGGGACAGCTAACGGTGAAGAAGTGTAGCTCCCACACTGCAGCCTAGGACAGTGAGAACCGGCATGCAGCCCAGGTGGCTGAGGGCTCTATGAAGCCACAGTGGAGGGAGCCCAGAAGTGGGTTGTATGAATTGCGGGGCCTCCTGCTACCCGGGAGCTGCAGCTATAGGAAGGAAGGAAGGAAGGAAGACCTCCAAGGAACTGTGTAGCAGAGGTGCAGTGCAAAGAGAATTTTGATAAAAAATCCAGGAAAGCTCCAATACTTTCCCCCTTCCTTGCCTAACGGGCATGCAGGCACTCCAATCCCCAGCCAAACAGGGCACTGGGCAAGGCCGGCCACCCATCTGGATGGGCAGCCTGACGACCAGATGGTCAGGGCAGTGAATGAAGCAGATCAAGGAAAGGTGTGTGAGGACCCCTGATTCCACCTGCTTGGACCCCCACCTTCTGTGCTGCCTCCTGCTCCCAGAGTGGACTCTCTTGCCCTGGCCCTCAGGGAGGAGACGGGATGAATGAAAACGGGGTCAGGACTGAGAGCTGCCTGCCGGCCTGGCAGGGAATGGGAACTGGAGGAGGTTTTGCTCTGTGAAATAATGTCCCCTCTTTGGGTGAGCAAATGTCACCCACACTTGCTCTAGGTCTCCCTGGGGCAGGGCTAACCTACTTGAGCCACAGGAAGGAGGCAGGGTCCCTGAAGAAGCTTTTACTATCCACAAAGACATTTTAGGAGGCATTAAAACCATCTCTATCCTCTCCTCTCCACAGGAAGTCTTGCAGCTGAAGGGAGGCACTCCTTGGCCTCCGCAGCCGATCACATGAAGGTGGTGCCAAGTCTCCTGCTCTCCGTCCTCCTGGCACAGGTGTGGCTGGTACCCGGCTTGGCCCCCAGTCCTCAGTCGCCAGAGACCCCAGCCCCTCAGAACCAGACCAGCAGGGTAGTGCAGGCTCCCAAGGAGGAAGAGGAAGATGAGCAGGAGGCCAGCGAGGAGAAGGCCAGTGAGGAAGAGAAAGCCTGGCTGATGGCCAGCAGGCAGCAGCTTGCCAAGGAGACTTCAAACTTCGGATTCAGCCTGCTGCGAAAGATCTCCATGAGGCACGATGGCAACATGGTCTTCTCTCCATTTGGCATGTCCTTGGCCATGACAGGCTTGATGCTGGGGGCCACAGGGCCGACTGAAACCCAGATCAAGAGAGGGCTCCACTTGCAGGCCCTGAAGCCCACCAAGCCCGGGCTCCTGCCTTCCCTCTTTAAGGGACTCAGAGAGACCCTCTCCCGCAACCTGGAACTGGGCCTCACACAGGGGAGTTTTGCCTTCATCCACAAGGATTTTGATGTCAAAGAGACTTTCTTCAATTTATCCAAGAGGTATTTTGATACAGAGTGCGTGCCTATGAATTTTCGCAATGCCTCACAGGCCAAAAGGCTCATGAATCATTACATTAACAAAGAGACTCGGGGGAAAATTCCCAAACTGTTTGATGAGATTAATCCTGAAACCAAATTAATTCTTGTGGATTACATCTTGTTCAAAGGTACTTTGATAATGTTCTGCTCTCCCAAGGCCACAGGGCCCTACGATTGTCTCTCCCTTTCCTTTCGTTAGGCCAGCATATGATTAACGCTACGTGATTTTCTATGAATGTGTTTTCACGTTTCAAAAACAGATTGATACACATATTGAACAGTGCCAGACGCTGTCATTTGAGGCCCTTCCCTGGTATCCTATGTGCTTGTAGTCCTTATTATTTTCAGAGCACTCTACATAGCTCCCCTCTGACACTTAGAAGCATAGGGTCTTTCCAAAAAACAGGGGGCTGGGGGATTATCTGGGGGATTTAGGATTGCATCATTGCTCCTTCATTTTTACTTTTTGACCAACTCTCTGCCCTTAGATTCCTATTATAGAAAATAGGGACACTCCACCTACTACAGTGTTAGAGGCTAAATGAGACAATGAATGTAAAGTGCCCAGATGGGCTTGGCACATAGCAGACACTGAGTATCTATTGTTTACTTGTTCTTCCAAACTGCCAATCAGCAGGTAGAGCAGGAGTTGTCTCCTTTCTAAAGATGAAACCAGCTCAGAGACGTTAGCTTGATCAAGGTCACACAGTAAGTGGCAGAGGCAAAACCCAAACAAGGGCCTCCTGACCCCCTGATCCTAGGTTCTGTCCAGCCCTGCCTCCCTAATGGGGCACTGGACGTGGGTTGGATGCCACTTTCGCAGAGCTGGCACCAGACTTACAAAGCCCCGGCAGGGGAAGCCACTTTACAACCAGCCAGGCCACACCCCCAGGGCAGACGTTTATGTAGAGAGTAATGTACCTGCCTGCTAGTAGCCTCTGCATTGTGGGGCCTTCTCTCAGAACCACACTAAACAGTGGGTGGGTGAGAAGTGTCACTCCTGCCACCTTGGACTCTGCATGTGCTTGTGCCTGGTGTGAATGAGACAAAGTGGCAGTCAGAGGTGCCAGGCAAAGGCTTTTCTCTAAGCTGGAGCCAACTATGAGGGAACGACTGTGAATTCCGTTCAGGTCCAGGACAATGAGAGGAGCCAGGGATTGTTAGGAAACATTTCCCTGCTTTCGTGTGCGATTCCCAATAGGGCCTGCGAGTGGAGCTGCATTTTGCTAGCTGGGCTAGAGGACGGGGAAAATTTTGGGGAAATTTATTTTGCCTGCCTGAGCTGTGGAAAAGCCAACCCAATTAGGGAACGCCTTTCCTAGTTGGAACGAGAAGACGAGAAGTGAGAGAAGTGAGATAGAAGGCTCCCTCTCTATTATTTGAGCAAGAACAATGCTTTTCAAAGAGGGAATTTCTGCAATGAGTTCTTCTCTTACTTGTTCAGGGAAATGGTTGACCCCATTTGACCCTGTCTTCACCGAAGTCGACACTTTCCACCTGGACAAGTACAAGACCATTAAGGTGCCCATGATGTACGGTGCAGGCAAGTTTGCCTCCACCTTTGACAAGAATTTTCGTTGTCATGTCCTCAAACTGCCCTACCAAGGAAATGCCACCATGCTGGTGGTCCTCATGGAGAAAATGGGTGACCACCTCGCCCTTGAAGACTACCTGACCACAGACTTGGTGGAGACATGGCTCAGAAACATGAAAACCAGGTACAACTCTTGCCCACACCCTATACAAACTCTACCTTTCTGTACTGGCAAACGCTCAGCACAATTTCATTGAATGCACCGTGATTTAATGTCTCCTCCAGTGAGCTATAAGTTTCCTGAAGGCAGGGCAGCATTTGTCTTTTTTTCCACTCTATCCCCAGCATCTGTCACAGGGTGCCTGGCTGATTCATTCATTGAGTCCATCAGTATTTTACGTTCTGCGACTGTGATAAATATATGATGCCAGGGATCCATCAGCAAACAAAACAGGCAAAATTAGTCTGCCCTCATGCAGCTTACATTCTATTGAAGGAAGACAAAGAGTAAATTAAAAATAGGTAATAATGCAGGGAAGGGGACAAGAAGCATCATCAGGATGCAGATGGAGGTTAGACAAGGCCTCTCCAAGAAGGTAACAGTAAGCAAACATCTGAAGATGAAGGATAAACCATGTGGATATATTCGGGGAGAGAAGTGTTATGTTACAGGCAGAAGTGTACAAGTTCTGGGATGGGAGTGTACCTGGTGGGTTTGAAGAACATCAAGGAGACAAGTGTGGCTTCAGCAGTTGGAGATAAAATCAGAGAGGAAACAGGGGCCCAGTCCCCAGAAAAGACTTGGGCTTTCCTGAGAGAGGCAGGAAGCCACTGGATGGTTCTGAGTAGAGGAGCAACCTGATTTTGACTTCTGTTTTTAAAGGATCACATAAGCTCCTGTGTTGAGAAAAGACACTAGGGGGTAAGGATGGAAGCAAGGGAGAGTGGTTAGAAAGTTACTAGCAATCCAGGTAGAGATGCTGCTACCTGGACTGCGGTGGTGGTAGTGGAAGTGGTGAGAAGTGGCTGGATTCTGGATCTATTAGGAAGTGCAGGATCTGCTAATCGATTGGATGTGGGTGAGAGAGGTGTCAAAGGTGATCACAAAGTTTTTGGCCTTAGCAACTGGAAAGACGGATTTGCCATTTACTGAAAGGGGGAGGAACAGGTCTGGGGTAAGTGCAGAAGTTCAGTCTTAAACACTTGGATCAGAAATATCTATTAGACATCCAAGTTGAGATGTCAAGACGACAGGTGGATCTGGAGTCTAGGGTGAGGTCCAGGCCGGAGATATAAATTCGGTCATCAACACAGAACTAGAATCTAGACACATGACAGGGTTGGGGTCTGTAAATATAGAGGAGAGGAAAAGAAAGCACAGAGTGGGCACTGAAATGTCTGCCCAATAAATTAATCCACCTATTGGAGTACAAGGAAAATGGCTGCAATACGAATTCCATGGCTATGGCTTCTGAATCCTGTGACTCAGATTTTGGCAGACAAGTGCAGCTAAAGGTCCCCAGGGTTAGTTTTATCTTCATTATTCTTCTTTCATTTTTCTTCATATCTTTAGCACCTAACAATGAACCCCAAACATCATAAGCCCTCAAGTAATGTTTGCTGAATGAATAACTTTTTAAATTAATCTTCAAGACACGTCATGTCCTCAATTATTTTTAAATAAATAAAAAAATTTTATTTTGAGCCACAGAACTCATCTTTTCAAGCAACATATTTTCAAAGGAGGACTCCAGTATACAAAATAGATGGTATCAGAGCTTCTCTGGCTAAAGACGGGTAGGGGTTGAAAGTTTTCTTTGCTCCCCTCCCCATCCATCCCCAGACTCCTCGGGTCTGCAGAATCCAGGAGCTGAAAACAGCCATCATCCAGGAGGCTGCAGGACTGCTGAAAGCAGCTGTTAACTCAGGTTTTTTTTAAAATATAGGGAAATGAACACATAAGTACTTTGCTAAAGAAAACGTGAGTCACTGGCTGAGGAATAAAACTCATTCACTGAAGCTGAAGTACTATTTGATAAGCTAGAAATATTTTCCCTGAGTAGACCACTGTAAAAGAATGGCATGAACTACATAGTCAACTGAAAGACTCATTAATGGAAATAATCTTAAAGAACAAAAATTGTGACCTTTTTGGTGTCCACAGACTAGGGCTTTGTCTACATTTCACCATCATCTGTTCTTGTACCACAGAAACATGGAAGTTTTCTTTCCGAAGTTCAAGCTAGATCAGAAGTATGAGATGCATGAGCTGCTTAGGCAGATGGGAATCAGAAGAATCTTCTCACCCTTTGCTGACCTTAGTGAACTCTCAGCTACTGGAAGAAATCTCCAAGTATCCAGGGTAAGTCAGGATCTTTCATCAGAGCCCAACCTCAGCATGAAATGTCACCAAAACAAATGCTTTTACAAACCATTTAACTTTGATAAAATACCTAATTGTAGTGGAAAATTAGATTTAAGTCCCAAATACTTGAAATAGCACCCAGGTTGGATGTTTTAAGAATTTCAAGCAACTTCATTAAAATAACTTTTCAACTAATTTATTTTAAGCAGACCTCTCCCCCTCTGCTTAAAGTGCTCAGGGAGAAATTTGACCCTGAAATAGAACTGGTTTACAGAGGCATCATCATTTATGTTGAATACAACTTGAATAGTTCATGAAATTACACCACCTTTACAATGAAACAAACCCCTAGACATCATCTAGCCCAACTTCTCCCTCCTTGTGGAAATCCCCTCCATAGCCCTACGAAATAGCCCTCCAACTTCTCTTCCTCTTCATGCTTCCAGTGACATCAAACTCACCATTTCTTTGAAGAGCTGCCCAATCCACAAATAGCTAAAATTGTTATATGTATATATATATATGTGTGTATATATATGTATATATGTATGTGTGTATAAATGTATATGTGTGTATATGTGTGTGTGTATATATATATACACACACATATATATATATATGGAGAGAGACATACATATATATATGGAGAGAGAGAGAGAGAGAGTCCTGTAACTTCTGATTCATACTTTTTGGTCCTAGTTCTATCTCTAAAACTTCTAAGAACAAGTTTAGTCACCATCCACATAGAATCCCTTCAGTTACTCAGTGTTTCTCAGTGGAAGGGTTCTTGGTTTTGAGGGGAACTGCTTGTTGTCCAGAGCAGTTGTGCATGTTGCAGGGAACTGGTTAGCATTGCTGGCCCATGTTCACTAATGCCAGTAGGAAACTCCAGTCATCACTATAAAAATGCTCCCACACATTTCCAAATGGCAGCTACATCTCTCTACATTCTTCCTTAGCTGTGTGGTTTAATATTTTCTTATACAATTGCAATTTTCAATTCCAAGAGAGACTAAAAATGGCATCCACTTAAGTAGGACACAGTAGGGTAACTGTGGCCTGGAATCAGGTCTTACAACCTCAAGAGAGGTAAGACAATTAAATAAAACAATCCGTCAGACCAGCACCTGAAAGTGTTTCTGCTATGAACACATGAAAAACTGAAATGCGCTGCTGCTTTATGAAGGGTCATCATGAAATTTAAACTGTAAATGATTAAATATTCTCCCTCTGTTTGCTCTGGGGAATTAATTTTCCTCTAGGAAATCAGGGAATTTCCTGGAGTGAAAATCAGTGTAATTACATGTTATGTTTTCATTATCTCTTATAACACAGTAATTATATAGGTACATCACTCATATCACATCTTGTTTCTGTAAAAAAGGGCCTCCCAAACATAGCAAGCAGCCACAGTATAGGCAGCCAGAATTCAGGAAGGCTCCAGGGACCCCTGGGCTTGGCCCAGAAAAATGCCTCAGAGTAGTACCAGGTGCTGGGAAGCTGCTACAGAAGACTAGCCATTCCCTGCCTCCACCTTGCCTGCCAAAAGGAAAGTCAGAGGACTCAAGGGATCCAGGGATCAAGGGATCCAGGCAGCTTGAAAACCTTTTAGGAGCACCAGCTCAGCTCAAGAATTAGTAGCATAAATTACATGCTCAATAAAGATTTGATGCATGAGTGCATCCTGAGTCCATGCCCGGAATGTGTTTCACATATTCCACAATACTTCACATTGGGTTCCTGAGGTCTCCTGGTATTGTTTAAGACTCCTGTGGCAGTCCCTGGTGCAACCCCAGACCACTCCTCTTAACGTAGATGGGCCTGCTCCACTAAATCCCAGGAGCATGACCCCATGGGTAGGACCACTGTGAAGAATTTCAAGGGGCTCATTTAATTCCTCCTTTGCACTGCCACACAAATGGTTTTTCACATTATTTCCTTTTTCCAGGTTTTACAAAGAACAGTGATTGAAGTTGATGAAAGGGGCACTGAGGCAGTGGCAGGAATCTTGTCAGAAATTACTGCTTATTCCATGCCTCCTGTCATCAAAGTGGACCGGCCATTTCATTTCATGATCTATGAAGAAACCTCTGGAATGCTTCTGTTTCTGGGCAGGGTGGTGAATCCGACTCTCCTATAATTCAGGACACGCATAAGCACTTCGTGCTGTAGTAGATGCTGAATCTGAGGTATCAAACACACACAGGATACCAGCAATGGATGGCAGGGGAGAGTGTTCCTTTTGTTCTTAACTAGTTTAGGGTGTTCTCAAATAAATACAGTAGTCCCCACTTATCTGAGGGGGATACATTCAAAGACCCCCAGCAGATGCCTGAAACGGTGGACAGTGCTGAACCTTATATATATTTTTTCCTACACATACATACCTATGATAAAGTTTAATTTATAAATTAGGCACAGTAAGAGATTAACAATAATAACAACATTAAGTAAAATGAGTTACTTGAATGCAAGCACTGCAATACCATAACAGTCAAACTGATTATAGAGAAGGCTACTAAGTGACTCATGGGCGAGGAGCATAGACAGTGTGGAGACATTGGGCAAGGGGAGAATTCACATCCTGGGTGGGACAGAGCAGGACAATGCAAGATTCCATCCCACTACTCAGAATGGCATGCTGCTTAAGACTTTTAGATTGTTTATTTCTGGAATTTTTCATTTAATGTTTTTGGACCATGGTTGACCATGGTTAACTGAGACTGCAGAAAGCAAAACCATGGATAAGGGAGGACTACTACAAAAGCATTAAATTGATACATATTTTTTAAGATGTTTGTGCAATCTGTCTGGTATTTTAAGCTTGTTTCTAAGAACCTTAGTTACTTGGCTAAAGACTAGCTGGGTAGAATATCTTTTCTCTGTTGCTCACATATTTTCATTTTTAAAAAGTTGCAGATGAGAACACTATGTCAAGATAAAGCCTTTGGGAGGAACACATGTAAACATTCTCCTTGAGTCATGTGCTTCTCTCTCTTTCCTTCTCTCTGGTGCAAAATAAGTGTTTTATTTTAATCTATTACGGAGTCATTTCTTGCTGACTGACATCAGAAGAAAATAGCTCTAACCAGTCCTGATCACAGCATCTGCTTCCATGGTGCATCAAATCGCTTGGCAGAGGCATTGGCTGAATCACAGATCATCTAGTTCAATACCTTCATTTTACAAAGGAAAGAAAGAGGGACCCAGAAACAGGTCCATATTCTTACTTTCATGGGCCCTAGGCACGTTTAACCTTGTAGACTCCTCCTTCCTTCATGAAGATATATATGTTCTATGGCTGCATTGGTAGAAAGATGAATATATTCGTCTTTCAAAGTTGCATATCTAGCTTCAAAGTTATATGTCTAGCATATGGCAATAAGCAAAACACCTTCATGGGCCCTTACAGTACTGTCAGCCTTGGGCACTGTGTCTTCTGCATCTAGTGGATAAGTCATACCTTATATACCAGTGGGAACAAAATACTTGTCCAAGGTCTTCCAGTGTGGCAATGGCAGAGTCAGAAGCCTACCTTTCCTGAGTCTAGTCTCCAAGCCCTTTTTACTCTTCCTTCCATCTAAAACATCTGATGGGGACCAGGTAAACAGCATGCACTACAGCTACCCATGGGGGTTAAACAGAATATAAGCATGAACTTTGTCCCAGGGTGAAAAGGAAAATCGTAAATATCCCTGATCTTCCTTAGGCAGTTATTTTCTGTCACAGAAACAGAAAAGACTATATTCAGAGAATCCTGAATAGAGCTGATTTACAGTGTGAACTATGTTAACTAAATGCCTAATTGGATTTCTGTCTGTCTGCTATCTAATGTTTAAAAAAACCTAAAATTCATTTATTGATTAGTTGTTTAATATAATTCAGAGTAATGTGAATAGGTAATAATATTAATATGCAGTCTAAATACTGACTTTTCATCATTCCATAACCTGGACTGATGAAAAGTCAGTATTTAGACTGCATATTAATAAAATAAAATTCATTCCTGTATTCATTCCAAGAGTACTAATTGACACTTATGAAGGGACAGGCAATTCTAGGCCCTAGAGGGCCAAAGACAGAGGACTAACTCTATCTGACATTCTTAAGTCACCTTGTTTGTGTTCAATTAGTCAGATTTGTTTGTGGAAAAATAGTAGAAAGAGGAATAAAGTAGCATCCAGTCCAATTTCCCACTTTTAAGAGATGAAATCTGGAAAAATAAGTCTGTGAGAGCACAATACTCACTGAAATCAATATGGCCAAACCCAGTAATAAAAAGGTACATTATTATTGAAGGATTCATATAGCATGCAGATAAAAAACTCCTGCCTTCTTCCCACCACATACACTGCAAAGCAACAACAGCATAATAATTGTATTTAATATACTACTCTTTAAGGTAGAAAATGGACCTATTCTATATTTTAAATATACTTTTTAATGTTCCCTCACATTTGCTTTAAGAAGTTCCTAAGACACTCAGTTTCAGATTTCCCAAGTACACAGGCATGACAGAAAAACGCAGACCAATAAAAAATGTAACTTACCTTACACAAATACATACACACAAATTCAGGGTTTCCAACCGAGCGGGGGAAATCTTAACATTGTAGAAGTCTTCACTATATATGTGTCGAGTTTTTGTTTTTGTTTTTGTTTTTGTTTTGAGACAGAGTCTTGCTCTGTCACCCAGGCTGGAGTGCAGTGGTGCGATCTCAGCTCACTGCAACCTCCACCTCCCGGGTTCGTGCCATTCTCCTGCCTCAGCCTCCCGAGTAGCTGGGACTACAGGCACCTGCCACCACGACCGGCTAATTTTTTGTATTTTAAGTAGAGATGGGGTTTCACTGTGTTAGTCAGGATGGTCTTGATCTCCTGACCTTGTGATCTGCCCGCCTCGGCCTCCCAAAGTGCTGGGATTACAGGCATGAGCCACCACGCCCGGCCAAGTGTCGAGTCTTAAAAATTGTTCCTACACAGACACACTCAACCACACGTTCTCACATATATATGCTGTAACAACTGAGAACAGGTTACTGACTTAATCTAATTCATTCTATCTTCATTGTAAAACTTCCACTCCAGCTGAAGAGCCTGTTTCATTTCAATTCAAAGATTTCTCATATATCCACTAATTGTATGGCAAAACTGACTCATCTCCAGACTAAGATATTCAAGCTCAGGAAGTCAAATAATAGAAATGATTTTTTAAATGTGTAAGAGGTTATAAAGAAAAACTTTATGTGCTCCTTATTTAACCTCTATTAAGTAAAATCCTTTATAGACCTATCTCCATTTCTGCAGTAAAAGTGAGCTCTACAGTTAGCTTGTAAGGCTAACTAGTGAAATTCCTGGACTTGTTCTTAAAAATGCAAGTTTTAGTAATTAACAAAATGATGATGAAGATGTCCCTTTTCCCTACAACTACAGATGGAGGGAGATTTTTCTTTGCCATACAACTAGCTTAAAGGATTAATTTGATAAGTTGTTAAACTGAGAACTTTCACAAAAGTATCCATCTTGTTTTTGATATAAATGGAGATACATGTAGTTATTCATAACTGTCAGTAATTTGCTGTTTATCCTGTTTCTATATATCTGTCCTTGAGAGTATAATTTTAATAAATATTTCAAAGATTTTAGGAAATGTCATGTTCTGTTAAAAAACTTCCAAAAGTAATTTTGATGAACAGTTTTGATAACTTAGTACTAACTAGGACTAAGACTGCAATTGACTGCTCTACATTCCTGAACTTTATAAGCAGTAGTTGTTTCTCTCTGTCAAATCAGTGTCCCCTTTTCCCATTTGCATCATGGGAAAGTGAAACCTTATAATTCTGCTAAATTTATTATAACAAATACATTGAAATTCTCCATTTTATTAAATTAATAGAATGTTATGAATCAAAGCACCAAAAAAACTGATGCAATTTTGATGTCTCGTTCTGTACCACATTCTCCAGATCTTAATATATTCAGTTCCACATTATTGGTGCTAGTAGGAGACATAATGAAAACAGTTAAATGAAATCCACAGCGAGTATACTGATTAACCAGTACTGTCAAATTTCTCATACCTATTGAATTTTAACTACTGACAAAATGAGCAGTAACAATTCCATTTACCTGATTGTCCTTTGGCAAAGGATATTATTAAGAATCACTAAAAATAGCCATAAAGAAGCCATATGGAAGGAAGAAGGAAAACAAATGGCATGAAAAGGTCTCTCACTGAGTAACTATGCTCTTATAGTTGACGCTGGTATATTTCTTTTATTCACTACCTAAAAATGAACTATCTTACTCTTTAATTATAGAATAAAAACTGCAGGAAAGTATTTAAGACTTTTTTTCACAAACACAGGTATCTCATTAACCTATGTTTTATTTTGAGTAAATTCATTATTCATTATTTCACATTATAAAAAGTAACCACACATACATATGCATTCACAAATTAGATCATCTTTATCATACATCAATATATTTTAAAAAACAAATATCTTCTAATATCAATATAGTTATATGCTGATTGCATTTTGAAATAGAGAAGCTGACAATAGCTTCACACGGTATATCTCAAGAACTGACAGTTTAAAATTAAGAACTGTATATATTCCACAGGCAAATTTTGATGGAAATATTAGCATTAGTACAAATAAATGCTGTTGACATAGCTTAAGCATGATAGCTTGGAATAACAGCTGATTCAGACTAGATTCATCATTTTAAATAAAGACAAGTACAATCTAAAATGTAAACAAAGTATTTATAAAATAAATTCTCTAGGAAATAAAGAAAATCATCAATCTATTATTTTTAAGGTATTTATAGCTCAAAGTTACCAGAAATCTTTGTGGAATTTTCACTGCCAAATTTAAATTTGGGAATGTCCGGGTACAACATATTGTCACCACAATCCGGAGGGCCGCCAAAATCGCAGACGGCTATTTGCATCCTTTCAGTGTGACTTTTCAAGTGGGCTTGGAGACTCATGAGAAAATGCAGTATCTTTCTCACCTTCCAAGTCCCCCTCCAAGTGCTTATCAAGCTAGGACAATTCAGCTGATGTAGACTTTCATACGATTTTTAAATGCTAAAACTCTAGAACAATTAAATGGCTGGTTTCCTGCACAAATAAATGCAGACTTGTCTCTTTTGCAGCAGTGGTTAAAGCACATTCCTAGAGATGTTTTTCATTACACTTCACTATAACATTGGAATTCCGTAACCACATTATTACTCAAGAAATATATATTATACCTCCTAGGGAATCTAATTTGAAATATGAAAAGTTTAACATCAGCTGTCATTATGTCTCTCTTTCTGCTCATTAACAACAACAAAAAAAAAAACCCAAAATTTAAAAACAAAGCCCCAGCCACTGCTTTAGCTTTTGTGTACCAATCACATTATCTCCTGCTGCCTTTGTTTTGCCTCCTTCATCAAGCAGTTGATTTAAGGATTGGATTTTCTGGATTTTCTTTGGGAAGAAAGAAATGAAGGAAGAGAGGGAGGGTGGGGAAGGAGGGAGTGAGAAAGGGAGAAAAAGAAAAAAATATGAAAAATGTTATTCATATAATGTGTACAAAGTAAATTAAAAATATATAGATACTCTACTTTGAATAATTCTAATATATGAGAAGTCTGATTAAGGGAAAAAATGAATTACACATTAAAGATTACTTGGAATGATCTTTAATTACCAAAAATTCTGTGTATATATATAACATAGCATTCAATTTAATTCATATTTTTCCTACATTTTTAATTTTGTATAACCATAATGGAAGTTACATAGGCATAAATATATGAACTGCCTTAAAAGACAAGATATAATAACATACCTATGCTTCCTTTAAGACACTAATATTCCTAAATACCAAATGTGTCATCTCAATGACACTGAAAAGCTGGGGAATGTATTGCATAGAATTTGAGAAGCAAAAATTAAGATAAATTATACTTTCCAAAATCACCTCATAGGCTTATTTTAAATGAAAAGAACATATTTTCACTTGGATATGGCCTGTTTTGAATTGTGGATACTATTTCACAGAAGAAAGACCAATGTGGATATCATCACCCATCCAGCCATGTGGCAGTGTGCACTCAAGAGAGATCCATATAAGTGCCACATCAGATGGAAATATAGTTACAAACTTGTATACCCAGTCACAAGTTAAAAAAGCAACTGTGGATATCAACGTCCCTCCTTTAGAATCAGAAAAGACTAAATAAACCTGATGTGTTATCAAAATGTTTGTTTCTAGATTCACTTTTTAATCAATTATACATATATATAAATTATATAAATAACTACATACTACGTATGTTGAACAAGAAAAAATTCAGTCTATGAAAAGGAAAAGCATGCTCAACAGTGAAACAACAGATAAAGAGAGTAATCTGAAAGAAAGGAGAACCAGCATAAATATACTGGGTTTCAATGGTCTTTACTGTAAAAAATGCCTATGGCATTTAGAAAAATATAGCAAGTGGACAAGAGATTACTTTTGATGTTACTAAATATGCTCTTCAACAGAAGAATTTCAGGGCAATCTTTTCAGAGGAAGAGGGTTTAGGGTAATAAAGAGGATTTCAGGATGCCAGAGCTAGAAGGCACCTTAGAGGAGGAGGAACCATGAGACAGCCCTGTCATGTGACAGACATGCACAGCGAGGGCCAGTGCGCTGAGTTGAACTTTGCACAACCACTTAGCTGCTGCTGGGAACGAGGCACACAAAGCTCTCTATACACCATTACCATGTCCTGCCTCTGTTTTCATGACTTTTTTTTTGAGACGGAGTTTCACTCTTGTTGCCCAGGCTGGAGTGCAGTGGCGCAATCTCAGCTCACTGAAACCTCCGCCTCCCGGGTTGAAGCGATTCTCCTGCCTCAGCCTCTTGAGTAGCTGGGATTACAGGCACATGCCACCACAGCTAGCTAATTTTTGTAATTTTTTAGTAGAGACAGGGTTTCACCATGTTGGCCAGGCTGGTCTCAAACTCCTGACCTCAGATGATCCACCTGCCTCGGCCTCCCATATTGCTGGGATTACAGGCGTGAGCCACTGCACCTGGCACTTTCATGACTTTTAAGTGGAACTTCCATCGTATAATCATGGGAGCAATAATTGTATAGCTAAAGAGCATTCTCTGTAAATAAAAATATACTCTGCATTGACATTAACCTGTAATATCAATGTTCATTTTTTTCTATTACTATTACATTTTTGTAATAGTACATTGGTCCTCTTTCCTTGAGCTCTAGTCAATAAATTTATTTCTAAACTTATTTCTAAATTTTGAATGAAGTTGGGCATATACCCAACGACCAATTACAATTTGGAATACACATAGTTTGGATGTTTGTCCCTGCCCAAATCTCATGTTGAATTGTAATCTGCAATGCTGGAGATGAGGCCTGGTGGGAGGTGTTTGGATCATGGGGCTGATCCCTCACGGCTTGGTGTTTTCTTTGTGACAGTGAGTTCTCGCAAGATCTGATCATTTAAAAGTGTGTGGCACCTCCCCCAACCCCACTTTCTCTCTCCTGCTCCTGTTTTTACCATGTGATGTGCCTGCTCCTGCTTCACCATCTACCAGGATAATAAGCCTCCTGAAGCTTCCCCAGAAGCAGATGCCGCTATGCTTCCTGTAAAGTCTGCAGAACTATGAGCCAATTAAACCTCTTTGCTTCATAAATTACCCAGGCCCAGGTATTTCTTTATAGCAATGCAAAACAGCCTAAATCAGATCCTAAAAGGGACTCCAGCACAGTTTTTGCAAAAGAATGTATTTAAGAAACTTTATTCAAAAATGCCCATGCATTCACTAAAATACATTTAAAAGAAAATCTAAATCTTGTTAAAAGTCTGTTCCAACCAGAAGGTTCAGGTGTCCTATATGAAATGGCTAACTTGTAACTATGGTTTGGGTATCCTGGCTGAATCATTTATACCCTGATATAGTCTCTTATCATGGTGATTTTTATGGTACCCCTCTCTTAAATATTTAAGGTAAAAGAAAGACTTCAGCAAATCAAGATACAAACAGCACATTAAAAGGAATCATGGGGGAAAAGGAGAAAGGAGGCCCTTTATAACCTCAGCTTCAAGACACAAGTACAGTCTGTAAATCTCTTCAGTTTATTGGACTCACAATTCTGGGTTCCATGCTGCCACTTATTTCTTAAGTGACATCAGCTTTACCAATCTTTCTGCACACTGGGTGATTAAATACCATATCCTTAAGCTAGGTGTTTAAAGGGATGCCTTCTTAGAGATAAATTCCCTAAATGTAAACATTTCATAGAAAAAAAATAGATTTCAGACATTAGTGGGAGCCATTTAAATGTTTCCTGTTGATTCCCTAAGGTTATAATGCCTTTGCCATATATAAGTTATTCTATATAAACTAACATAACAGAGTCACATGTGACAATAATACCCTTTAATTTATAACATTTTCTCATCACAGACATTTTCTATTCTTTGGAAAGTACTTAAGTGGGAAGGAAAGTGTGTTAAGCAAAAGAGGAGGATAATACACTCAGTCTGACATCACTTGATTACTTACAAGGTAGCCTTCCGTGGTTGTGTATCTTTACTTCCACTGCTCTTGGGGTCAACTGAGTTACCTGTCCCACGGGAAGTACTCGGTAAGGGAGTATTAGGAGAAAAGGAAGATGGAACGCTACTGGCATTACGAGTCCGGAATGAATCATCTGAAAGCAATACATATAAAGTCAGACATACCAAATATACTAACAAAGAGGGTAACCAAAGAGAAGAAAAGGTTAATGATAGCTAACTTTTTCACCTTTTAAATCAATTTTATGAGGGTATAATTTACATACAACAAACTGCAAAAAGTTAAGGTTTTGACATATGTACACCCCCATGAAGTCATCACCACAATCAAGATGTGAACATGTCTATCACTATGAAACAGTCCCTCATACCCCATCACAATCCTCCTCCTCCCTCTCCAAACCACTCCTGTCAACTATAAATTAGTTTGTATTGTCTAGAATTTTATATAAATGAAAACATACAGCATATACTCTTTTTTGTCTGGCTTCTTTCATTCAGCATAATTTTGAAAATCATTCATGTTTTATGTATCAATACTTCCTTCCTTTCTATTTCTGACTGGTATTGTGTGAATCTGTCAAAATTTGTTTACCCATAATATCTGTTGATAGACATTTCTATTTTTTTCCAGTTTTTATATATTACAAATAAAGCTGCTATGAACACTCACGTACAAGTCTGTGTGTGGACATATGTTTTAGTTTCTTCTCAGTAAATGCCAAGGAGTGGAAGTGCTGGGTCATAGACTAAATATATATTTAACTTCAAAAGAAACTGCCAAATTGATGTGCAGAATTTCTTTTCTTTCCTGACATTTCTGCCAGGAACATGTGAGTATTCTGGAGAGTTACTCCACATCCTCACACACACTTGATATTGTGAGTCTTTCTAGTTTTAGACATTCTAGCAAGTGTGAAGTGATATCTCCTTGGGTGCTTTTTTTATTGCTTTTAAATTTCCATTTCCCTAATGATTAGGACGTTAAGCATCTTTTCATGCACTTACTTGTGTATCTTTTGTGAAGTTCATGTTCAAACCTTTTTCCCATTTTAAAATTGGTTGCCTAATTTTTACAAAGACATCTTTGTATATATTCTGGATACAAATTCTTTGTCTGGTACATATGCTATGAGTATTTCCTCCAAATCTATGCCTTGCCTTTTATTTTTTTAATGCTCTATTTCAAAGCCCAGACGCTTTAATTTTGATTAAGTCCAGTGTGTTGATATTTTTGTTTTATGGTCAAGATAAATCTTTGTGTATTCCAAAATCACAAAGACTTTCTTCTGTATTTTCTTTAGAAAATATAGACACTTTTATGCTTAGGTTTATAATACATTTTGAGTATAGTATAATTTTGTGTATAGTGATAAGACTTGAGATTCACAGGAACGGAAAGTCAGATACTGCCTGTTTTCACTTATAAGTGGGAGCTAAATAATGTGTACATGTGGTCATAGAATGTAGAATACTTGTCACTGGAGACTAGAAAGGGTGGGAGTGTCAGAGGGGATGATGGATGAGAAATTACTTAATGGTAAAATGTACACTATTAGGTTACACTAAATGCCCAGACTTAACCACTGTGTAATATATCCATGTAATAAAACTGAACTTGTATGCCTTAAATTTATATAAATTTAACAAATAATTAAGGTTCAGGGTTTGTTTTTGTTTTTGTTTCTTTAATATGGATATCCAATGGTTCCAGCACTACTTTTTAAGTAGACTCTATTTTTTAGAACAGTTTTAAGTTTACAGCACAATTGAGTGGAAGGTACAGAGATCTCCCATATCTTCCCATTCATATACAGCCTCCCAACTTCAATGTCTCCCACCAGTGGTACATTTGTTGCATTGATGAACCCACATTGACATGTCATTATCACCCAAAGTCCACAGTTCACATTAGGATTCACTCTTAATGGCGTACATGCTACGGATTTGGACAATATATAATTGACATGTTTCCATCGTTTTGGTATCATACAGAGTGTTTTCACTGCCCTAAAAATTATCTGTGCTCCATCTATTCATTTCTCCTTCCCCCGAACCCCTGACAACTACTTATCATTTTACTGTCTCCATAGTTTCATCTTCTCCAGAATGTCATATAGTTGGAATGTTTCGATTTGCTTCTTTCACTTAGTAGTATGTATTTAAGGTTTCTTCATGTCTTTTCATGGCCTGATAGCTCATTTCATTTTAGCACTGCATAATATTCCACTGTCTGGATGTATCACAGTTTGTTTATTCATCTACCTACTGAAGAATAATTTGTTTGTTTCCAAATTTTGGCAATTATGAATAAACATTCATGCTCAGATTTTCGTGTGGATGTAAGTTTTCAACTCCTGTGGATAAATACCAAGGAGCACAACTGCTAGATCATATGGTAAGAATGTCTGGTTTTGTAAGAAACTACCAAACTGATGTTCCATAGTGGCTGTACCATTTTGTATTCCCACCAGCAATGAATGAGAGTTCCCATTGCTTCACATCCTCACCAGCATTTGCTGTCAGCGTTTTGGATTTAGACCATTCTAATAGGTGTGTCATGGGGCTTCATTGTTTTAATTTGCATAAACCTGATGACATATGAGGAACATCTTTGCATATGCTTGTTTTCCATCTATATATCTTCTTCAGTGAGGTATTTATTCAAGTCTTTGCCCATTTTTTAATCAGGTTGTTAGTTTTCCTACTGTTAAGTTTTACAAGTTTTTTGTATATTTTGGATAAAAGTCCTTTATCAGATTATGTGTTTTGCAAACATTTTCTCCCAGTCAGTGGCTTGCCTTCTCATTCTCTTGACAGTATTTTTCAAATAGTAGTTTTAATTTTAATGAATTTCAGCTTATTCTTTATTTCATAGATTGCGCCTTTGACATGGTATCTAAAATGTCATTACCATAAGCAGGGTCATCTAGATTTTCTCCTATGTTAACTTCTAGGAATTTTATAGTTTTGCATTTTACATTTAGAACAGCGATTCATTTTTGAATACATTTTTGTGAAGGGTGTAAAAGATCTAATTTTGTTTTTTCATGTGGGTGTCCTATTGTTCCAGCTGCATTTGTTTGAAAAGACTATCTTTTCTCCATTGTATTGGCTTTGCTCCTTTGTTAATGATCATGTGACTACACTTACGTGGGTCTATTTCTGGGCTTCCTATTCTGTTCCTTCAATCTGTTTGACTATTCTTTTGCCAATACCACACTGTCTTGATCGCTGTAGCTTTATACTAAGTCCTGAAGTCAGGTGGTGTCAATCTTCTAGCTTTGTTCTTCTTCATTATCATGTTGGCTATTCCGGGACTTTTCTTCTCTAGGTAAACTTCGCAACAGTTTGTTGATATCCACCAAATAACTTGTTGGGATTTTGACTGAGACTGCATTTAGTTTATAGATCAAGTTGGGAAGAACTGACGTCTTGACAATATTGAGTATTTCTAGCAATGAACATGAGACATCTCCTTCTTTATTAGTTCTTTGATTTCTCCTATCAGAATTTTGTAGTTTTCCTTATATAGATCTTGTACATATTTTGTTAGAATTATGCCTGAGTATTTCATTTTTCTGAGTGCTGATAGTAAATGGTATTTTGCTTTTAATTTTAAATTCCTACCTGTTCACTGCTGGAATATAGGACATACTCAACTTTGCACATTAACCTTACATTGACCTTCATATATTACCCTTATATTCTGCAACCTTGCCATAATCACTTCTTAGTTCCAGGAGTGTTTTTGCCAATTCTTGTGGATTTTCTACATAGATGATCATGTTATCTGTGATCAAAGACAATTTGAGTTCTTCCTTCCAAAATCAGTATATCTTTTCTTTCCTTTTCTAGAACTTCCAGTATGATGGTAAAAAGGAATGGTGAGAGGAATACATCATTGTCTTGTTCCTGATCTTAGAGGGAATGCTTCTGGTTCCTCACTACTGTGATGTTATCTGTAGGTTTTTTGTAGATGTTCCCTATCAAGTTGAGGAAGTTCTCTATTCCTAGCTTACTGATGGTTTTTATCATGAATAGGTGTTGGGTTTTGTCAAATGTCTTTTCTTCATGTATTACCATGATCATGTGATTTTTCTTCCTTGGCCTGTTAGTGTGATGTATTACATTAAGGGTTCTTCAAATGGTGAATTAGTCTTCTATAACTGTTATAAATCCTACTCAGTTTTGGTGTATAATTCTTTTTATATATTGTTGGATGTGATTTGCTAATTTTTTTGATAATTTTCACATTTGTGATCTTGAGAGATGTTGGTATGTATTATTCTTTTCTTGGAATGACTTTGGTAGTTGGGTAATGCTGACCTCACAGAATGAGTTAGGGTGTATTCCCGTTGCTTCTATCTTGTGAAAGAGATTGTAGATAATTGGTAAAATTTATTCCTCAAATATTTGGTAGAATTTATCAGTGAACCCATCTGGGCTAGATGCTTTCTGTTTTGGAAGATTATTAATTACCAATTCAATTTCTTTAATAGATATGAGCCTATTCAGATTGTCTATTTCTTCTTCTGTGAGTTTTGAATTGAGTCTTTTTTTGTTGTTGTTGTTGTTGTTTTTTTTTTTGAGATGGAGTCTCACTCTGTCTCCCAGGCTGAAGTGCACTGGCATGATCTTGGCTCACTGCAACCTCGTCCTCCCAGGTTCAAGCGATTCTCCTGTCTCAGCCTCCCGAGTATCTGGGACCATAGGTGCACACCACCACACCCAGCTGATTTTTGTATTTTTAGTTGATAGGGTTTTGCCATGTTGGTCAGGCAGGTCTTGAACTCCTGACCTCAGGTGATCCACCCGTCTCTGCCTCCCAAATTGCTGGGATTACAGGCATGAGCCACTGCACCTGGATGAATTGTGTCTTTCCAGGAATTGGTCCATCCAGCACCATTTTTTAAAATATTATTCTATCACCATTGATTTATCTTTGAAGCCTTTGTTAAAATCTACTGACTATATATGACAACATAGAACACAATGTCTTGATTACCAGCATTTTATAGTAATTGTTGAAATCAAACTTATATTTAAGTTCTCCAGCTTTTTCTTTTTCAAAACTATTTTGGCTACACTGGGGTCCTTTTGCATTTCAATACAGATTTTTAGAATCAGCTTATAAATTTCTGCAAAAAGACTACTAGAATTTTAATTAGGATTTCACTGAATCTCTGGATCAATTTAGAAAAAAACTGACATTGGAACAATATTAAGTTTTTCAATCCATAAACATGTTATATTTCTCCATTTATTTAGGTCTTTAGCTTCTTTCAGCAATATTTCAAAGTTTTTTATGTATCTCTAGCATATTTTGTTAAATTTGTCCCTGAGCACTTAGTGTTTTTGAAGATACTGTAAATGTTATTTTTTTAAATAAACTGTCTTTTTCAGAACAGTTTTGATTTACAGAAAAATTGAGATGACAGAATAATTCTCATATATTCCCCTCATCCAATTTCCTCTACTAACAGCTTACATAAGTATGCTATATTTATTATATTTAATGAACCAATACTGATACATTATTAACTAAAATCCATAGTAGTTATTATTTTATCTAATAGCAACTTCTTCTGTCTCAGGATCCCATCCAGGATACTATATCACATTTACTTGTTAGTTCTCCTTAGGCTCTCCTTGGCTGTGACAGTTTCTCAGACTTTCCTGAACAGTTTTGAGTAGTATAACTGAAGACAGGCATAAGTCCCCACACAATGAACAGTGGATTCGTGTTAAGTAAAAAGTATCCAATCTGGCATTCCAAGCTCTGACTCTGACCTTTCCTTACAGTTTTGTTTGTTTGTTTGTTTGTTTTTGTTTTTGTTTTTTTTTTTTCTGGAGATGGAGTCTCGCTCTCTCTCCCGGCTCACTGCAAGCTCTGCCTCCCGGGTTCACACCATTCTCCTGCCTCAGCCTCCTGAGTAGCTGGAACTACAGGCGCCTGACGCCACGCCCGACTAAATTTTTTTTTTTTTATTTTTAGTAGAGACAGTGTTTCACTGTGTTAGCCAGGATTATCCGGATCTCCTGACCTCATGATCTGCCCACCTCAGCCTCCCAAGGTGCTGGGATTGCAGGCGTGAGCCACAGCGCCCGGCCTCCTTACAGTTTTATGTAACACTACTCCATTATACTCACTCCACACTCCAGCCAAACTAGTCAGCTGCTGCTCCCTGAAAACACCAACAATCATCTTTTGTTTATGACCGGTACTGTGAATGGAATGTTATTCTATACACATCTCTGCCTGTCAAAATCCTAGCATACCTTAAGGTTCATCTCAAATGACATAATCATCTTGAAGCCTGTTTTGAGTCCGACAAATAAGATCTCTTCTCTATGCAAACATCTGACAAATTTGTTAAAAGATGTTCTGCTTCCATTTTCTCTTTATAGATGTATTACATAGTAAATATTTTCAGTTTCTATTTTAAGTAATGAATAACAATAATAAGCACCTTTTTCTAACCAAGAACTCTAGGAGATATTTCATTCAACCTACAGTTCTCCCTCAACTAAAAATAATATTGAGACATTAAAATAGAATATTTTTCAAATATTTTAATAAAATATTTACTCTCATGATATAGTTTGGCTCTGTGTCGCTACCCAAATCTCACCTTGAACTGTAATAACCCCCATGTGTTGTGGGAGGGACCCGGTGGGAGGTAACTGAATCATGGGGGCGAATTTTTCCCATGCTGTTCTCGTGATAGTGAATAAGTCTCACGAGATCTGGTGGTTTTATAAAAGGGCAGTTCCCCTACATACACCCTCTTGCTTGCTGCCATGTAAGACACGTCTTGCTTTCCCTTTGCCTTCTGCCATGATTGTGAGGCCTCCCCAGCCGTGTGGAACTGTGAGTCAATTAAACCTCTTCCTTTATAAATTACCCAGTCTTGGGTATGTCTTTATTAACAGCATGAGAACAGACAAATACACCTCATAAAATACATAACTTAAGACTTTGGATGTAAGTTTTAGAATCTGTGGACCATATCTACTCTCTTGGTTCTTAAGGTCACTTAAAAACTAGCAAAGTTAAAACTAAATAAATTAATGCACTTAATTAAAACTTTTAAAAACCACTTCTGAATCAATATTCTTAATGATTTAGACAAAGAAATTTCTTGACAAAAAATGTTACAAAATCATGAATAAACATGCTCATTACAGCTAAGTGAAGAAGTACCAAGAGGACAGGTGAGATCCATCCAAGTCTGAAGAACCCCTTATGAACATCTATAATCATCTGCACCATTAGCTCGAAGCTAATTCAAACTGGTTTTGTACACTAAAATTTTTAAAGGCACTCTATATTTTAAATAAAGTTCTTAAACTCTGAATGTTCCTTAGTACCTCCTAAAGAATTCACAGCTTTACTGAGCTGAAAGTAATCAATGGTTTTATTATTTATAGTCCAAGATATGGGGAAAATTTTAGTTAATCAACTTTCTGTTATCAAATTATTTCTTGCGATAATCACCATCTACCTTGCAGAAAACCACTCTATATACTGTACGTGAATGTCGATGCTTTAATGCTAGAAAGATTTTCTCTTCCAGCAAATGAACCAGTTTACAGAAGAGCCAATGAGTATATACATTCCTCCTAAGAATTAAAAAGAAAAAGAAAAAGAAGACAGAATACTCAAAATGTAACCTAAAAAGAAAATGTAACTAATCTCTTAAAAATTTCAGATCTTTGAGCAGATTCACTACTATTTACACCTAAAAAAATTACCATAGATCAATAGTAAAATTTTCAACCAGTATCTCCAAAGCATAAAGTTAAAAACACACATTTAGCCACTAGTAATTTTAACAATATAGTCTACATTATTTATAGTATAATTCTATGCTCTATTATATAAACCAGAGGCCAGCAAATTACAGTCTGTGGGTCAATCCACTGCCTGTTTTTGTAGATAAAGTTTTATTGGAACACCGCCATATCTATTCATTATGTACTGTCTATAGCTGCTTTTACTCAGTAACAGCAGAGTTCAATTTGGCCAACAAAGCCTGTATGTTTACCTTCTGGCCCTTCAGGGAAATGTGCTGACCCCTGCCACAAACTTCCAAATACATAATATTGTAAATGTCTAGCTGTTCATCTAGATTTACAGTGAAGTCCTGTTGTTTTTAACTTCCCTAAAAATTATTGCAAAACCTTTTTGTCTGTGCCTCAGTAAACCTTCCCAGTATGGCAAAACATACCCTATCACTTTTGTTCTTTTTCTATTTTAAAAGTACTAAACTCTTGAGTCTTGACACAGTGAAGACAAAATAGTTTAGTCAAATATTTTCTCAATTGCTAGACAAAAGTTTAATTTCTTAGGGACCTGATAAAGATTTAGATTTAAGAAAACACTACATCTAGTACTAAAGAAATAGGTCATTTAAGGAAAATAATATTTTGTTAAATTTAGCAACTTTTTGAAGAACTTAGATTGCTACTTACCAGCTAGTGAAAGCACAGAAGTCTTTCCTAACCCTGAGACAGAAGTTGTATATCCTGTTGTAGAACTTTTACTAGAAAACAACATGATTTAGTTTAAAATACAAAAACACACTTCTTACAATCTCAGTCATCTAACACTTGTGCTGTTTTAATCTTCTTTTTAATGCTTTCCTCTACTTATGAAACGTTTGTTGCTTTTATTTCTCATTTTTTTTATATTCATGCCTCACAACACTTACTTCGTCTATAACTTGAAAGCATTTCCTTAAACTTTTGCTTCATCAGAATTACAGTTTTTCTTTTGAGGTTCAAGCAAGGCAGCTAAAATGGGTAAAATTTTCTTGGAAACAAAACTTATCTTTAGTTATAATCTCTTTTTTCTATCTTGAGATCACTCTACTGGCCAGGTACTCTTGATGGATCTACTGATAATGCCCAAAAACACAGCTGAAATTCTGTAAGAAGCTATCTTTAATAAAAGAAAAATACTTTTTCCTGAAACATGTAATTTATCTTGATAGACAAAGGAATAGTTTTAAAGATATTTGTTTTCTTAAAATTATTTTGCTTGTCAATTGACATACAGCAGTTTGTATAGCACATATAAAAAATCATGGTAATTTAACTTATATTGATTCTATCCTAATCTTAACTGCTTGTAATTTTGTCTCCTGGGCTAAAGGGGAAACCAGACATTCATCTATTGTCACGCTAACTCTGCTGTGATCACTTTATCATATGAACATGCCAATGGATTCTTTATAGACAGAAACAATATTAGTAGCAAAGGGATGTCTATATACATTTAGATAATGGAACATACTCATACGTATTAAAAGTTAAGTGGCACATGTGATATACTACTATCTCCCTCATGAAATAATATATGGATTCTATGATATTATTAAATAGTATCATGTCAGTATTCTTCCTAGAATGCCAGAATACCTATTTTTGTGAAAATTGTTGGAGGTCTCTTATTTTTAAATATAACAATCCCTACAGAAGAACACTCACAAAATACTGGCCTATAAAAAAACCTCAAAATTAATTCTGATTTTTATAAAATGTAAACTCATATATATGAAGATGTGAATAAAGATAAAAATTATGTTAAAAATTGAAGGGCTTACAGATCGTACCTAGCACATTTCTCTAAGTTGCCATATTTTGCATGAAAAGCTTGATTATTAAAAGACTGGCTTCGAATCAGTTTGGATTTCTTGATTTCTTTACCTAGAGCAATAAGCAGAAAAAAGAAAAATGTATTCAGTTCATCCTCGGCTGCTCCAACCCCCATTCCCTCCCCAACTACCATCATTTTCAGTAAAACACAGATGGCTTTAGCCTTTTTTCCTTAATTTGAGCTCACTGAAGTATCTCTTACCCTTACTACCAATTAAAAACTACCAAAACACCTAATGATAGAAGGTGAAAAGTGCTTTAGAATGAGATATATTATCCTACTGTATCTCATCTAATAGAGTGACTTTCCCAGCAATTTGTATACAAGGAAGAAAAATTACAAAAAGATATAAAAAGAAGTTATTTCTTACTTGTCGATGGGGTGACAGAAGAGGGTCCAGGAACAGAAATGGGGATGTTCTTGGGCAGACTTTGCGTTGGTGTCTTAGTGTCTCTACCTAAAATAAATTCTGCTTTAAGTTGTATAATTTCCTCTAAGTCCTTATTAATCTCCATAAATACACAAGACAACTCAGACAATATGAATCACTATCCCTAGCTAAGCAGCTTTCTTTTCCAAATATTCTTACTTGGTAATATTTACATATTTCAATCTTTGTTATTCAGTGATCAATTTCACAATCTTACAGCTGTTATCAGACTTGAAGCTTTTCTTTTGAAGCATCTGAACGTCCACCCTGGTTCCTGCCTTTCATTCATGTACTCTTAACATCTGTACCACATTAAGTGGCCAATTTTCAAAAACGACTTTTCAAAAATGAAAGAAAGTAAAGCAATTTTCCATATCAAATAAAAAATTCAGCATGGTCTTTCAGAATACCAGGATGCAACATTAATTATGTAATTAAGTGTTGAAGACATAGAAAAACTACTTACGTTTCTTTTCAAACATTTTATCACTCATGGGCCTTCCATCATTCTGTTGCTTTTCTTTCTCTAATTGTTCCTGTTATTAAGACAGTATCTTGCATTAAAGGTACAACTGAAGTAGGTCTAGAAAATTGTTCTGAGAAATTAAGCATTAGAGATTCAAGTAAAGTTCATAAAAATGCCTAAAAGAAGTATTTTTTTCCAATGTTAGTGTCTAAAGAATTCAGGGTTCTTTCAGATTTGTGCTCTTTTCATATCTACAGAATTATGCCCTTGAGGGTTTGTCAAGCTAAAACAATGAGTTTGGTATCATTGTAATAATTACCCTTCATTTTCTAGACGGTATTTCCTAAATCACATTAGCAAAATATCCATTACTTTGGTCGTTTCAATTTCAGATTGGTAAATGGCTAAATAATATCTTTCTTTAAAAAGATTGAGAGAAAAGAAAATGGTCTTGGATATTTTTAAATGCTTTATTTAAGTATAATATACATAGAGAGGCTGGGCACAGTGGCTCACACCAGTAATCCCAGCACTTTGGGAGGCCAAGATGGGTGAGTCATCTGAGATCAGGAGTTTGAGACCAGCCAGGCCAACATGATGAAACCCCATCTCTACTAAAAACATAAAAAAAATTAGCCAGGCATGGTGATGCACGCCTGTAATCCCAGCTACTCAGGAGGCTAAGGCAGGAGAATCACTTCAACCCGGGAGGTGGAGGTTGCAGTGAGCCTGGACCATGCCACTGCACTCCAGCCTGGGTGACAGAGTGAGACTCCATCTCAAATATACATACATAAATATGTATAAAGAAAGTACACAAATTATAGGTATACAAATTCATAGCTCAATGAATTTTCCCAAAATAGACGCACTTGTATAACCAGCTCCAATATCATGAAACAAAACGTTACCAAAACACAGGAGGCCCTTATGCTAACAGAATAGGCATGAAAATCAACAAACACAGCAAGTTCTGAACAAACTTGGTATAACTGACATGCTAGAATACTAGAGTCAACAAGTGGAGAATAAATATTCTTTTCAAATGCACATGTAAACTAAGGAAAAATATGGAGAAAATAAGATAAAGAATTTCCACATAGAAGTGGACTACATAAAAAAATCAAATGGAAATTCTAAAACAGAAATAAAGCATAAAACTGAAAATTTTCATTGGGTTGGATTAACGGAGTTATCTATTTTCTACATGTTTGCCTCTATTATCTTGATCATATTAATCACAGTTATCTTGAAGTCCTTGTCTACTAATTCCAGTATCAGGATTATCTGCGGTTCTCTTTCTATTGTCTGTTTTTGTCTTGGGCTAGGTCATTTGGTCCTAAAATTTTTTAGAGTCTTCCCTACAGTTTCTCCCACTGGCAATCCTGAATTCTAATCTTGCTTTGAAAGGCTGCTGAAATAATAAAATTTCCACTTTAGTCACACAAATTCTTGGCATAGAAATAGAAAACACTAAAAGAACCAAATGGAAATTTTAGAACTGAAAAATATAATATTGGAAATAAAAAAATTAATTGGATAGGCTCAGCAGCTGAATGGAGATGACAGGGAAGGGTTGGTAACACTGAAGATACATCAAGAGAAATTATTCACACTGAGTAGCACAGAGTTTTTTTAAAAATTGAGAAAGAACAAAGCCTCTTGGCCTACGGACAATAATAAACGATCTAATATATGTGCAACTGGTGACCCAGAAATAAGAGAGAGAAAAATTGGAAGAGAATATATATTTAAATAAACAATGACCAAATCTTCCCAAATTTGGGGAATGATATACATTTACAGGTTCAGTAAGATTACCAAATCCAAACTGGATAAATTTCAAGTAAATAATGCCTAGATGCATCAAAAGTAAGCTGCTAAAAACAAAAGCTAAAGGAAAAAAATATTTAAAGTGTCCAGAGAAAAACAATGCTTCATAAAGAAGCATCAACAATTCAATGAGAGTAGCTATTTTATCAGATGTTATGGTGGCCAGAAGACAGACAGAAACACATTATTAGAATGCAGTAAGGAAAAGGCTGTCAACCCAGACTTCTATACCCAGTGAAAATATCCTTCAGGAATGAAGGTAAAAATAAGACATTTTAGATAAAGAAAAAATAAGAGAAGTTGTCACCAGAAGACCTGTGCTTCAAGATTTGCTAAAGAAAATTCTTTTATCTTAAGGAAAAAAATACCAGAGGGAAATTTAGATCTTAAGCAATGAATGAAGAGCACTGGAAATGGTAAAGATCTGAGTAAATGTAAAAGTTTACACTAAGAGTGTATTCTTCAAGATACATATGACAACTTAAAGCAAAATTACAACACTGGTGGGGTCTTCAATGCAGATATAATTCATATGACAACTGTAACATGAAGAATGGGTGTGGAGGAGGTAAAGAGATTTGTATTATTGTTAAGTGACATGATATAATAATAACAATATGTAGACTGTAAAAGGTTAGGTATGGATATTAAAATCCCTAGAGAAACAAGCAAAAAAAATTTCCAAAAAAAGGAGAGAGGAAATCCCTAACACAAGAATAAAATGGTTATCATCATAGATTAATGCCATAATTAAAAGGATAATAGAATATTATAAATAACTTCATGCCAACAGATTTGTCAGTTTAAATAACATGTAAACTGGGGTGGAAGGGAAGCAACTTACCAAAATTGACAACAGAAGAAACAGAAGATCTACATTATCTAATGTCTACTAAGGAAATAGAATCAATTATCAAAATACTTTCCAAAATGAAAATTCCAGGCTTAGATAACTTCACTAGTGAATTCTATAAAACTCTTAAGGCAAAAATAAAACCAAGTTATACAAACTTGGTCAGAAAATAGAGAAGGTGGGAATACCATCCATCTTGTTTTATGAGGCCAGAATAACATTAATACCAAATCTAATCCCAAAAATGACAAAAAGGGGAATTATAGGCCAATTTCACTATGAATCTATGAATACAGATGCAAAATCCCTTAACAAAAACATTAGCCAAGGATCCAATGGAGAAAAAGGACAATAAACCATTGCCAAATAGGGTTTATCTCCAAAAGACAACATTGGTTTACCATTTGAAAAATCAGTGTAATTCAGTATATTAGCAGAATGAAGGAGAAAAATCAAATATCATTTCTAGATACAACAAAATGCAACAACCATTCATAAAAACTCCTAGCAAACTAGGAGTAAGAGGTAACTTCCTCAATCTGATAAAGGGAATCTACATAAAACCTATTTCTACCATCATACCTGATGATGAAAGACTGAACTGTTTCCCCCTAAGATCAGTAAAAAGACAAGGATGCCTACTTGTACCACCTTAATTTTACTGGAGGTCCTGGATCTTGCAATAAGACAAAAGAAAGAAACAAAAGGCATAAATATTGAATAGAAAGAAGTAATATTGCTGTATTTAAAGAAGATATGATCACTTACGTATAAAATTTTAGTTTTAGAAAATCTAAAAAACAATTTTTAGAATAAACAAATTTAGAAAGTTTATAAGATACAAGGTTAATATATAAAAATCAACAGTATTCTTATACTCCAGCAACAAAAAACTGGAAAGTGAAATAAAAAAATGTATACTTCCATTTATAATAATGCCAAAAACATAAAATACGTAGAAATAAATTCCAGACTTCATATCAAAATGCAAAGGCCCTAGACTGGCCAAAGCAATTTTAAGAGGGAACAAAGATGGAAAACGTATCCTACCAAATTTCAAGAACGCTATAAAGTTACAGTGATCAAGACAGTTTGGTATTGCTTAAAAGATAAACTTATAAATAAGTGGAACAGAATAATAGGAAGTCAAGAAATAGACACATATGTGTACAACTATTTCTTAAGGACGCTAAGACAATTCAATGGGGAAAAGAAGGCTTTTTAACAAATGGTGCTGGAATAAATGAATATTCCCTATGGAAAAAAATAAACATATATTATATAAAAATGTACTTGAAATGGATCATAAACCTAAATATAAAACCTAAAATGAAAATTTTTAAAAGAAAATAGAGGAAAAAATCTATGATCTTGGGACAGACAAAGGATTCTTGGAACAAAAAAGAATTATCAAAGAAAGAATTGATAAACTGGGCTTCATCAAAATCAAATATTTCTGTTGTTCAAAAGACACCATTAATAAATGAACAGATAAGCCTCAGACTCCAAGAAAAAATTCATAATATGTATATCTGTGAAAGAAATTGTATTCAGAATGAATTAAAAGCTCTTACCTCTCAACAATAATAAACAACCCACTTAAAATTCTGAAAACAAACTTTATCAAATAAGAGATAAAGATGGCCAGTAAGCAAAGACAAGATGCTTGACATCTTTAGGCATCAGGAATAGAAAAAGAGATTAAAAAAAAAATGAGATACCATTACATACCCAATAGTATGGCTGGTAACTAAAGCTTTCCAGCATAGACAATGTAGATGTAAAATGGTACAACCACTTGAAAGCAGGTTTTTTTGTTTTGTTTTGTTTTTTGGGGGGACAGAGTCTCACTCTGTCACCCAGGCTGGTGTGCAGTGGCACAACCACGGTTCACTGCAAGCTCTGCCTCCCGGGTTCACGCCATTCTCTTGCCTCGGCCTCCTGAGTAGCTGGGACTACAGGAACCCGCCACCATGCCCAGCTAATTTTTTGTATTTTTTAGTAGAGATGGGGTTTCACCATGTTAGCCGGGATGGTCTTGATCTCCTGACCTCGTGATCCGTCTGCCTCGGCCTCCCAAAAGTGCTAGGATTACAGGCATGAGCTACCACACCCGGCCATTTTTTTAAATTTAGTTTTATTTTATTTTTAAGTTAAGCATGCCATACAAATCAGCCATTCTATTCCTAGGTATTTACCCAAGAGAAATGAAAACAGGTCTACTCAAGGACTTCTTCACTAATGTTCAAAGCAACTATATTTGTAATATCCCCAAATTAGAAGTAAGCCAAATGTCCATAAAGAGGTGAATGGATAAGCAAATTGTGATATATCCGAAATATAGACTACTACTCAGAAATAAAAAGGAATGGCTTCTTGATGCATACGATAATATGGATGAATCTCAAAGTAATTATGTTGGTAGAAAGATGCAGGACCAAAAATAGTATTAATACCTAATATATGATTCCATTTATATAAATTATGGAAATGCAAGCTAATCTACAGTGACAGAAACTATATCATTGGTTGTTGGGGACTAGAGTAGAAGACATGGATTACAAAGGGGCAGAAATCTTTAAAGGAATAGAAATGTTTCATATTTTCATTGTGGTGATGGTTTCATCGATATGTCAAAATTCATTAAATAGTACACTTTAAATATATGTAGTTGTCAATTATACTTCAGCAAAGTAGTTTTTTTAAAAGGCTCTCAAATATAGTTTTCTATCTAGTTCATAAAAGAACAGATTTCAAAAAACTGGACTATCATTTAAGAAGAAAAAAGAGTAATGTGAAATGGTGAAATGGAAAGAAATGATTAAGTTTAATAAAAAAACACAGTTATTAATCAGAAAAGAGTATATGTGTGTGCATGTGAAAACAACATACCATTTCCAAAAGAAGTAGTTCTTCTCTTTCTTTCTCTTGATCCAACAAATCTTTCTCATAAAACTTTTTCTGAAACTGTTTAAAGTTTAAAATGAAATTGTGAAACATTAGTGATGAGTTTCTGCCAAGTTTAAAATATTCCTTTCAATATAAATGATATGGTTTGACTCTGTGTCCCCATCCAAATTTCATCTTGTAGCTCCCCTAATTCCCACATGTTGTGGGAGGGACCGGGTGGGAGATGACTGAATTATGGGGGTGGGTCTTTCCTATGCTCTTCTCATGATAGTGAATGAGTCTCTCGAGATCTGATGGTATTGTAAGGGGGAGTTTCCCTGCACAAGCTCTCTCTTTGCCTGCCGCCATCCATGTAAGATGTGACTTGCTCCTCCTTGCCTTCTGTCACGATTGTGAGGCCTCCCCAGCCACGTGGAACTGTGAGTTCAATTAAACCTCTTTCTTTTGTAAATTGCCCAGTCTTGGGTATGTCTTTTTCAGCAGCATGAAAATGGACCAACACAATAAGGTAAAGAGAGTATACTTACAGCATCCATAGACATTTCCATTCTGTCCAACTCTAATACAGTCTATAAGGAAAGTTTTTAAAATTATTCTAAAGTAATTAAATTAAAACAACCAATCATTTCTCAGCAACTTATTTTGCAAATGGAGGTTCAAATAGAAGACTTCTGCACTAGGGGGAAGACTAAGTCAGAAAACTAAAGTTCTGCCCAATTCTACATTGTACTTACAATCAATCTTTATACAATCATGCCAGGGTCAATTTTAACTTTTGAAAGTTTTTAACCTTAAGAAGACCAAGTCTACAGGCATATTTCAAATACCAAATGCATATAATCTAACTAATTTCTAGTAACTCCCAGTGCCAATCTTTTCTGAATTTTCAGAAACATAATGTAGCTTTTGAAGTTTTAAAAAGTCTTTTAGCTATATATGAATGAGACAAGCCATCATGGGGCCTAATAATCCTTAGTTCCCTTCTGTAGAAATTTTATATCTGCTCTGAAAATATTCTCTCAATTTACTATTTGTCTTTTGGAATACACTAGTTTGAAACAAATTATCCCAATCAAAACAATGGTCAATCTAACCCAGGGTTCTGTCTCTGATAGAGGGCAGTACTTCTAAAACTTATTCTACAAGAGTAACCCTAATGGCCAAAATAAAGTACATTTGGATATGCATATGCCCAAAGCTATCCATGACAAACATAAAATTTAGTGGAAGCTTTTTCTGCTGAAATTTATGAAAAATTCATAATGCATGCCATGAAAGACTCTCTTTTTAAATAAAGTTACTTCTCATATTATAAAACTGATGAAACTATTCAATTTTTATCCAAAAGTTTTGTGTAGCTTCCTGGGAGTTTTCCATACTAATGTCTCATTATACTACAGAATTTCCATGTGACAGACTGGCTTCACTATATGCAGCATACTGAAAATAAGAGCTGTACTCCAGAATAATCCACTATAGACTAATAATCCATTAATTTTATTACATCACTGTTACACCTGTATAGCATTAGCTTATATTGTCTCTTGAATTAATAAATTATTCTGGAAAAGTAATTAACCATCTCATGTTTATTATTTTGACAAGTTAACTCCATTGCCTAAACTTCTATACTTAAATATTAAATAGTAAGGAAGGAACTGTCTGGTAGAAACAAGTGTGTGTGTGTGTGTGTGTGTGTGTGTGTGTGTAGATTTAAATGCATGTGCAACTCTACGTATTTCTGGTTATACCAGTTAATGAAAGAAGAATTCACATTTCATTAAAACTAAAACTATACTAATTCATACTAAGTCATCAAATCACTTAATTAAAAGATTCTTCATGTGACATCTGGCAATGATTTCTAGAAAAAAAGAGAAAAAATAAGAATTCTCTCTTTTCTCACCATGTATGCTAATTTATTTATGACACTAATAAGGAAATTTCCCTCACTATAAATAAATGCTCAAAAACAATGTGTCCTGAAGTTTATATTCAGATTCATAAAAGTAAATAATTTCACTTCAACTTATAAAAATATTAGTTATATATTCAGCATAAACAATTTTTGAAGAGTAAAAATTATTCTAAGATGTGGCTCACTAACCCAAATTTTTACTGTTTAGTTTTTCCAACATCTCCAAAGAATCCATATACTAAGATCTCATGCTAAAACAAACAAAAAACTCATAGGATACAATGTTACATTATTTACAAAGAAATGCACTCAGGAGCAGGTAAGAGGTCTCTATTCTAGTCCTCCTGATTCTGCTACTTACTAATATGATCTCAAGTAGACACAATATTTCTAGGCATATAACTTCTATAAAGTCAAACAGACCCCTGAATTAACTCAAAGGGCCCTTCCAGGGATAAGTTTCTATAAAATGTGACTTTGCCAATTTTACCAACAAAGTTTCACTGGATTATAATCACTTATAAAGAAAGTCTGATGAATAAAACATTCATTATTAATTGAACAGTGTTTATTGAGCACCTAACATGTGTCAAACTCTCTCAACATGGGCTTATATTACTAGTAATACAGGTTTAATGTCTAGGTGCCCTTCGAAAGTTTCATATCCAGTTGTAGCACATATCAACCAAATCATTTACTAATTCTTACAATTTTAGCAAGGATAAAAATATTGTAATATATTGCTATCCTGTCAAGCTGAAATAGTGAAGCTAAGATTCTTACTGCCTTAATGCAAAAAATGCAACATTGTGGCAAGAGTGATACTTACTCTTTTTACAATAGCCAGAACATCTTTATCTTTTTCTTGACACAGGAGTTTCCTCACACACATTTCTAACTGCTGAAGTAGATGCTTATCAGCAGGAATCTTCAGAGTAGATTTCACTTTGGGCAACAGGTAGCAAAGTTTCATTCTACAATAAAATAGTATTTACTCTTGAGTGAAGTTAATAACTAAGAATAACAGAAACATAAAACAAAAATCAAGTTTTAGATAGCCTGAGAGTTCATTTATTCATGCAAGATATATTCATGGAGTGTCTATTATGTGTCAAACATTCATCATTCTGGATGCTGAGATACAACAGTAAATAAAACCAACAAAATTCTCTGCTCTCCTGGAACTTACATTCTAGTATGGGAGCAGAGAAGAGAAAAGAAACAAGTAAAATCTGTCAGATAGTGTTAAATGCTATGGAGAAAAATAAAGTGAAGAATAAAGACAAGGGAGTACCAGGGGCAGGGGATTAATCAGTTTTAAAGCAGGTGGCCAAAGAGGGTTGTCATTGAAGGTTCCACTGAAAAGATGATATTTAAGCAAAGACCTAAAGAAAATTAGGGAATGAGCTATGTGAATATCTGGAAAAGAGCATCACAGCAAATATAGAGAGCTTGTCTCTACTGTTGGTCCAAATGAGCAAATTGGCCACTATGCCTAAACAGAGTGAAGGTGAGACTAGCAGGAGAGCTCAGAGTGGTAAATAAGAGGCTTTGAGGGCTACTGTAAGGAAATTGTCTTTTATTTTGAGTATGACAAGAAGCCATTGGTAGGTTTTCAGCAGAGGGGTGAAATGATCTGACAATGTTTTACAAGCATCATCTGTCTACTGTGTTGAAATTAGACTGCAGCTAGTCAAGAACAGAAAAAGAGAAACAATAGGAAAAGCTCTTACAATAATTCAGGCAAGAGATGATGGTACATTGAACCAGAGTGGTAGCAGTAAAAGGTGGTGAGAAGTAGTTGGATTCTGAATACCATTTTTTTTTTTTTTTGAGACAGAGTCTTGCTCTGTCGCCCAGGCTGGAATGCAGTGGTGTGATCTCGGCTCACTGCAGGCTCCGCCTCCCAGGTTCATGCCATTCTCCTGCCTCAGCCTCCCGAGTAGCTGGGACTACAGGTGCCCGCCACCATGCCTGGCTAATTTCTTTTTGTATTTTTAGTAGAGACAGGGTTTCACCATGTTATACAGGATGGTCTCGATCTCCTGAACTTGTGATCCGCCTGCCTTGGCCTCCCAAAGTGCTGGGATTACAGGCAGGAGCCACCGCGCCCAGTCCGGATTCTGAATATCTTTTACCAGCAGCAGGATGTGCTGAGGGATTGGAGGTAGAATGACAGAGAGAAGAATTTATTTAAGGTTTTCATCTAAGCAGATGTGATGGTTATTTCCTGAGATGGAGAAGACTACAGAAGGAGCAAAAGCAGATAAGAAAGATGAAGATTTAATTCTGGACAGATTAAGTCTGAGATTTCTATCAGATATGCAATGGAAATGCAAGTGGGCAACAGGCTCAATAAGTTGGCTGTCCAGGGTAGATGTCAATGCTGGAGATAGAGTGAGGAATCTTCAGCAAGGAGATGATATTTAAACCATGAAATGGGAGAGATCACCAAAGTAATGTGTACAGTTAGAGAAGAAAAGGATAAAAGGACCTAGTCTAAGGTGGTCTAAGGCACTACCACAGTCTAGACTGGGTTGGAAAGGAAGAAACAAGGAGGTTGAAGAATGCCAGGAAGTTAAGAGTAAATCCCAGAGCCTAAAAAAAAGCCTTTCCAGGAGGAGGCATTTCAGAGGAAATACTCTCCTTTGCTAAGCTAAAAGTCTACTCTTTTTCCATGGCTGTTTTAGAGAGGGATGCTAGGTGGGTATCTATTTTATAGCTGCTATATTCATTTATTCATCTGAATGCTCTACAAATTATTATTTTTTATTTTTATTGCAACCTTGAGACACCTGAATCCCATTTTTAGAGTTTCCAGAACACTTTCTCAGCTGAATTTTTACTTGAGGATTCTTCATATACAACAAAATTTGCTTTTGATTTAACCAAAAAGGGTAAAGAAGCTCCTCCTGTAGAATTTCCAGCATTGTAAATAGCAACAATGGTCTCAATCTCATTCACAGCTCACCACGGATACAGCTAAACCTAGTAATGCTTTCTCTAATTAAGGAGTATCAATCCCCCCAAATAAATTATTTCATTTCTGGCAGCTGTGGAAAAGGCTTCTCTGAATACCAAGAGTCTTTTTCCAGCTTGACATTGTCTAAACTTGGTGAATTTAAATTTTAAACATTAACTTAAGGAAAAACAAAAACACTTAACAATCTATGCACACTCCATTCTTTATAACCCAAGGCATGTCTAGAAAACAGATATTCAGCAGAAGCTACCCAAGCCATCGTAATGATTCATCTCTATGAGACTCCTGGGCCCATGAGATGATCAAATTCTTGAGATTAGGGACCACACCTTTCAGATAATTTATGTATATTATCTCAGTTATTTGTACCTCAGAATACTTTATAAATTAGGTACTAAGGAAATCAATGCACACAGAAGTTTTGTAACTTGGCTAAAGATACACATTTAATATAGAGCTGGAATTTCAGCTCAGGGAGTGTGGCTCCGGAAACTGTCCTCCTAACCAACATGATCCTACCACCCTTGCCTGTGATGGCTTTCATTCTATCTGCACATCCCTAAAGCACTGAGCAAGGGCTTTTATACCCAAAGCCAGTTAGCATACAGTGTTGCTGGACACATATCTTGGCTGGCAGCTGGCCAGGCAAGAGAGTAGGAACCAAGACACACAGTTATACAATAATCTGCTGCCCTGCAGATCTCTGAAATTAATAGAGTAATATTTAATTACTCTTCATTTGGTTTTTTGAATTGGCAGATTTCTTTCTCAAAGAGTCAATGTTATGCTCTTAGTTACACTGATCAAAGTAGAGATGATTTCGTTTCCTTTCAAATTATTTTTGTCAACTGCCTGATAAGTGACAATACATCACATTGAAAGTTGCTTTTATAGAATCACAATTTTAATTCACAAAATGTTCATAAAGATGGACCCATTAGTTGTTTAGGAAGAGCTAAAATCTAAAGAATTACCAAAGGTTCCTTTTTTTGAGACGAAGTCTTGCTCTGTCACCTAGGCTGGAGTGCAGTGGTGTGATCTCGGTTCACTGCAACCTCCACCTCCCAGGTTCATACGATTCTCCTGCCTCAGCCTCCCAAGTAGCTGGGACTGCAGGCATGTGCCACCACGACCGGCTCATTTTTGTATTTTTAGTAGAGATGGGGTTTCACCATGTTGGCCAGGCTGGTCTCAAACTCCTGGCCTCAAGTGATCCTGTCTGCCTCGGCCTCCCAAAGTGCTGGGATTTACAGGCATGAGCCATGACGCCCAGCCCAAAAGGTTCTTTTCAATTCACTTTAAATGTCAGCAATACCCCACCTCTCATTTATAAAGCACAAGAAATATGCAACAAAAACTAAAGTCAATGCAGTTGTGCTTTCTGTATTTTCTCACATTTAAAATACAAAAGAAAAACTTCTAGATTTGTTCCCATTAAAAAATGCTCATAAAAGTCTTAAGTTGAACTTTTCGGTATCTTTTGACAATTCATCTTCATATATATCTCAACACCAAGACTATTAATCTCAGTTAGCTTATTATCTCACCAACTCTTCCTATTAAAAAGTTTTGATGTTTTACATATTGCCTAAAATTCACATCAGTTGTTTATAAAAGTGGTACATATGCATCTTTCAGATGCATAAGACTAAGTGCCCCAATGTATGAAAATTCAGCAGGGAGTTCTAGAGTTTGTTCAGGAATGCCTTTGGCCAACTGACTCTGATGTCTCTCTTTCCTGCAGATCTGAGTTCAAGTTCAAAATAGAGACACAGGACTTAGAACACAGAAATCTAATGGCTGAGGGTTTAACATTCTTTTCATTCTATTATCAAATGTACAAAAATAGCTCTTAATAATGTGCATGTACTTTAATGCCACTCAACTATACACTTATAAATGGTTAAAATAGTAAATTTTATATTATACATATTTTACCACAGTAAAAAAAAAGGAAGTGATGTGCTCTTTTGGAGAGAAAAAGGACAAAATATATTTATTATTTTTTTCCATTTCCAGGCAAGCCATTTTCAGGTCTGTTCCTTCCAACTTAACAGTTAATCAAATGCAATTAACATTTTACTGGATTTCAATAATATAAGGCAAAACATAGAAGACAAGATGAAGACTTTGAAGCAGTTCTACTTCTTTGAATAAATGGGCCTCTAGAAACTAACGGATGCTCACCAAACAACTTTGAAGTGATAAGGCTACTGACCGTCTTTTCTTTAGTTTTAATGGTAGATAAATTAATAACATCTACTCAACCTTCTAATCATTTCAATGTGTATATCCAAATGGCCGAAGAAGCTTACCAATCTGGCTTTGACTAACTGCTCTCAACCCAGTAAAGACAAAAGATCTGAGACAGTGTTGAAAGAGTATGCTTCCAAGTCTTACTGATGCCCATCAATTATGAATACTAAGAATTTCAAAGCACGTGTAAATTCTTGACTTAAGTTTTTAATTGGCTAAGGAAAAGATTTTGCATATGTTCACTATAGTAGATAAAAATAAATACAATTTCCAATATTTTCCTTCATTGATAACATACCTCACATTTGCTACTGGATCATGTGTCAGTTCAATAGCAGGTAGAAAGAAATATTTACAGAAAAATGATTTTGAAAATATCTCTATAATAAATTCACAGGTATCCAAAAATCGAAGTCTATTCCAGTAACTTTTTCCTTGGCCCAATTCTAGAAACAACAACAAAAATTATCTTAAGTTAATTTTTCCTATATGAAATTAAAGTGACAAAGTTAGACACACAAAATGCATAAGAAGTTTCTTCATACCCACAATTTGGCTAGCAAATACAAGACATAAGAGGAAAAATATCATTATTATATACCTCAGGTTTGTAAATCCCCAAAATGACACCTCAAAAACCATAAAACAGTTTTGTCAAACATTTCATTCAATTTCATAAGCATTTATTAACTATGGAATGACTGTATTTACTACTTTTTATCACCCACTATGTGCTAAGTACTTTACACATATTATCTCATTTAGCCCTGAAAAGCAGCCCAAGGGATGCACATACTTCTTCCTCTTAAAAGATAAGGATACTAAGATTTAGTGAGTTTAAAGTCACACAGCTGGCAGGTGCAGAGCTAGAATTCAAACACAGCTCTGTATAACTTCTAAGTGTTTTAATAATCAAATTAACTGTTTTCTTCCCTTTGTTTCCTTAAAAATGCCTAAAGTAGATACAGTCATATATAAACAGCATTACTGACAATAATTCAGGTCAATATTTAAAAGGTTAATTTTCTACTTTTTACATAAATGTTCAAAAATAAAACCAAACTGAATCTTCTTTCAAAATAAAACATTCTAAACATGAGCTCTTGCCACTGAAAAATGAAAACCGAATTAAAATAAGACTATAAAAAGAAAGATTAAAGTATACTGAGCATATTTTTTCTTAAATGGAATTTTATAAAAGTACTCTAATTTTTTGAAAAGTAGTGATACACACTTAAACTGGTAAACTCCAATAACTAGAAAATCCCATTACCTGCCTATGCTGGATAATATAGTTTGGTAAAAATATTAAGACATTATGGGCAAAGCAAATATACAATAATTAACAAACTCACTAAGTATATATAGGTGTGTGCAACTATTTCTAGAATCAATACTATAAACCAAATGTTTTTGCCTTGATTTTAGCTCTTAACAAATTAAAATAAATTTGCATTTGTAAACTGACTTAGTTTCTTAAGACATTATAAACCAACTAGGCTCATCAAATTAATATTCAAATATACTATCAACTCTATTCAAAGAAAAATCCCAGATTCTGTTAATTATGTGAATATTGAAATAGGACCATAAAATAAATGATTAGATGCATGGATATTCTATTTATATTTTAGTTCCAAATGCTATTTCATCAGGGGAGATACTGGGCTTTCAATATAAGTAAATATATTTTAATTTCTAAAGTGTAGACATTTACAAAAGAAAACAGAGTAATTATTACTTTCATTCATCACAGATCTAATCTTGCCATAAGGATTTCTAGAAAATAAAAATCATCTTATAAAACCCAATAGTAACCTAATTATTCACAGCAAAATGATACATAAGTTAGACATAACTAAAGCCAACTAGTTTGTTTACTTTCCTTTTTCAAAATAGTAGACAATGATTACTTACGTTCAATTAATTTTTGAATGACCTCATGTCTCTGTTCTTGTTTACGATTATAACGCAGAAAAATGCATAGAGTTCGTGAAGCCGCCTTTTGGACAGGTAAAACATTCTTGAAGAAGTAAGTAAGACAGACAGTTACACTAGGCTAATTCTAGTCTAGATAATTTGACCCCACCAAATCAATTTTAAGTTATTGACAAAACTAAAGTGTTCACTGCCTCTCAACTCACTGAACTTACATCCTTCTGGAAGTATCTTCATAATTTAATGTTAATCACTCAGGCAAATCAACCAATAATTATATTACAAAGTTAATTTGGCATAGTCATGTCCAAATCCTCCAGATTTGACTCTCATTTCCTTGCCATCTCATCTTACATGATCAAATACACCCCTGCCACCTATTCTTTTAGCTGTTCCCTGGACTTTGTCATTCATTCATCTGACAAACATTTGCTATAACATGCCATGTGTCAGGTACATCACCAAAAATATGCCACTACTGAAATATTAATTTAGAGATCCTGTGATCAGGTATACTCTTCAATCCTTCTGGCTTAATTCTAGCTCTTCATGATACAGATGACATTTAGAATCCAAAGGACACCATGTCAATCATTCTTACCAGTATTTCAAGTCCCTTTGTCCTTTCAATTTCTGTCACACCACTAGGCAGAACCTTAATTCTAAATAAATATGGCCATTTATCTTTCCTGGGTTTGGGTTCAAACCATATATTAGAGAAAAATCTCTCAACCAGACGTATTGTGTCCAGTATAAATTCATGTTCATTATCTTGATTTACATACAAATATAATGTTGAATTACTAAAGATCCCAAATATTATAGTGGGGATCCTTGAAATTCAAATTGAAACTTTACATTGCTGAGACAGTGTTGCCTGCTACCTCCTCTCATATTTTATATGAGCTATTCACATTCTATCGGGTACAATTTGAGTGGGGTTTTTAATCTGTTGAATGTAAAAAGAGGGTATTTCCTATGATTTAGAAAAGAAAATTTAAAAAATATACATAAGCAGAAACATGATTAGACTTAAGGAAAATGAATTTTTGATAAATGGTGAACTAAACAAAAGCATATTATTCTTTTCTTTCATTTTATATATACTGATAGAATTTCAAATACATATATAACAGTCATATGAAAACATGTATATTTTGTACCTCATATAAAATATATATTATAGTTTATGGCATAAGGTATTCTTTTGGGCCAGAAGTCAAAGATAAATGTAATCAAGTCAAAAGCACATAAGAGCCAGCTTAAAGAAGTTGTAACAATTTGTGCACAAAAAATAATAACTGCAATAACATTTATCTAAAAGAGAGTCAACATTAAAAACAAAGTGCATTTGTCACCATTAAAAATAGCTACTACGCCACCTCCTAGCTCTGAAAATTGATAATTCAAGGGAAAAAATTAAGAATTCATCCTGTCTTTACATTAGTAAACGTAGCTCAAGGTAATCAAATAACCAATGTGGACAAAGGAATGCACTTCTTCACAGAATGCCACCATTAAAAATGCATAAATGATGGAATTTTAAAATTATTTTTCAAGTTATAATGAAATCACCAATTCAAGCAAGGATCATCAATGGATTCTACAACTAACAGGTAAAAGGCTGATAGGACACTGGGTAAACAGAGGGCTGAAATAGCAGCTGAAGATTGCGCTGGCTATTCAAGAGTAATTTTAAAATAATTTTTTTAATTCTGTGAAAAATGACATTGGTAGTTTGATAGGAATGTGTTGAATCTGTAGATTGCTTTGGGCAATATGGTCATTTTAACAATATTAATTCTTCTAATCCATGAGTAAGGAATGTTTTTCCATTTGTTTATGTCATCTATGATTTCTTTCAGCAGTGTTTTATAGCTCCCCTTGCAGAGCTCTTTCGCCTCCTTGGTTAGATGTGTTACTGGATATTTTTTTTGTGGCTATTAAAATTGGGATTGCATTCTTGATTTGGCTCTCAGCTTGAACATTATTGGTGTATAGAAATGCTACTGATTTTTGTACACTGGTTTTGCAACCTGAAACTTTACTGCAGTGGTTTATCAGGTCTAGGAGCCTTCTGACAAGATCCTTAGGGTTTTCTAGGTATAGAATCATATCATCAGCAAAGAGAGATCATTTGACTTCCTCTTTTCCTATTTGGATGCCTTCAATTTCTTTCTTTTGCCTGATTGCTCTGCCTAGGACTTCTAGTACTATGTTTAATAGGAGTGGTATGAGTGGGCATCCTTGTCTTGTTCCAATTCTCAAGGGGATGGCTTCCAGCTTTTGCCCAATCAGTTTGATGTTGGCAGTGGGTTTGTCATAGACAGCTATTATTATTTTGAGGTATGTTCCTTCAATGCCTAGTTTGCTGAGGGTTTTTAACACAAAGAGACACTGGACTTTATCAAAAGCCTTTTCTGCATCCATTGAGATGATCATGTAATTTTTGCTTTTAATCCTGTTTATGTGGCAAATAACATTTATTGATTTGCTTATGTTGAACTAACCTCACATTGCAGGAATGAAGCCCACTTGATTGTGGTGAATTAACTTTTTGATGTGCTACTGGATTTGGTTTGCTAGTATTTTCTTGAGGATTTTTATGTTGATGTTCGTCAGGAATACTGACTTGCAGTTTTCTTTTCTTGTGTCTTTTCCAGATTTTGGTATCAGGGTGATGGTGGCTTTGTAGAATGAGTTAAACAGGAACACTTCCTCCTCAATTTTTTGAATAGTTTCAGTAGGATTGATTCCAGCTCAGAGGAGCTTGCAAGGTATGTCTGCTGGTAGTCTGGCAGTGCAGTGGGTCAAAGATGGGAGATCCCTGGGCAGGGCAGTGGTACAACTGGTATACAACCAGGTAGGCACATGCAGCCCAGGGTTTTCAGCCCAGCAGATGAGTGTGGGGCCCACCCAGCTTGCACTACCCCAACTCAGCATCTGCCCCAGAGGCAGGCCTGACCAGTTGGGCTTGTCCCAAGCCTTCTGTGCCGAGATCACAGAGCCATGGAATGTTTCTATATTTCAAAAAATTGCAATAGGATGTCATGTTAAATGTACAGTGAATTATGAGTTAAATAATCCCCTTGGAAATTTCTGTGAAAAAAGTAGACAATTAACTTTGTGGGGAGGCTTGAGTGCCACCTTGTTTTGAGGGAGGAGTCTTTTTCTTTTAACACTAATTATAAGGTTATCAATAGCAGGGCATCCATGTATTTGTATAAGCTTTCTCTGTTCCATTGCCACACTCTAAAAGTAACCAAACTTATAGTAGGAAGCTTAAGGGGTGCCTTGGCAAAACAGCATAGCTGGGGTCAAACACTAAGGTTGTGGATGCATCAGAGGTGCACATCAGAACAGAAGAAGGTCCTTTGCAGTCAAGGTCACTGAGTCCTGTCAACCTTCCTCTTAAGAAGAACTATTTCAAGTTTGAAGTGAGTCTACTCTGTTCTTGGCAGTATATAAACAAAGGGTAGGTGAAAGTGCCACCTAGTCGTTCCTCTCTCCAGCTAGAGAGAAGATTCTCAGAGGGAGACCTAGTGGGGAGGCAAAGGGAAACCTGAGTCCCCTCTTCTGGACCTACGAAGCTGACATCCTCCTAGGTAGAATGGAATGAACTGAGTTTGTTCTACTATTTTGAAAATATGAAGAGTTTTGGTAATTCCAGAACCAACCATGAGTTCAAAAGAATAAGATGAAAGGTACTGAGCTCACATTTGTCATCATGATTGTGAACATTCTTTGTAAGAAACGGTAATAAATCTGATCGCTTGATATGACATGTGGCAGGCAGGCATATTTCTGAAGTAGCTTCTCATGAGTTCTCCATTTTAAAGAGGCTGCAGCTCGCTGTTCAGCAGCTGTGAGTGCTGGAATCAAGTCAGGCAGAGAAGATAACTGAAAATGAAACGCATCAAAAAATCAATTATAAATAAATTGCAGCACTCAGTAAAATTACTCAGTCTTATAACACATTGGGGAAGAGAATACTCCTTCTCATTTCAGAGTTTAGGAGACATCTTAGTTGTCACAAGGAGATAATTATCTGGTTAAATCAAACACTTTTAAAAGAAATCATTAAGTAAAAAGTATGATTCCTGGGAACCAAATTTTGAAATAAAAACTACAACTCATTCTTCTTCCTGTCAGATTATCATAGCAACTCTTCCAACTACAGTAAAATGTATTACATATTATTACTGTCAATAAGCTTTGACCTCCTAAATCCTACCCTTTTCTTAGGTTACACAGAGGCTTAAAAAATAATAATAAAGAATAAATTTCTACCCTTTTGTCCTATTTGCTATTCTTGGAATAATCATTAATGCTAATGAAAAATGAAAATATGAACATAAACTCCAAAGACAATAGACAACAATCATGGTAATTTAAAATTATTAATGTAAGAAAGATAGAGGAAATTCAAGCTGTTCAAACTCTAATAGGCTTTTACTGACCACCTGCTATGTGGCATGCACTATTTTACAAGTTTTCCAAACATTCTTTCATTGATGCCTCAAAACACCCTGTAGAGTAGGATAATATTTACACAACTCAGAATGTTTCTGAAAGATGAAGTTTACCTTATTTTCTTGAACACTGCTTTCTCCACCAGTAGACATAAGTTCCAAGATTTCTGGAAGATGATCTATAAGAGCATCTAGTACCTTTTAACAGAGATATTGATTACTGTTATAGTGATTACTATGTTTTTGCTAGATTAATTCTACATGTCAATTTCTATATAGTAGTAGTGGTTTTTTTTTTTCCCCCAAATAACATTTTGAGGATTTGTATTTTCTTACTCTGCCATCTTCTTGCTGAAAAGTCTTAGAAACATGATCAACTGCCTTGGCCAACCTTCAAAAAGAGATTAGTGTACCTGCCTCTTGACATTGTCCAAATAGTCTAAATCTGAGACAGCTACTTCTACAAAACTAACATGTTCAAAAACTGCCTCCAAACTTTCGAAACGTTGTTTAAATTGGATAATATTCTCAGTGATATCAAAATATTCATGAGCTGCGCTTTGGCAAACTAACAGTCATTTAGGTGAAAGGAATATCTAAATATAGCATCAAAATAAAGTATTTCAAAGTCTTCATAAGTACATATTAAGTGGTAAAATACTACACAATGGCAAGAGAAACAAGTTATAAAATGTGATATATGATTACAATTGAGTAAAATAAAAACCTTTATATAGAAAAGAATATTCATATAAAAAAGAAAAAGAAAACAAATAGTAACAGTAATTGAAATTAAAGGCATTCTTTTGTCTGTTTTTTGGCACTTCCTAAATTTTTCTTAATAAACAAATATACATATACTAAGTTTTAAAACTGAATATATTTTAAAACCTTATTTTTTAAACTATCTTCCCAATATCCTATTTATGATATAGTGGTACAACAATTTGAAGCTTCTGGGGCTAGTCAGCTGAAAGAGTTGACACGATTCCAAGAAGAAGGGGAGAAAAGGCATTGGTATATTTGGACCAAACATAAAAGAATTAAAAATCAAAGAGTAAGAAAATATTACCTCCAGTGATTCATCTTGTAATAATGTTATTAGTTCTTTATGTATTAAATATACTCCAGAATTCAGAAGCTTAGATACCTAAAATATAGCAATAAAGTCTCTCAGATTTGAGAGTACTAGACAGATACAGGTTACAATAATAATTTTTAAAAATACATCCTTGTTATATATTTCTTCTAAAATAAAGCCATGTTATAACACAAATATAAAATTAGATTCTATAAAAATTAGTGGCACAAATAACCAGCTTTCTAGTCTGCCTCGTGACATGCTGGAATGTGCAGACACACATGGGGTGAGGAAATACAAAAGAATGGGATTTACCAGAGTCATTACTTTCACATCAACAGCAATAACAAGCCCACAGGGGCCTCTAGTTCACATTTTAAAGTCTTAGAGGAGCCAACAGGGTCTTAAAGGATATCCTAGGCATACAAGTGTTCATACCAGTTCAGAACTTCCCAAAGGGTAACTTCTACTGAAGGCCTACAGTGATGTCGGGGTAGTTATAACTCCTAAGAAAGCAAACCAACTTTACTTTTCCCCATCAAAGACTTTAACCAGCATGAGAGGAGTTGGGAGAGTCCAGAATAATACAGTTCCCCTTGTAGACAGTAGTTTTTTTGTCTCCTCCTTATAAACTCGGAGCCCACAATGGTGAATTTACCAGTTTCTATTTCACCTTATTCTTTCTAAAACACACTGGGCTTGAATAAAGTTTTATTTGAAAAAAAAAATGGTCCCTGGATAAAGAAAGTGTTTTAAAATTCTTTGCTCTAACAGGGTTGTTTTTGACTTGTCAAAAATATTTCCAAAGTGTTATTATTCTGAAAAATGAGAACAAAGAATACAAAAGCAATTATCAGACTCTAGCATTGACACTGTTAGAAAAATTTAAATCCACCAGTGGATTTTCATTACTTTAAAAAAAAAAAAAATTTACACTAGCCCCTCATTTTATGGAGAGGCACATCATTCTTACCCTACCTACATGGTATGATTGTGGTAGAATATGGAAACTAGCCACCCAGCAAATATAGATCAATGATTATCAAACTCACTTCCACCAGTGAAACATATTTGTATACACATGTACATTTCCATATGTTTAATTATATGGTGCTATGTTATGTCTACTATAAAACATAAATAAAATTAAATATTAAACTGATGAGAAAAAAATAGAAAGTCTAAAATTGCATAAATACTGCATTCTCAGACTCCAAACTTGTACAACCCTCTCTGGAGACCACTGATCTAACAAGTACATGTGGACATGGTAACCAAGCCTAAGTGACCATTTAATGCATCTTGGAGGTGAATATTCTGCTCAGCTGGCCAGTGCTTTCTGCCCTATCCCCGCTCCTCCGAAAGCAGAGTTCTACAGGTGTGTTTTACAAAGATGATATAATTGTGCAGCACTGAAATTAATTTAAAGAGAAGATGTCCAGGATTTTGTATAATGCATATATATTTTCATACCAGAAAAAGCGTTCTTTTAAAAAAGCAAAACTATCACCCAATAGCCAAAAAAAAATCTAAGCAACATTAATAATGATGCTATGGATGGATATCCTGCACACTTGCAGATCATCAAAGTGCTCTGACATAGGAACACAGTGCAAGGAAGGGGGTGAAATATTCTCACTGAGAATAAGAACTTGTACCACTTATCCAGAGGCTTTTATGTGTCAGTTTTGAAGTTGAAAGTTATAGCTTATCCGTATTTATTGCAACCACGGCATACGTGCACTTCTTGCTGTCATTCAAGAAACATGCCCCAAATTTCAACTTCAAGGGTTAAAAAGTTAAATTCATCATAAAAGTTTCAATTTATTTTTGCTCTTACTTTATAGTCATAATAGCAGAATCTAAAAGCCATGCTCACGAAACACCATCCATTTGTAGTAAAAATAATTAATGTGTCTCAATTTTCTATTGGTTCTCAAGTGCTTAAGTTTAGGTGCAAAGTTAACTGTAAATATTATAAAGCATATAAAAACTGATTTTACTTTAAAATCCGCATCACCCATATCTACCACAATGTCTGGTTTAAACACTTGGTATAGATATGCTGAATGAATGGGTTAATAAAAGAATACACAAATATAATGTATTTATGGAAATGATTCAGTAAACATACTAAAAAAGAAGAAAATTAAGGAAATTTTTAAACAAGATTTAAGACTAGAACATGAAAGAGATATCCAGTCTATATCTTATAATCTATAAGCACAAAATCATCTAGTATACATAGGTAGAATTAACAACAAACGTAAAGTGATATCAAGTCTTCAGACTTACTTCATAAAAGCAAATAGCAATAGTGTATCTGACTGGTACTTCAGGGTCATGGCAAAGGCAGAAGAATGTAGAATAGAGTTCCATGTGGAAGTTTTTAGGATCAACAAAAACAATCATGGCCTGGTGGAGGTGGAAGGGAGGAGATGAGTGGGAAGGAAAGAAAAACATGCATCAATACCTAATATTATAATCGTTTCACTTAAATTGAAATCATGTTCTCTGAATTGTAATTTAACTAAAAATCATATTTGGAAGATCCAAATATGTGTCTATTATTCTGATTTATACGTAGAGATATAAATTTCACAAATATTTACTCTGCACATACTATGTATGCTAGACATAATGCAAGCAGCAAGTGTCAAAAATGGCAATATTTTGAATGCCATCTATGCACATATTTTAAAGTTATAATAAAAATCCTCAGTAAATATAAATACATATTTATTACCGGAAAGTTATAAGCACAGTTCTTCCGTACTGAAATATATTTCTTCTCCTGCTCTAGGATTTGGGGTGGAATCTGGTTTTCATTGTGTCCATTTTCTTGTTGCAAACCCAATGTACAAAGTTTCTTATAAAATTCCAAAAATCTCAAGTGCTGATCTGGAGTGAAAATTCCTAAAACAAATATAAAAAACTAGCTCAACATTTCAATTGAAAACAAAATTTAAAAAGGGAAAATCAAAGTACAATAAAAATATAATTGGAGCCAAATACTTAAATAAATGGTTACAGATACTTTATAAATAAAAGGAACATGAAAAGAGTATCTGTTAGGAATCTAACAGATCACATTATTTTACCTCATGTTAATACCAGTAATATTTTAATTTCAAAAGTATAACTTACATAACGCAGGAACTGTAGCTGCATTAATTGCTGCAGCATGTATCATATTGTAGGCCACTAAAAAGTCACTAATAGTAACATTGTGGCTATTTATACATCTGCTATTATAGTAAATGTTCTAAAATTGCTGACAGAAAAGACACATGCATGTGTGTATGTGTCTCTGCAGGGAAGGAGCTTAAAAATTGAATCTGAAAGACAGCAAATAAATTCAAAATATTTTTAATCAATGGAATGGTTCCACTTCATTAACTATCTCAAGGAGCTAGAAACTCATAATATATTGTTACGAGTTCATTATTAAACAGTCTATCTCACATCGATACGGAAAGCTAAGAACTATGTGTTCAAAATGCCAAGAGTTATGGCATTATTCTACATCCCAAGCTGAACTTCTCTAATGATATAATAAATTATTCAATAAATGGTTAATAAGTGTATACTTACTACGTACAAATAGTTAATAAGCCTGAGCTTCTATTATCACATACCAAATAATACATAATTATAAAATATTCAGAGATTTAAAGAGCTATGCTTACTTCATTCTGTCACTGTTCTTTCAAATAGGTTCTATTGGTGAAAAAGTCATTCCTAAATGTGCTCTAAATGATGCTATCAAAATTCTAAGATCTCATAAGATTTTTATATACTTAAGAGTTAGGCTTTACAATTAACTGAAGAGCCAAAGTTTAATGACTGAGGTAGAAAAAAAAGGGAAAAATTATCTACAGTCTCAAAATTCTTAGGATATATCATACCATATAGTCCATGACATAGTTTTCCTAAATGGAAAGATAAAGAAATAAGAATTGATTCATCTGCTTTGAAAGATTTTTCACAAAATGATTTCACTAAGGGAAGTATAGTTTGACTTCTGTCATCTGGAAAACAAAACAAAATAATACATACTTTAAATTCAGTCGTCCACATTGCACATGTGGAAACTAATACACACACAAATTCCAGAAAGAAAAATTACTATGTTAGCCTCATAGTAATAGAAAATACCTGAAAGCAACAACGATGGAGGTGGGTGGTGAAAAAGGGGTAAGAGGAGGCTTGAAATGATCAAAAACTTTAATGTCAGGTTAAGGGGTTTGGACTTCATACTGCAGGCCATTGGGAACAGAATATAAAGAGTGATTATGAATTAAAAAGCTAAGATGATTGAGGATTTGAGCCTGAATAACTAAAAGAATTCTAACACCATTAACATAAATAGATAAATAGTAAGCAAAGGAAACTTTTCTTATTCTCTTTTACACACATCTCATACCATGCTACAGCTTAAGCCCATTTTATCATTTCATTTATTACTAAAATTACATTAGCTTATAATATGTTCTATGTATTGAATTTCATCACTTTTACTTCTTAGATGGCTCTTCTTTAAAAAATTAATCAATTATTTGAGTACATCTGCTTAGGTCATAAGTATCTGACATACTGGTGATTTTTAAGTCTCAATTCTAAATGCTCTCCAAATTTCTCACAGTTTTCTTAAATTTCAGAAATGAATCACTTCTTTATTATCTAGAAATACTAAATAAAATGCTATAACAGGCTTATGAGTATTATTATTACTATTATCATTACATTTCGGTGCCATATCTACTATTTTTGTTAAATGACATTCATTCAACACACTGTATTTCTTACAGAACAAGCCTTGTAACTAAGTAGAAGTAGAAATATGAATAATAAATGGTCTCTGATTTTGAGAAATGTAAACCAGCAAAAAAGCCAAACACAAAAAATATAAGACAATGTGATCACTGTCTTAATAGCTGGTATAAGGCAGGGATCTATAAACTTTTTTTGTAAATATTCTAGGCTTTGCAGGCTCTGTCTCAACTACTCAGCTCTGTTCTTGCATCACAAAAACAGCCACAGACAATATGTGAACAAATAAGTGTGGCTCTGTCCCAATAAACTTTATTCACAAAAACAGGCGGTGGGCCAGATTTGGTCTAAGGGCCATAGTTTGCCAACCCCTGGTGTAAAGGATTTAGAAAGATGTCAGGGAGGAAACTGTATTTAAACTGGGAACTAAAGAAGCAGAAGGATCATTCTCAGCAAACTATTGCAAGGACAAAAAAACCAAACACCGCAAGTTCTCACTCATAGGTGGGAATTGAACAATGAGAACACTTGGACACAGGGTGGGGAACATCGAACACCGGGGCCTGTCGTGGGGTGGGGGGAGGGGGGAGGGATAGCATTAGGAGATATACCTAATGTAAATGACGAGTTAATGGGTGCAGCACACCAACATGGCACATGTATACATATGTAACAAACCTGCACGTCGTGCCCATGTACCCTAGAACTTAAACTATAATAATAAAAAAAAAAAAGAAGCAGAAGGAGTTGGCTAGGACAAAAATAGAGGGAAGGAAACAATAGAGAAAGAAAAAGTATGAGAGAAGACTAGAGGTGTGAAAGAATCTGGTATGCTAAGGAAGTGGGACTGGAGCATCAGACACAAGAGGAGTGGGAAAGAATGGTAGGAAATAAAGCCACAAACACAGGTTAGGCCCAGCTCTGTGATAAATGGGTGTGGGCAGTAAAAGAGAAAAGATCAAAGATGATGGCAAGGTTCTAGTTTGGAGCCTGGGGATGCCCCATTATTAGAGGAAAAAAGATTTATTCATTCACTTATCATGTACTGCAGTTTTACTCCTCTGGTTTGTCATATTGTCTAAATGACTGTTCTGGAATTTCCAAACACAATTATTGTCCATATTGCAATAATCTTTAAGAGGCTTCCTAGAGTTCAGATAAAATGTTGGTAATCCAAGTAAATGTAATACTATAATTATACGATTGAATTCTGTACCTAAGTACTTGACATTTACTCCTCCAAATTTCTCTTTATCAAAATAGTTAATGTTTACTGATAACTAATATCCAGCATTAGTCAAGAGTCTAGCCATACATTCAGTAGAGCAGTTAACTGTCTTTGTGACATGATTTACATAACACTAAGGAATATCTCTTTACCCTCTCCCACTCAAATACCCCATCCCAAATTTCTCCCCCAATGGCCATGAGATCTCTAGCATTAAAATATTATTAAGGAGAGGAAACTCATGTAGACAATGTCTCAGGATCTGTCTTAATGTCAATTAGGTGAAAAAGTTAAAGTCAAATTCTTAGCCCTATACACACACAAGTCAGTTAAGTTTTGATGGGAGAAAAGAGAGATGGAATATGTAGCAACACTGTATGCCATAGGGTACTGGTTTTAATATGGTTTGTCTCCATCAAAATGCCTGTCAAGGCTTGGCCCCAGTGCAGCAATACTGGAAGGTGAAATCTTTAAGAGGTGGGGCCGCATGGGTCCACCCACTGGCTCCACCCTCGTGGGTTGACTGGTGAAGTTCCTGTGGTATTGAGATCTCCTTCACAAGTGACTGGGTTAGCTCTCGTGGGACTGGGTTAGTTCTCTGGAGAGCAGGTTGTTACAAAGTCAGCTTCTTTTGTTCCCTCTCCCTTTTGCAGGCCTGCTTCACCTTCCACTTCTCTGCCAGATTACGAGGTGGCATGAGGCCCTCATCAGAAACAGGTCAGATGGGGCTGCCTGATCTTGAACTTCCCAGCCTCTAGAAATGTGGGCCAAAATAAATTCCTTTATAAATTACCTGGTCTCAGGTATTCTGTTACAGCAACACAAAATGGACTACGACACCATGAGGGTAAAAGTGAAAGCCAAGAAGACACGAAAACAGAATGAATCATAAAAAGAGGGAGAGGAAGGGAGGCTTAACATAGGAAATTCTAAATCTACTTTTATTCCTTATTAGTGACATAAAACATGTAGAAAAACACTGTTTTCAGAAGCAAAGATGTAGCCACATGATTTACCTGTATCAAATATATCAAGCAGATTAACCAAAGTTTCAAAAGCTGCAAGTCGTACACTGCTGCCTTCATCCCTAGAAAGTTCTATTAATTCAGGGAGCACCACACTTTTTGTAAGTTCTGTCCTGCACAATAAGCAATAGAAGAAAATAAATCAAATCAATAAATGTGTAGCAGGAACTTACTAAAAACCAGTGACTGGGCTAGTTGCTGCAGAAAATATGAAAAATCATAAAGATACTGTTCCTGCTCTCCAGAAGCTTTCAGTCTTATTGGGAAAGCACACCATACATATAAGAAACATTAATAGTAATTTCATAATGATTTCAATCAATCCCACTTCCTCCAGCATAATATTGTTACCTACAGAAATCTTAATAACTAAGAGTTTATATCAAACTTTATAAATTATAATATAGTTTTCCATTTTAAGCAACTTCAGCAAAAATCTGGACTAATTAGAAAAACTTATCAGTAGTAACTGCAGAAACCTAAATAATATATTTCTATCTAGATTTCAGGGTATAAATTATTTTCCATTCACCTAATACATGAAATTATGGTAACTAATTTCTATATAGAAGATGATATATCACTCTAGGTGTCCTACCTAGCAGAATGAAACATAATATAAATACTTTTAGGGAGTATACAATATTTATAATACAATCACAAATAGTTTGTATTCAACATTTTGTTTCTGCTTATTCCTCATGATAAGGTGTCACTGTAATGACAAACACTCTGATCAAGGAGAGCCTTGTGATGTGGTTAGCTTTCTTGGGTACAAGATGGAAAACAGCATCAATTATAATTGACATAAGATGTTGATAGAGTCCAAGAAAGTTATTAAGAGTTGTAGAAAACTTTTAAAAATTTCAGCGCAAATCTCAAAGACTCTAAGACAATGCTGTCAAGTAGAACTTTCTCCAATGATGGAAATGTTTATCATTTGTACTCTTCAGTAGGGTACTATTGAGCATTTTTTAAAATAAGTTTATTATGAATGAGGAACTAAAGCTCTAATTTTCTTTAATTTTCCTTATTTTAAACTAAAATAGCCACATGTGACTAGGGGCTACCATATTAGGCAGCATACCACAATGACAAGGACTTAAGCAATTGAAGAGCCACAAAAAAACATGTTTTTCTAAGAGATTGATCTAGATCATACAGATAGAGATGTTAACATTACCAGTACTTCACAAACATTCAGCAAATACAGGATATAGACAGAGGAGGTAGAAGAGTAAAATGTGATAGAACAAATCCAAAGTTCATAAAAATTTATTTCATATAAATTTTGCTCAGAATATATTTGTATACCTACTGAAATCCTTGAATTTATTAACAATGAAAGAAAATAGTTTAAGAAAAATAATTTCATCTCTATAGTAAAAGTTATTTCCATTCAATCTTTAAACAGAGTTCTCTTTTTTTCAAAAACATGTGACAGTGATGCAAATTCAACTTAATTATCTCTGGGCATTAAAAAAGAAAATAATCATAACAGATAACTCTTTCATTAATTGTGTTAAACTTCCAACACGACACTTAAATACTATTTAGCAACAGTGGACACAGGACAGAGTACACTACCATACCCTGTGTGACATTCCACCATACCCTGTGTGACACTCTACCATACCCTGTGTGACATTCAAAAGCCTTTTCGGAGCCTTAAATATTGGCCCAGATTTTTAAAAAATTAACAAAGGTACCAATGACCACAATCTGATTGTCCTAGCTTGTGCAACAAAGAACCAGATGAAATCAGTGCAACTTCTGCTAAAAATGAGAGGTTCCAATGATTTTTGTACCAATTTTGAATCTTGTTTTTAAAAGAAAAGATTTCCCAAGATGGTTTTTAGGTAAGACTCCCTTTAATATCACACTTCTAAGATTGAAATGAGATCAGTTCTTATGGGTGAAGAGATTGGCTGCTATGCCTCTCCTGGAGCTTCAGGCACCCATAGAACAAGGGGAGCAACAGCTGGGCGCGGTGGCTCACACCTGTAATCCCAGCACTTTGGGAGGCCGAGGCAGGCGGATCACGAGGTCAGGAGATCGAGACCATCCTGGCTAACACGGTGAAACCCCGTCTCTACTAAAAATACAAAAAATTAGCCGGGCGTGGTGGTGGGCACCTGTAGTCCCAGCTACTTGGGAGGCTGAGGCAGGAGAATGGCATGAACCTGGGAGGCGGAGCTTGCAGTGAGCCGAGATCGCGCCACTGCACTCCAGCCTGGGTGACAGAGTGAGACTCCCTCTCAAAAAAAAAAAAAAAAAAAAAAAAAAAAAGAACAAGGAGAGCAACAAAACAAACATTGGAAGCCTGAAGTTGCACAGGAGCTATAGAAAGGCTTCCATTAGAGTGTAGTCGGCCCTCAACATCTGCAGGTTCCACATCTGTGGATTTAACCAACCATGAATAGAAAATATTCAGAAAAAAATTTCTTCTTTACTGAACATGTACAGACTTTTTTCTTGTCAATATTTCCTGAACAATACAGCATAACTATTTACATAGCATTTATATTGTATTAGGTACTATTAGCATCTAGAGATGATTTTAAACATGTGGAAGGATATAAGCAAGTCATATGGAAATACTACACTCTTTTATATCAGAGACTTGAGCATCCTCAGATTTTGGTATCCAAAAGAGGTCCTGGAACCAAGTTCCCAAGGATATGGAGGGACAACTGCAATCCCATCTGAAATGACCCAATAATATAGTCAAAGAATAGCCAGTCAAACATATTCCAAGTATGGTTTATATTGGGCTATCTTTTCTTTCCTGAATCTAGGTGTCTGGAATGATAACTAAGCAACTAAGGTGAGAAAAAAAGAAATTAACATTAATCAAACGCCTACCACCATGCTAAGCACATTCCTCTTTATCTCTTTTAATCCAGACATAGAGGAGGTACTTGTTATGATCATTTTTAAAGATCAAATACAGCCTTTCAATGGCATGTTTTCATGGAAATGGCATAAGGAATTCAAAGTATACCTACCCAATGCCCTGGGCTATATTTTCTAATTGCCGACACATACAAGATCGAACTTCATATTCTACATCTTGACAGAGTGATTTTACCAGAGGAAGTATTTCTCGCTTAATGCTGAAGGTGGGGAGAAAAGAAACATGCAAATGAATGAGTGTTTCAGAATAATATTCCCAAACAATTATCATTAAAATCTTAACTCACCTTAATAATAACAAATGTACTTTAATAGAAAAAAAATAATAGTTTACAAGGTATTTTACATGTTATTAAATTTGGATGTTATTAGCTACTTGTAAATTATGTATATCACACAGTCTTTTTAAAATAATGGTTAATTTTGGATTGGCAGTTGAAATGTCTATAGCTAAGATAAAAGGCTGTAGCAGTAGAATATCTGAGTCTAGCAACCATCAACCAAAATACTCTTCAGCTTTACTCTTGTATCATAATTATAAAACATTCCATTCTTTTCATTTGGTATTTAATAAGCAGGCAAGAAGTAGCACATGAATTATAAACATGCTCCATAAAACCTCACAATAAGTTAAATTATTCAAAATAACAAATTCATAACAACAGTGTAAAAAAGCAGCAATTCTATCTTTATGCCGCTGCCAATTTTGAAAGTCAATAAGATAACGCTATTTTATCCTCAAAACTATATTTGGTATGAGATAGGGAAGATTAAGATAGGAAGTAGGAAAAAAGTTAACCTTACCAATTCTGAAAAGTTATGAGATTGAAAAGAAAGGCATCTGAATAAGTAAATTCGTCATGAGAATTCCATAAAGTTAAAATAGTTAAGATAACTAAATTTGTATGCAGTATGAAATAACACAAATATATTGTTACACAGTCATTATACATTTTAAACGAATGTAATAAAGTAGACCGAAAATTACATACAAATACTCACGTGTGGGCATCAAATTTGTTGGTCAATTTTCCTAAAATTTTACAACTAACTAAACGAGACTGGACTGTTTGGGAAAGTTGTGCCTTGGAAACAAGTGGATTCAAAATCTAAAGAGAAAATTTAGAGAAAAAAATTCACAAAATTTTATACATTCATGCCACTCATGTCAGCTATTCCTTCAGAGTATTTTAAAGTTCTAAATGTTTTTAAAGAACCTGAATTACGATTTGAGGTTCATGACTCAATAACTTGGATTATCTTATTTGTCTTCTGAGTTATTAAGGTAAAGATAATTACAAATTATGCAATTAAAACAATTAGGAAAAAACTGAAGTAAAGTTTATGGTGATTTTACAATGCTCTGTATGCACAGATAAAAGTAGAATTTTGAAATACATATTTTAAAAAGAAAAGAGCAAATAATGACTAAATACCTTGAAATGTATTTTTATTCCATATAGATTAATTTTTATATGTATCCTAATGGGATGAAAAACATTATAGCTTCAAATAAATCCTATTAAATAATTCTGTCATTTGAGTACAATAAGCCAAGTCTGATATTGCATTATGTATATACTGGACACTCAAATACTACAACAGCCTGACAGACCATAAAACACTATGAAGATCAGACTCTGATTCTAGTCCCAGTTCTCTAGTTTGTCCAAATAATCTCGCTATTTCTCTTTTTTTTTTTTTGAGACGGAGTCTCGCTCTGTCGCCCAGGCTGGAGTGCAGTGGCGCGATCTCGGCTCACTGCAAGCTCCACCTCCCGGGTTCACGCCATTCTCTTGCCTCAGCCTCCCGAGTAGCTGGGACTACAGGCGCCTGCCACCACGCCCAGCTAATTTTTTGTATTTTTAGTAGAGACGGGGTTTCACCGTGTTAGCCAGGACGGTCTCAATCTCCTGACCTCATGATCCGCCCGCCTCAGCCTCCCACAGGGCTGGGATTACAGGTGTGAGCCACCGCGCCCAGCCCATAATCTCGCTATTTCTAATCTCCAGTTTCTCATCTATTTAAAATGGAAACAAGAATATGTCCTACTAAGATCTCTTTAATTTCTAAAATTCTATGACTCTATAGTCAACTGGCTTGTTTCCTCTCAAAGTAGCTGGAATTACTGAATATGCATTGATAATTTAGAAGTGAAAAGTTTAGAATAAATTACATATCTAAAATCTTTGAAACCACATGTTAAATAATATGGTATTCTAGAGTAAAAATTGCATTATACAGCATATTGCTTTTCAAAAAAATATAAAAATCACATGTCTATATTACATTCAGCACTTAAATATGCATAATCATCTAGATGTTTGGCATCAAGTATGCAAACATCCTTATAACTAGAAAATCTTCCCATTTTCAAGCCAGTATTTAAGCATTGTGACAGGACCATAAACTGTATGAAGACAAAGAAAGGACAAAGACACTTAATGAAGTCAGTAGAGGACATTTCATTGGCTGATGACTCTTTTTTTCAATCATGACATATTTGGAAAGAAATGTATATAGGAATAATGTTCAAAGAATACAAAATCTTTTCATTAGTGGATACTTTTCTTTCCATTTTTCTTCTTCTGTCATTGTAATTTATTTAAAGTCTTTAGAGAAGAGTATGCTGTTCAATGTTGAAAATTAATAGGCAAACAACATGCTGGGAATAATATTTGTAAATATAACAAAGAATTGGCAACCATAATAGGTAAATAGCACATATAAATAGTGATTAAAGGATAGGATCAAACAATTGCAAAGGAATAAAGAGAAACTGATATAAATATGAGAAAATATTCAACAGCACAATAATTTAAAAATTCCAATAAAATGTAATTCCATTTTTGGCCCATTAAATGTAACAGAAACACTATTGCTGATAAAAGTCTAGGAAAAGAGCATCTTCACATATTGTTAGTCAAAAGCTTAAGAATATTAATGCCCTCTGATCCATTAATTCCTGTTTGAAAGCTACAATTAAATTATCTGAAAAACAGGAAGAGCTCTACAGAAATGCTCATTAATGTCCTATTCAATAGTAAAATATAAGCCTGAAAACAGGCTTAAATGTTTCACAAGTAAAATATTCTGCAGCTACTATCAAATGAGTTTAAAAAATATAGGAAAGTAATGCTAAGTGAAAAACAACCATATATAAATTCAGTATGATCACTGATATAGCAAGCCAAGCAGCAACCATATATAGGAAAAAAATCTGAAAGGAAATACATCAGGACCTTAAAAGTGGACAAGTACAGAGCTATGAATTCTTTTTTCTTCCTTCTATATTTTATATTTCTCAAATTTCCTCCAATGTGCACGTGTTACATTCAAAATGAAAAACAACTTTCTTTTTTAAAAACCATTTTTGACAAGAAACCTTTTAAAAAAAAACCTTAGAGTGACTTACTTATTAGTATTTGCCCCCATGAAAGTATTACCTCATGCCGTAGGGTTTCTTTTGGCAATACTTCTATAACAGACAGAAGAGTTTCCAGCCATGCATTGCTGACACCTGGTTGACAGAGATAAAACATACTAAATTAAACGTCTCACTTCAAATTCAGTTTCAACTCAGCCATTAATAGTTACAATAGCACTTAATGATAAAATGGAAATAATTATTTTCATTACTATTCTAAAAAGTTTCTCTATTATTTTGTCTCAGTCAACATCTAGAAAATTTTTATATTTTTAAAAATAGTATTGGTGAGATATCTTTAAACCAAGGTTTGCTCTTTTATTGTACAATACTATAAACATGACTGCTAGAAAAGGAAAAAAAGTAACAAGAAAGTATAAATCATAAGATGAATTAATGGATCTTCAGCTTTCAAGGATATTAAATTTTGTGGGTTTTATAAGACAGCCATAGCTATTTTAAGTCATTCCACTGCTCAACTCCTAGGCAGCATGGCCTTACTCAGTTATCCTCATCAGGCTAACAGTATTTATATAATATCATGGCCATACACAAAAAAACAATAAACAAGTATATAATTAAGCATGCCAGGCCCCTGACCTGTGTCCCTGTGCTCCAGATGCAGGAGAATGACTTGGAGGAATGAGTGGGTATATGCATGAATTGACACTGATTCGTCCTGCAGAATGGTCAGAAATGACATCGCAGCCGTTAACTGCATTTCCACTCCTGCAACATGCAGGGCTTCCTGTATAATCAGAAAGAGTTTGCTATTTACATAGATGAGAGATCACAAATTATAATTTTTAAAAATCCAAGGTTGTAGAAACTAAATAGTCATATTCCACAAAATTAAGACATATGACCTTTAAGGATATGTACTTATTTCAGAGAACTATATTAATCTGCTCCTGATCATTTAACTCATTACACTACATAAAATTTAAGTGTCTTAGGATTTTATAAGATAAAGTAACTTGCCACCGCTTTATTGAATAAAAATTATAAACAGTACATAAACCTTTAAGCAACAGAGTAGAAACTTTAGAGAGGTTTTAATTTCTGTTTTCCTGTTTGGATTGTGACAGTTTGTCATCCTACCTAGAACAATGTCAAAGCTCAGACAATCACATGTGTTTCCATTATTTGTATTTGTGTTTCAAAAAATAAACATCATACATTCTACTATAAAAAAGAATACACTTAAGAGTATGCAAAATATTTCCCCTTTAAACAACTGAAGAGAACACAAATTACCATGAAGTAAACTGTTTTCAAAAGAAAATTTCTTAAGAATATGCTTTTAAAAATTAATTATATTCATAGTCATCTCCATTCACCATTTAAAGAATTTTAAAATGCATATCCAAAATTAAAGCCTATATTATAGTATGTTTTCAACACACCAAAGGGTCAAAAAAACTATCTTTCTACGTAAGCCTCAAAGATATTACTGTACTTCTCTATGAGAGAGAGAGATAGAGAGAGAAAGTGTGTGTGTTTGTGTGTGTAATGTAAAGGCAACAAGAAGTATTACTTGCTCAATTATGGCAATAATGAAAATTTCCCTTATATGCCTATTTTATAATATAATAAAGTCAGTAGAACAACCTGGAACTTAGTCATAAAATAGTTTCATATCAGTGATCTTAGGAATATTAATCCTTCTGCATTATTTCCTAATCTATAAAATGTGAATTATAGCAACATCTTCATGAAGATTTAAATCATTTAAACAGAACTTTTGTGATTTATCAACTTGTGCAAAATGAACGTTTAAATAATTACTATTGTATATCCACTGTCTTCTGTCTATGTTACCTTTGGATATCTAGTTGGAATCTCAGTTGCTCGCACCTTCACTGATCTCTCCCTAAAACCTGCTCCTCCTGTAATCTTCCTCATCCTGATAAATAGTAAATGTCATCTCTGCCATTCCAGCTGCTCAGCCCAAAAACTGTGGGGTCATCCTTAACTCCTCTCATTCCCTCACTCCCCACAGTCAAAAGACCAATAAATCCTGAAGGGTCTACCTTCAAAACAAATCCAGAATCTGAACACTAATCACCTCTCCTGTTGCCACCCTAGTCCAAGTCACCATCTTCTCCAGCCTCAATTACTCAAAAAACCTTTAACCAGTCCCTGATTCCATCACTGTTCCTCTACTATCCATTCTCTATACTGTAGCCTGAGGAATTATTTTAAGAAATAAGTCAGATAATGTCACTTTTCTGCTCAAAACTCTCCAATGGGCTTCCATCTCACTCAAAGGAAATGTCAAAGTCCTTTTAATGACTTACAGTATGTGTTCTCAGTTCCACTTTTCCTGGATTTCCATATGGCTGGCTCCCCTACCTCTTTCAAGCCTCTACTCAAATACCACCTTGTCAATGAGGCCTTCCCTGATGACCCTACTTCGAGCTGAAAGTCACCTCCTTATCCCAGTTCTCACTACCCCCCTTTACCAGTTTATTCATTACCATCATCCAATACACAACATATTTATTTGTTTATGGCCTATCTTTCAAAACTGGACACAAGCTTCATGTGTCCCCACCTCCTAGCACACAGCAGGCATTCAGTAAGCAGCTGCCGGGTGACTAAATGTCTCTTACCCTCTCACCTACGCTTTCTGCTCTTGATGCTCTCTCCCTTCACACACATTTTGCACATCTCCCAAAAAGTGGCTTCAAGAGATTTTGAGGTGAGTCCTAAAGATTAGGAATTGGCAGAATTAGATAGAAGGCAAAGCAAAAATGGATCACATAGAAATGTATTCTCAATCCTCTTTCTATCATGTCCATACTGCTGTCTTCTACCCTAACATCTCCATAACCATGATTTGGACCTATATACCCAGTCTTCTTGATTCAGCACAGTGGGACACTGTCAGTCATCACAATAGGGGATAACACAGGGATTTCTACAGCAGAAGAAACAGAATAGTAAAGCACTTTGATAAAGGCCAGCAAGCTAATAACTGGCAACTCTAACAAACAATTGTCTACCAGATGCCAAAACACTCCTATGCACTGAATTCTTCCTCACGGACTCTGCACTTCCATTCATCATTTATTAAGGCATGACTTAAAGCAATGCTAAGCCTTCATGTGGCGGTGTGGGAGATCTGGCAGTGGCATTTCCTGTGGCAAATGTCTATGTGCTATGGTTAATTGCCAGAAAACCTACCACATATTAGAGTGGCTGATTTTTGTTTTATTCTAAACTTTTGTATCATACACAAAAACATTATTTTACATGTTTTTTCAACCAAAAGTCAGTTACATATCATGAGAGTTCTTGGCTGAGAGAAAGAGGGAAAGAATGTTAAAGTATAAAGCAGAAGCAGCAAGTGGTCTCTGAAATCAATCCTCCCATACCCCTTTGTTTTAGTGTTCCCAAAAGAAACATTTCTTCCACACTAACAATTTGGGGTTTGGAAAACACTTTTAAAAGATTTGATGTGGCCAGTATACATCACTTACAGGTTTCAGAAGGCACAGCTTTTATTTAGAAACAGAAAGGACTTTGCAAATAAATATTAAAATCAATTGTGAGGGCCACAACGTACATTCCAGTTCACATGAGTCTGTTAACTTCCAAGAGATGCAATTCTGCCCCCTCTTAAAGTCATTAAAGTCCTGGGTTTTGTACGTATGCAAACTTTATACAAAGGAAGAACATGAGAAGCTCTCCAACTTCATATCTTCTTACTGTATTACTTAGTCTTGACTCCCGCAGCAACATTTGCCCCAACTATTTTGCATTTAATTTTCGAAAAATCCTCAAGTCTTATCAGGATTTGGGTTTTTCTCTTGTTGTGCTGACTTCAACATCTGGGACTGTCCACTGTTAAGAAACCAGCACAGACTAAGAGATTTCATCACTGCTAAAAATCAACTGATTTTCTAAACATATTTTTCTGAAACATAATACAATAAGAGTTCAATACTTACCAGTAAGTGTTCTCCTCCACAGAGTCACACCCTCTGGACAAACATATGTGAGATCCATACTCTCTGGATAAATAAGTGTGCATCCTCATGGACCTTGGAAGACACTGAAAAGTAAATTCCTCTATTGCTTAAGTGCATGCCTTAAGCCAGTTACCATTCCTCTTACATTACTATTGTACGGCTGGCATCCCAACTTGAATTCCTCAAAAATGAAATGAGACATTAAGAGTTAATGGCACGTTTCCAAGTTTTAAAAACTGTACCCATTCAAGGAAGGAAAGTGCAGTAGACACGTCTGTGTTTAAATTCGCTCTTTAGTTAACATGAGTGGTGCAAGAAAGCATTTTGTAAAACAACATAATACACTCCTTGCAGAGAGGGAAATAGCTGTCTCCAACAAGCCTGTATTATATCCATCAGGAAGATATTTCTCCTTAAAATACACAATATAGAAAAGCATTAAATAAATCATTGGCTTACTCCAAAAGAGCAAGTGTTTAAGTTTCACAAATTCTGAAAAGAATCTTATTGAATAAAACTGAAAAATATATTTATCATGAATAGTGCTAGTAAAAGGTAAAGGAACTCTAAAATTACAAAATATCTGTGTATTTTTAGAGATAGCATTGATTATTTTGAAATTAAATAATAGGGACTTCTATATTAAAACACTGAAGATCAGGGACATATAAAATATCTGGGCTATTAAAGATCATAAATGTGGGAGGTTTTAGTAATTAACATAATAGTGTAATAGCCCTCTTCATTATAAAATCATGATATTTATAAAAGACTTTCAAATAGGTTAAATATGAATAATTGAAATATGCCAGGTTCTAAGATACCTTTAATGATTATACCTCATCATTTTCCCTATCCCTGATTGCCACATTCCACCACTAAAATAAAGGGTGTAAAGGACTAGATGAGATCACTGAAAATCAAAATCTGAGAGGGAAAAATGAAGTGAAGACAATAAACAGAAATAACAAAGGGAGATATGTTTTACCATTCCTAAGTCTGTATTTCAGTGATTAGCAAGATTCATGAGGAGGTACACATAAAAATATCCTTAAGAACTCTTTCCATAAAGGAAATACAAGTATCATATGACTATTGTAAATATACAATAAAATATGCTGCCATGCAAATCATAAGAACATCAAAACAAACAAATCAATTTAAAGACCATAGTTTTGCAACTGAGCCTTCCAGCTGCAGTACTCTGCTAAGTCATTTTTAAACGTAATAAATTAGAATCACAGGAATTTCATAATTTAGGCTTAAAATGTAAATAAGCAGCAATTCAAAACTTTGCAAAGAAAGGATGTGCTTTTCAAAGAAATAATCTTGTTAATGGATGTGAATGATAAAGAACCATTCCTTCTGAATGATTCACTATAGCAATATTTAATTAATTCAATATTTTTTTCCAAAAATTATACACAGTTCTCTTAGAAAAAAAAGCAGCCATGGAAAGTCTAGCAAATATCTATAAGAAAGAGGAAACAGGGCTTTTTTTCTCCCAAGTCAGTCATAATACTTTCACCTTCTATCCTAATCTCTCTCAAAAGTAGCCCAAAGAAAATCTAATTCTGAAGATAATATCATTTTAATTTCATTCAAGTCCCAGCATCATACTACGTATTCTGGGAAACTGGAAAGAAGTCAAAGATAAGGATCTCTACCTTTCAGTGATTCCTGTTGACTATATACACTCACTCAAATGCTCAATTATGTTCAAGGCACTGTGCTGCTAGGTGCTAGAGACCTAGAGACCCAGCAATGAGCAGGACTAACAATGTACAGACACCTAACTGCACTGGCAGTAGAGTCTTACTTAACCTGATTTCAGGTACTGGATGATTTGAAGCTGGGCTGTCCTCCCCTGCAAAGGACAGTCTATTCAGGACTGCCCTTATTCCTACTGCAGAGGGGCTTATCAGGGACTCCGCAAGGCTGTCAGAGAAGTCACTTAGGCTCTCAGTCCCTCAAGACCCTCTTCTAGAATCAGCAAACACCCCCAGGCCCAAAGCAGGCCCCAAATTACATGCTCACTTTTCTGGATATTTGTTGTCTCTTAGATCTTGGAAGGGTAATTTTTTACTACCCTGTTAGTTTCCATAGGCCTGTATGCAGATGATTTTTATGTTTTGTTCAGCTTTAAAAATTATCCTTGCCAAGAGAGTTGATTAGAGTTACCTCGTCTGCCTTTATTGAAAGAGGAAGTTCCCTTTCCTGTTATTATTCCTTCTTGATTTAATCTTAGAATGAGATTAACCCCAACATTTCTATTTATATACCTGCATAGGTTCTCTGTGCACACATACCCCTCTACCATACCCTGTTCACCATCTCCACATCCACACAGATCAACTGATTGTTTTCTAACAATACGTTAGAAGTAATCAAGAACCTAAAATTAAATATTTTGCCAAAACCCTTGTGATATATGTCCTTAATTTACACTTCTAGTTCTTAAGCTTCCTTATTTTCTTGGTGTAAAATTATGTTTCCAATAGCAGTTCTCCACTTTTGGTCTTCATTTTCTCTGTAGACAATCTCCTCCACACCAACGACTTTAAATGTAATCTGTATAAATTTTACTTTTTTATTGGCAGACCTGTTCAGAGTATCACATCCGTATATACAACTCTCTGCAAACTCTACTTCGGATGTCTCAAAGGTATCTCAAAGGTAACAAGTCCAAAATTGAGCTCACAGTATTTCCTGTAACACCTGGGCCTCCTCCAGTCTCTTGTCCTAATGTGGGCTTTCTCTAGTCTCCTATCTTAGTGTGTGCCACTGTTACCCACCTGGTTTACAAACCAGGATTTCAGGAGTTATCGTTGATACTATTGGTTTTTTATTGCTCATATAGTCCTGGTTTTGCTTTGTTGTCTATTTCTTTAATCCATCCACCTCTCCAACCAGGCTACTTCCACCATAGTCCAAGCTACTTTGAAGGTTTGCTCAGGTAAGGGTAACAGATTCCAAGTGATCCTCACCCACTACATCCCTTCCATTCCATCCTACATCACTCTCTTCTGATTCATTTTCGACTTTACAGTCAGCATGAGATTTCAAAGCATTTAAAACTATAATTTGAATATTCTCTTGCATAATGCACCTAAGGATCTGCATAATTTGGGCTTTTTCACTGTCTCGGCAACTCCTTTTGCTTTATGCTCTAGGCACACTGATTTTCTCTCAGTTCTTTGAATCTACATTCAATCTGCATGCTTCTCTTTCCTTCTCAATGCTGGGAATGTTTGCTTTCCTATCTCCCCTTATCTTGCCCTTCATCTAATTATTTCTCTTCATACATGTAATGTCATACCAACAAAATAAGGAAGCTTAAGAACTAGAAGTGTAAATTAAGGACATATATCACAAGGGTTTTGGCAAAATATTTAATTTTAGGTTCTTGATTACTTCTAACGTATTGTTAGAAAACAATCAGTTGATCTGTGTGGATGTGGAGATGGTGACAGGGTATGGTAGAGGGATATATGTGCACAGAGAACCTATGCAGGTATATAAATAGAAATGTTGGGGTTAATCTCATTCTAAGATTAAATCAAGAAGGAATAATAACAGGAAAGGGAACTTCCTCTTTCAATAAAGGCAGACTAGGTAACTCTAATCAACCCTCTTGGCAAGGATAATTTTTAAAGCTGAACAAAACATAAAAATCATCTGCATACAGGCCTATGGAAACTAACAGGGTAGTAAAAAATTACCCTTCCAAGATCTAAGAGACAACAAATATCCAGAAAAGTGAGCATGTAATTTGGGGCCTGCTTTGGGCCTGGGGGTATTTGCTGATTCTAGAAGAGGGTCTTGAGGGACTGAGAGCCTAAGTGACTTCTCTGACAGCCTTGCAGAGTCCCTGGTAAGCCCCTCTGCAGTAGGGAATAAGGGCAGTCCTGAATAGACTGTCCTTTGCAGGGGAGGACAGCCCAGCTTCAAATCATCCAGTACCTGAAATCAGGTTAAGTAAGACTCTATTGCTAGTGCAGTTAGGTGTCTGCCAGAAGAAAATATATTCCTTCCATGAGAAAGATATCATCCTAGGCCTCAAACTATTTCTACAAATAATTTGTCAAATACAAGACCAAGCACATAATCAATAATATCAACATATATAAGGAGATAAGATAATAAGCAGAAACAATACAAAATATAAACATGCCAAAAGGAGCTCCAGATACTAGTGCTATATGATACATACATGGTTCAAGAGGATAAAAGATACAATTGAGGATTTCAACAGAGAATTCTCTAAGATATAAAAAATGGCAGATTTTAAAAAGCTAAATGGAAATTCTAGACTAGATAAATACAATAATCAAAATAAAAATCAGGTTAGATACAGATGAATTAGTGAGACAGAAGGTGTATTAGAATAAAACACCAATGAATCACAAACAGAAAAAAGGATGGAAAAGAAAGAAAAGAAGATAAAGGACATGGAAATACTATTAAAAGATCTAATATACATAAAATTGGAGTCTTAGAAGGAGGAGAGAGAGAAGATTAGGCAGAGGCACATGTAAAAAGATACCTGAGAATTTTCCAAAACTGGCCAAAGAAAATAAGCCACAGAGTCAAAAAGCCATAAATATGCCTCCATATTTCTAGAAATCTACAGATATACAGTGTAAAATCCTATGCTAATAAAAACATCTATTTAAAATGCATGTGGAAGACATTTTCAAACAGACAAAAACAAAGATAATTTGTTACCAGCAGACTTGTACTGAATACTAAAAGGTGTTCTTCAGGCAGAAAAAAAAAAAAGATTCCAAATGGAAATACTACAGGTAATAAAAAATGATAGCTATGTGGGTAAATCTAAATAGATATTGGTTAGATAAAACAATATCTAGGAGACCTGAAATATATAAATAAAATAGCTAACAACAGTAACATATAAGTCAGAAGAGGATTAAATAATAATTATATTATTATCTAGGAAAAGGGTAAAAATACCAATGAAATTCGACTTTGATAATATGTCCTTTTTGTAATGTCTAAGCTCACTAACACAAGAAAAGTAAAAGAGTCTGTAACTTCCAAGCTAATAGATGAGGGGGAAAGTGAAATAATAAAACTACTTAATCAATTCAAATAAAATAAATAAGAGAAATAGAAACATAGAGCAGTTGGCAAAAAGAAAAAGCAAATTGTAAGATGACCTATGCAATTACATTAAATGTAAATGGGAAAAATATTCTAATTAAAATACAGTGTGAGATTGGATTAAAAAATAAAACCCAATCATGTTGTTTACAAAATAAAATCTAAAACATCAGGAGAAGCCACAGAGTCAAAGAAGAAATTTCAACACATAACCAGAATATGTAAAGAGTATTATATCATTGAATGGTTATACCACAATTGACTTATCCATCAACAGTTGACTGATATTTGGGTTGTTTCCAGTTTTAGCTATAACAAGTAAAGCTGCAATGAACATTCATGTATAAGACTTTATATGAAAAGATGCTTCATTTTCTCTTAATCCTTAGGAATTAAATAGCTGAGTAATATAGTAGATGTATATTTAAATTTTTGAGAACCTGTTTTCTAAAGTTGTTGTACCATTTTATATTCCCACCAACAGTGTAAGGGAGTTTGAGTTGCTCTACAGTCTTCCACAATACTTCGTATGGTCAATTGCTGTTTTTTTGTTTGTTTGTTTTTTGTTATTTTTAGTACAGATATTTTAACAAGTGTATTGGAGATTTACTCACATTGTCCTAATGACTAATGATGTTGAACATCTTTTCTTATGTTTACTGGCCATCTGCCAATGTTCTTTGGTGAAGCATCTTAAAAATTTTTCCATATTTCTAAAAATTGGGTTGTTTTATTATTGTGTTTTGAGAAGTTCTTTATGAATTCTGAACACAGTCCTTTGTCATCTATGTGATTTACAAATATTTTCTCCCATTCTGACTTGTCTTTTCATTCACTTAATAGTGTCTTCTGAAGAACAGATCTAATTTATCAAATTTTTCTTCTAAGGATCATGCTTCTAGAGTCATATGTAAGAAACTTTTACCTAACCCAAGGTCACAAAAATTTTCTCTTATGGTTTCCTCTAGAAGTTTTAATAATTTCAGTCTTTAACATTTAGGTCTATGATCTATTTTATCTTTTGCATATGGAGCAAGGTATGGATTTATTTTTCAAACTGTTTGAGCATCATTTGTTGAAAAGTCTATCCTCTCTATAATGAATTGCCTTTGCCCCGTGTCAAAAACAAACTGACAATTTGTGGGGTAGGTGTGAGTTTTCTTAAACTTTCTCTATGTCTCATTGATTACTTTATCTGTCTTTACACCAATCATACAGTATTAACTGCTGTGGCTATATATTATGTCTTGAAATCAGGTAATGCAAGTCCTCCAATTTTGTTCCTATTTTTCAAAGTTGTTTTGGCTATTCTAGGTCCTTTACATTCTCATACGAATCTTAGAATTAGTTTGTCATTTCCTACAAAAACCTAACCTACTTGAATTTTGATTATTTTGCATTAAATATACGCATTGATCTGGGGCAAACTGACATCTTCACAATATTGAGTCTTCTGATCCACGAATATGATCTATATTTCAGTTCACTTAGTTCTCTCATTATTTCCTCTCAGAAATGTTCTATAGTTTTCAGTTTATAGATCTTATGTAACATTTACCAGATTTATCTCTAAGTATCACTTATTTTAATGCTATTTTGATAGTTTAAGAAAAACTTCAGTTTCCAATTGTTGGTTGCTGGTTTGTAGAAACACAGCTGATTTTTGTATATTGATCTTATATCCCATAACCTTTCTATACTCGCTTGGAAGTTCCAGCATTTTTCTTTTGCAGGTTCCTACATATGATAATGTTATCTGAGAAAAAAAAAAGACAGCTTTACTTCTTTCTCTGCAATGTGAATGCTTTTTCTTTTTGTTGCCTTACTGTACTGGCTAGAATGTCCAGTATACTGTTAAACAAAAGTGGTTAAGAGCAGACACTTTTGGCCTTTTCCTGATCTTAGGAAAAAGTCTTTCACCTTTAACTGAACATGTAGGTTTCTCACAGAGGAAGCTCCCATCTATTTCTAGTTTACTGAGTTGTGAGGTTATTTATTTATTTATTTATTTATGAGATGGAGTCTCGCTCTGCTGCCCAAGCTGGAATACAGTGGCACAATCTCGGCTCACTGCAACTCTGCCTCCCAGGTTCAAGCAATTCTCCTGCCTCAGCTTCCTGAGTAGCTGGGATTACAGATGCCTGCCACCACACCTGGCTAATTTTTGTATTTTTAGTAGGGATGGGGTTTCACCATGTTGGCCAGGCTGGCCTCGAACTCCTGACTTCATGATCCACCTGCCTCGGCCTCCGAAAGTGCTAGGATTACAGGCGTGAGCCACCATGCCAGGCCTTATTTTATTTTAAGACAGGGTCTCACTATCTTGCCTAGACTAGACTAAAACTGTTGGGCTCAAGAGATTCTCCAGCCTCAGCCTCCTAATAGCTGGGATTACAGGTGTGTGTCATCACACCTGGCTAAGATTTTTTTTTCCAGAAATAGTTGTTGGATTTTGTCATATACTTTTTCTAAATCTACTGAGATGATTAGATGGTGGTGTTCCTTTTTTAGGTTTCTGACAAGATTTATACTGACTAGTTTTTAAATTTTGAAACAATCTTGAATTCCTGAGATAAACCCTGACTAGTCATAATGTATTATTATCCTTCTGATATATTGTTGGATTTGATTTCTCATTTTTTGGGTGTTTGCATCTACGCTCATGAGTATATATACATCAGGGTAATGCTGGGCCTGAAAGTTTATCAGGAAGTTCTTACCTCCTCCTCTATTTTCTGAAAGAATTTGTGTAGAATTGTTATTTCCTTTACATTTACCCTAATTTTTACCATTTCCAGTGCTCATTTATTCATGTAAATCAATTTCCATCTGGTATCACATTACTTTTACCTAAATAATTTCCTTTACAGCCAGGCACGGTAGCTCACATCTGTAATCCCAGCACTTTTGGGGGCAGATCACCCGAGGTCAGGAGTTCAAGACCAACCTGGCCAACATGGTGAAACCCTGTCTCTACTAAAAACATAAAAATTAGCTGGGCATGGCAGCAGACCTGTTCCCCACTATTTGGGAAGCTGAGGCAGGAGAATCGCTTGAACCCGGGAGGCAGAGGTTGCAGTGAGCCTAGATCGTGCCATTGCACTCCAGCCTGGGCAACAAGAGCAAAACTCCATCTCAAAAAAAAAAAAAAAAGAAAAGAAAAGAAAAAAAAAAAAGATTTTCCTTTACCATTTCTTGTGGTATAGATTTGATATAATTAATTCTCTCAATTTCTGTTTATCTAAAAAGCTACTTTGTCTTCATCCTGGAAAGGTATTTTAACTGGGTATATATTTCAGTTGACTTTTTAATTTTTGCTTTTTACTTTCAGTACTTTTAATATGATATTCTTTTGTCCTCTAGACTACATAGTTTCTGATCAGAAGCCTGTTCAATTGTCACCTTTGTCTCTGGCTACTTCCAAGATTATCCTTTTTATTTTCAGCAGTTTATGAGGTATCTAGGGGTGAGGGTGTGTGTGTGTGTGTGCGCGCGCGCACGTGCGGTGTCTAGGGGTGAGGGTGTGTGCGCGCGCGCGCGTGCAGTGTCTAGGGGTGAGTGTGTGTGTGTGCGCGCGCGCAGTGTCTAGAGGTGAGGGGGGTGTGTGTGTGCGCGCGTGCGGTGTCTAGGGGTGAGGGTGTGTGTGTGTGCGCGTGCAGTGTCTAGGGGTGAGTGTGTGTGTGTGCGCGCGCGCAGTGTCTAGAGGTGAGGGGGGTGTGTGTGTGCGCGCGTGCGGTGTCTAGGGGTGAGGGTGTGTGTGTGCGCGCGTGCGGTGTCTAGGGGTGAGGGTGTGTGTGTGTGCGCGCGCGTGCGGTGTCTAGGGGTGAGGAGGTGTGTGTGTGTGTGTGCACGCGCGTGCGGTGTCTAGGGGTGAGGGTGTGTGTGTATGTGTGTGTGTGTGCGCTCGCACGCATTTATCCTGCTCTGAGTCCTCTGGTCTTCTTAGATCTATGCTTTGTCCTGGCTAGTATTTCTTTAAATAATTCTTCCTTCCCATTTCTCCTTTCTCTTTCTGAGATGCCGATTGCATATATATTAGATCTCTTTTTATGCTGTCTCAAAGCCATTGGATGTTCTCATTTTTCACTCTTTTCTATCTCTATGTTTCAGTTTGGATAGTTTCTATTTTCAAGTTCACTGATTCTTTCACCAGACATGTTCAAACTCCTGATAAGCCCATTGAAGAAATGCGTCATCTCAGATATCATCTTTTTTATTTCTAGCATTTTTTTTTCATTTGAGACAGTGTTTTGCTCTTGTTGCCTATGCTAGAGTGCAATGGTGCAATCTCGGCTCACCGCAACCTCCGCCTCCCGGGTTCAAGCGATTCTCCTGCCTCAGCCTCCTGAGTAGCTGGGATTACGGGGATGTGCCACCACGCCTGGCTAATTTTGTATTTTTACTAGAGATGGGGTTTCTCCATGTTGGTCAGACTGGTCTCAAACTCCTGACCTCAGGTGATCCGCCCACCTCAGCCTCCCAAAGTGCTGGGATTACAGGCGTGAGCCACCACGCCCGGCCTATTTCTAGCATCTTCATTTGATTATTTTATAGATCCTCTCTCTGTTGAAATGCCCTATACATCCAGGCATGTTGTTTTTTCAGTGGATTTTTTTTTACCATATAAATCACAGTTACTTTAAATTCTCTAATACTTCCAATATCTGGGTCATCTCTGACACTAGACCTGTTGTTGCTTTATGTTTTGGTAAGTTTTCCTATTTTGTGTGCCCAGAAATTTTTGATTTTGAAATGTTGAATGCTGGATATTCAGTGATGATAGGGGCAACAGTATTTATGCTCAGAAATGAACATTCCACCTCTGCTAGGCTGTTAAGTCCAGGGGGTTGAATAACCAGTCTAGTTAGCAGTTGAGCTGGGTTTCAGGCTTTTTGTTGCTATGGCAATCACAGCACAACAGGTTTCAGACCTCCAATAGTGGGCCACTATTACCTTTTGTTTAACGTGCAGCCTCAGATGCCAAAGGGTTTGCCTCAGTGTTCCTGCTCCACCCTCAGTTTTCAGCAGGCGGTCTCTCTCCACACTCTTGTCCCTTCTCTAGTAGTAGACAACTGTTGCTTGTTACTACACACTAGGCTAATGGTGGATGTAGAGTATTCTCAGATATCTTGGTGCAGCCTCATCTTAGGTAGGGGGTCTTTGAGCCTGGGCCTCAGGAATGTAACTTTTTCAGTGTTCCTGTCCTATAACTTTGTATCTTGGGGTGCGGGAGGGGGACCTTTGCCAGGGTCAAGTTTCTTGCCCTATCCCCACTGGTGGCAGACCTCTGCTTTTTATCAGTGCAGGGTCCTAGTTCTAACATCTCCTGCCTTCCACACCCAGCCCCTAGTGTCAAAAGGCTTATGCTCCCACCTTTCTCCCAGAAGTAAGTGATCTTTGCATGGTCCTGGAGGAGTGAGGGTTTTCTACCTCTCTTCCAGAAGCAAGTGGGTTTTGCTCCTACCAAACTCATCAAAGCAATGGCACTTCACCTGGGCTGTAAAAGCAGGAAAGTTCACTGCTTCTCCCTCTGCAGCTTAGACTCTTGCTTCATAAAGGAGAAGGTTTTCAGGAAATGGGCAGAGTTGGCTCCTGTCCCTCAGCAACAGCTCATCACCACCACACCTTTATCACCAAGGGAGATGCTCTCCAATCTCCTGCCTTGTCCCCTAGTCTTTCTCACAGATCAAACAGTGGAAACGTATGGAAAAGAGCTTGCAAATGGATGCAAAGCTCCTCTGTGTCTAAGCTACAAGTTATCCTAAACACATAAACTGTGCGAGTGCACATTCACCCTTTAAAAATGTGTTAAAATCTTAGCTGATACTGCTAACTACTTTATGTGGTGGGCACCTCTTCCTCCTATGCTCTGCCAAGTCAATGTTCCTGTGTCCCATCTATCCTAAGAGGGGTTTGTTACTCTTGAGAATTCAGCTCACTTGGCTGCCTGGTGACCAACTCTGATGTGCTCAAGAAGTTATGACTGTGTGGATTTTGTGGATAACCTACTGTTATTAGAATAAGAGTGATGTTCTCTTGCAGCTTTCTATATCCTAAATGGAAGTGAAACGGATTGCTTTGTTTTTGAGCCCTAGTATCATTCCTTACTCACTTACAAGCTTAACTACACATTTAAAGTAATTTCAGAAGTTTCTGTTCGTTTTTATTGCAGATAGGGTAAAAATAACAAATGACTGAATGACTAGGAAGCATATGTGAAAACACTGGTGTCCACTAGGAATTTACTGAAAGGCAATATTTTTAGGTCTATAATGCATACCAGCTAATATAACTATATATACCCAGAAAAACTATATACTCAGTAAATGTTTCACAGAACTTTAATTATTAATAGTGAAGTAATTAGTAATGTCAATCTATTTTGTCCTTAAATACAAATAGATATATATGTAAAAAGAAAAAGCATAAAAGACATTATTCTCAAAATGCATAGCATTAAATGTACCTTTATTTTTTAAGCTGTAAACCATAGAACAGTTTGTATCAATCTGTTCATCTCTAATTCCTTTCATTAATACTTTTATTTTCTGAGTGAAATAAACAATAAGTTACATAATTTTATGCTTCCTAAACCACAAGACCTCTTAATTCTGACCCTGATGATTATCTTCTATCAACCTTACATTATAGGAATTATTTCACTTTCTTATTTACATTCCTTCCTATCAGTGTCCCTAAATGTTTAGCCTGTCTAAAGAATACTATATTGTGGGCTTTTTATGATCTGTAAGGGTCTGGAACATCATGATCTGCTTATTATGCTTATCTCAGAACACATCATCTTCAGTGAGGAAGACAGATCCCTGTTTTCTTAGCTGCAAACCAAAGAAGAAAGCAATCTGTATCATTTGTTTATGCTCTTTAATTCCTTTAGTCAAAACTATTTCTTTTTCTTGGTGAACTGTAAGAATAAATTACATACTTTCATGCTTCCTAGAAATCTCCCAATAAAATATTCATAAACACTGAATTTTTTAAGCCTAGATTTTCCGAACTGTAAAATGAGTATAAATACATCACACGGAGCTGTTAGGAGGATTTTTTTAAGGATATATCTAAAGCATTAAGCATAGTGCCTGGCCTACAGTGTTCCACACATTATTACAGCTTGAGTATCCCTTATCCCAAATGCTTGTAACCAGAAGTGTTTCAGATTTTGAATGTTTTGCGATTTTGGAATATTTGCATATTCATAATGAAATACCTTGGGGATAGGACCCAAGTCTAAATATGAAATTCATTTGTTTCATATACATTTTATACACATAGGCTGAATGTAATTTTATACAATATTTTAAATAATTTTGTGCATGAAACTAAGTTTTGACTGCATTTTGACTTTAACTGCACCTCATCGCATGAGGTCAGATGGGGAATTTTCTACTTGTAGCATCATATTTATGCTCAAAAAGCTTCAAATTTTGGAGCATTTTGATTTTGGATTTGAGGATTAGGAATGCTCAATCTGTGTTGTTTGTTCACTTAACTATGCTACTTGAAATAGGACTTTTAAAAAAGTAAAGTTAAGCTTTCTATTTACAAATGTATTTATAAAGTGAATGCTTTCTGTAAAAACTCTAGAATAAGATGTTAAAAAAATCTACCCATATACAGGAGACATAAAATTCTATAATAAATAATCATATTAGGAGAAATTATTATTTTTTCCTATTATTTCTTTCTTTTTTTTTCTGTTTTTTTTTTGTTTTTTAGAGGCAAGGTCTTGCTATGCCGCCCTAGCTGGAGTGCAGTCAGTAACTATTCACTGCAGCCTCAAACTCCTGGGCCCCAGCCTCCTGAGCAGCTGAGACTATGGGCATGCACCGAAATAAAAGGAAATCACATTTCACATTGATTATGTCCCTTTTATCCTTTCTTTATTATATATTTCCCAAATCCTCTCCAAACCCCCAAAAAGTCTCTCTCGAACATAAATCAGCGTTATATACCATTCTACATGTACGTGTCAAATTTCCAAACAAATTCTGTTCCTACTTCTCATCCAAGAATGCCATCAGTGGATCAGGCCAATGTTCCCTTGGTCTTTCAGGTAGATATTTATATTGTCTCTAAATGTTAAGTTCAATGAACACTCATTTACAAAATTTTTTTGAGTGCCTATTATCTGCCAGGCACTATTCTAGGTTCCGGGGGTATAGTGAGAAACTAGACTGACAAATATTCTGCCCTTATGAAAGAAAGGGAAAAGACTGGCAGATGATGAGGTCACAAAGGTAGATGGGGGTGATTTAAGGACACGGTAGGGGGTTGTATTATATCTGAAATGGGAAGTTACTTTCATTAGTTTCCTGTGGCTGCTGTAACAAATTACCACAAACTGAGTGGCTTAAAACAACAGCTATTTCTTCTCTCACAGGTCTGGAGGCCAGAATTTCAAAGTCAGTATCACCTGGTCAAAATCAAAGTGTTGGCAAGGCCACATTCCATCTAGAGGCTCTGGGGTAGAATCTGCTTTTTGCTTCTTTCAGCTTTTGGTGGTTGCTATCATTCCTTGGCTTGTGGCCACATCACTCCAATCTCTACCTCCATCTTCACATTGCATTCTTCTACATGTATACGTCAACTCTCGTCTGCCTTCTTATAAGGACACATGTGATGGCATTTAGACCACCACCCCAATAATCCAGGATAATCTCCCAATCTCAAGATCCTTAACTGTATCTGTAAAGACCCCTTTTCCAAATAAGGTAACATTTACAATTTCTAGGGATTAGGGCCCAATATCTTTTGGGAAGGAGCATGATTCTACCTACCACACCACTTAAGTAATTTTCATGCAAGTGGGAGACAAGATATGATTGATGCTTTTTAAAAGATTTCTCTGGGTGAGTTTGCTCTAGGAGGCAAAATGGAAGCAACAGACTCAGTGAGGAGGCTGCTGTAGTACAGACAGGAGATGACTAAGGCTTGAGACATTAAATTACACATTTTATATCTGTTACAGTCATGATCAGCTAATGAGTAGTAAAGAGTGAGGACTCAGGGCTCAGACTTCCTGTTTAAACCTAATTATACCACTTGCAAGCTTTGTGACGTTGAGCAAGTTACTTAACTAAGTTGTTTCTTCCACTGTCAAGTGATCATTATAGAACTGCTATGAGTATTCAGATTAAAATGTGTAGAATATCTGACAGAATACAGTGCCTGACACATAGTAAGACCTCAATAAATATTGGCTACATTATTTTTATCTGTGCCTGGAATTGCTCGATTTCTTTTATATAATTTTATGACAAATTTATGGTTGCCAAAATGTAAGTGTAAAAACAACTAAATAAATTTAATACCTCGATAAGTAGAGAGTGTTTTTTGCATTGGATTGTAATGGAATCACCTTCGTTATGTGGTGTAATTATATCGCTATTATTCTGAATTTTATAAAAGACCATGGTATAATATTTTGGATATTTATCTTGACAATCAAATTCTTTCACTTCTAGATAATGAGAAGTTCAAAGCAAATATTGAAGTCTAACAAACATCTAAGATTTCAATTTAATATACTGTGGAAAAAGAATTAAAACTTAATAAAATCACAGGAAAAAAATTATTCAATAGATACCCTAGGATTAAATCATGTAACATGAATATATGGTAAAAACTATATTTTAAAATGTCTCCACATTTAAGAAATTTAAATTGGAGGTCAAAATATTTCCTTTCTAAATTTCTAGCTAAATTTAACCTTCAGATGAGTGGCCTAACTGCACTACCATTCATTGCCCACTTAGCACACAATTTAGAAAATAAATTGGGGAAATACTATGGATTGGCTTAATTCTATTTTTCTTACTTTCTATTTTTCTTCTTTGTTAGTTATTCTAGACAGCAACCTCAATCTGATGGATTAGCTCAATTGTAACACTAACTCTGTTTCTGACATTTTATTTTTAAACATTAAATTCCTTTATCTCTAAAACAGTGAAAGCAACCTATTTTTTAAATCACTTTTCAATTAATCCATTATCATAAGAACAAAATGCAAATGCAATAAAACAAAAATATCACTGGTGAAAGTTTATAATACATAAGGCCAGCAAAATCTCCATTACTTCATCTGATATTCTTAAAGGTAAAGACAAGGTAAAAAGTGAGCTCTAAAAGCTGCACACACCACTGTTATAAATGTGGTAAAAATCTTGGTATTGATTAACTTCTTGCATAAAATATGTATTGTTCATATCTTTAAATTATCTAAAAGTAAATCATTCACAAAAGACTAGTATTATCAAGTACACAAATTATTTTCCTTATGAATTTAACAGACTATCAACTATAACTGAAAACCAGCAGAACCATATGCATGGTCAAGCCAGAAATCTGGAAGTCATCTCTCACTTCACAAACCCAATCTGTTACGAAATTCTGCTCATTCTACCTTAACCCATGTATCTCAGATATGTCTACTGCTCTCTACTGTCTTAATTAGTTGTCCTCATACTAGCTATGAGGGCCAGAACTGAAGCTTCCTAACTATCCCACTCCAATCTATTCTCCATACAATAACCAAAATGATCACTGTGAAATAGAAACACAATTAAGTCACTGCCTGCTTTAAAGACTTCAACGACTTTTCACTGTCCTAAGAATGAAAACCAACATTTGCATGCTCTTTCATCAACCATTTCTCTAACCTCTTCTCAATCACACCCCACACCATCCACTGGGTCCAAAACACACCTGTCTCTCTCAGTCCCACCCAGCTCTTTCACCTTAGGGCTAATTACCGTTCTCTCCACCTGAACTACTTGGTCCTGACTCTCAAATGGCTGCTTCTTTCCATCCCTTCAGTTTTCTGCTCCTCAGAAAGGCATTCCTTGCCATCCCAATGCACAGCAGGTGCCCTCGTTACTATATTACTTTATCTCATCAACTCATGTTCTGTACACTCAGAGTGCTTATCACAAATGACCATTATACCTTTCTTGGGTGAGGAGGGATTTACTTGTTTAATGTCTGTTTCTCCATCTGGACTGTAGCCTCCTCCTTGAGGGCAAGTCCCCCATCTTTTGTTCACTTCTATTTTCCCAGTGCTTCGAACAGTGCCTGCCTTATAAAAGGACTCAGTAAATATTTATGAATGAATGAGAATGCCATTATTACTAAATGCTCAAGATTACTTTCTTTTAAAAAATTGAGAAATCATGGCCAAGCAAAAGTAAATAAAGCAGTTACCCGAGATGCTGTCAGCATTTCATCACTGGAAAGTAGACACTCACAGAAGTGAGGTGGAATTGACAAAGGTGCTAACCAGGAGTACCAATAAGTCATAACAAAATCTGAATACAATGAATTTAAAATAATATGCACAGAAACACAGATTTTATCATTTGAAATGGGAGTGATTAAATGTTTGGCTGTCTACATTATATATTAGACTATCGATAAAAGTCATTATTACTGGAGTTACCCCCATAAAGCCCTTCTCATTTGCCTTATTCTTCAGCATTTTTACATCAAGTCACAAGCACACAATACTCTATTATACTTGTTCTCTCATTGTTTTCCATGGTCACTAGACCTTCCTAATATACAGTCTAATCTGGACTCTTCTACCTTTTCGGCATCTCTTTTAAACGGAGTACAGCAAGACGATGGTCCTAAATAAATGGTTGCATGTTGATTAGTAAAATAAATGAGTGAAATCATTCACATATAAATAAAGGTTTCCTTAGTACATGTTCATTAGTATATACTACCTTTGTATCCATTATTCAGTTAATATACTCTGTATTATGGATTAATTTTCATTACTTTTAAAGCTTATTAAAACCATATCTTCTAAAACTCAGGCATACCTTACAGTTTCAAAAGATACATTTGATTCTTTGTATAAATACGCTATACATATGAGTGTATAATATTCTTTATACACTTTGATTCTTTGTATAAATATGTTATACATGAGTGTATAATATTCTTTATACACTTTGATTCTTTGTATAAATATGATACATTTGATTCTTTGTATTATACACTCATATATATAGCATATTTATACAAAGAATCAAATGTATCTTTTGAAACTGTAAGGTATGCCTGAGTTATAGAAGATATGGTTTTAATAAGCTTTAAAAGTAATGAAAATTTGTATAAAATTTTCTTTAGAATATTTTAAATAGAAAGTAAGAAAATAAAAAAAAGTGTATAATATTCTTTATATACTCCCATGAAATTAAGGTTTTGGGGGAGCTGTTACTTAACTTCCTTTATTGTGAACTCAACAAAAGGAATTTTGCAAAGTAATTTAGAGACCTCTAAAGTTCACTGCTCTCTTTCATCTTTTATTCTTGCATATGAAACTTTGGATATCTAATATGCTTTCTGTGGACCAGATTTTACCTGCTCAATGCAAAGTGTGCAGCATGCAGTATTCTTAGCTATAAATCTAATTTGCTTACTTACATTAACTCTGTAGCCAAGAGGACCTAAATACCTGTTCCTTTCTGCTATTGTTTAACTGGCACTTCCAGGTGTCATGCTGACAAGTGTAGGTCAGTTAGTATCACTGAAATTGAACGTAAAAATAAACCTGGTCTGTGTGGGCCTAATTCCTTTGAAACATGGCATGATTCTGGGAAAAACAGATATAAAAAAGCTTGATTTACTTTTGAATCACATGCAATGCCAAAATAAATATCATCTTAATTCACCATTGTAATCAGTCAAAATGTTCACAGTGCCTGCATAGGTGGGCATCTCATGAAAATAACATGGTATGTCCCTGATCTAAATCACAGTAACTAGAACCATGCTACACATGCCTAAAAATAAAACTCAAGGACTCAATAATAACTTCAGTATTTTAAACACATAAATTAAAAATTATGACAAGAGCTATATCCAAATAAAAAAACAAAGCAAAATCTACCAACCTCTATTAGCAAACATAATCCTCATTAGTATGTAACCTCACTGACCCCATTAGTAGGTAAACTCTTGGAGGACACACACACTGGTGTCTGTTTTATTCATTCAAGTTCTTATAAAGAAAAGCACTTTGCACATAAGTACAAATAAATAATTACTAAATATTTAATAGTTGAAATTATTTAATTTTATATTAATAATCAATAAATATTAGTCAGAAGAAAGAATGTAATAGATCAAACATTTTTGTTCATAGCAGAAAAACTAATTCTGAAGAAATTTATAAAGCAATAAATTACATACACATCTAAAATTGTGATGGCTATAATTCAATCTTTATCTGATGATTCTTCAGAAGTCATCATAGGGTCAATTATTAGGAATATCAGCTCAATTATATTATCAATGTTATACAAATACTATTAATATAGATTTAAGTCAACAGAATACTAAATACTTTTTTTTAAGAATAATTAAGAGGTGTTTTTGAGCTACTAAAAACTACCTTTAGTAAAATGTCTCTACTGAGAAAATGACTAAAGAAATTTTACAACTTAAGATCTGGATTTCTCCATTTCCATCAGCTAATTTCCCTAAATATTTTCATTATAATTCAAAATGTATATAATAACACTTCCTCCACTCAATTTTTAGGTGCAAAAGATCAGCCATCAAAGCTCCAAAATCCTTTCAACAATGACAACATGCTACTGGGAAAAAATGGGAAACTCCAATCTTATTTCATACCAACTTACTCTGACTTTTGGCAACACTCTCCGAAGCGTCTCAGTGGGATTCTGTCGCATCAAAAATGGGAGATTTGCAATCACACTTGTTCCTTGGACATCTTGACCAGCACTTACAAAGAAAACACAAATTTAAAATTTATAATTATAAGCTGAATTCCTCTGCACAGTTATAAAAAGTATGGACTAATTGGAAAAATGACTGCTTTGAATGTTAAGCACTCAGACTTCTAAGTTTTAAGCCAGAAATACATCATTTAGATATAAAATTAAAACCAAAACTGAAATTTTATTAAGCAAATCTTATAACAAATACATGAAGATATTAATTATGCTTGTGCTGAAACAAGATTGTCTATTGTTTTATATGTCTTAAGTCTAAAAGTTTCGAGACTATTATTAAATACATATTTTTTAATTCTACCTCATTTTTTCCTGTGACCTGCCAGTTTGCCATACTTTATAAAAATATATAAATGGTAACATTTTATTACGGTAAAACATTAATAGTCATAGCAACAGGGACAGCAATAAAATCAACTACAGCAAAATCATACAACTTTCTCTTGGTACAGTGAAATCACTTGTTACACTAGATTTGACTCCATGTCAGAAACTTCTTAAAGATACACTCAATACTCTTAAAGATCAGCAGGGTATATTTACATAACTCCTTTTTAAATTAACATTCATTAAGGAGTTATCAAAATAATCTCAGCAATACTCTAGTGGCCTAAATACCTTGAAAAAAATGTTCAGATTCTTCCCAAAAAAACCATTTCCACAAACAGCAAAAAACTGTTTTCAAATATAACCAAAGTGGCCTAAGTTCTGAAAGTACTTGAAATATACATATATATATATAGATAGATAGATATAGATATATATATCAAAAAGATGCTAATAAACATGGCATCACCTCAGAGGGAAATTCCACCTGTTCTTAACTGACACCAATTTAAATATTGATAGCTGATTCCATAATATTTACTTATTGATTAGAATTATTTTTACTTATCTCTTCAAATGGATTTGTAGTTATACGTACATAAGACTTTAATACATGTTTTACATAGTTTTTAAAATAATATTATTTTTGCTTTAGAGTAAGTTCTATTAGAAAGAAACATATTCTGATTCTAAATGAAGCTGCCCTGTCATGAAGAAAGGCTTTTTCTGTTGCTATACGGTAAGCTATGAAATACAGGACATCATAATCATTCCACTGTTCTCATCACTCTCTAGGAGAATCCTTTAATAGACAAAATTCAGAAGGAATAGCAAAGGGTGTGAAATAGAGAACCCATGCCAAATGGAGAGAGGATCAAAAAAAGAGAAATCAAAGTTGCACAGAAAAATACTATTTGTAGTGAACTGAATGGTGGCCCCCTAAAAGATATGTCTACATCTTAATCCTAGAACCTGCGATTATTGTCTTAATTTTTAAAGGGCTCTTGAGATAAAGAGATTATCCTGGGTTATCCAAACTATCTAGGCCCTAAATCCAATAGCAAGTGTCCTTAAAAGAAAAACTCAGAGAATAAAACACAATAGATGGCCATTTGACCACAGATGCAGAAATTTGAGCAATACAGCCACAAGTCAGGGAATGGTGACAACCACCAAAAGTTGGAATAGGCAAGAATGGATTCTCCTCTAGATCCCTGCTGACATCTTGACTTCAGACTTCTGTTTTCTAGAACTGTGACAGAATAAATTTCTATTATTTTTAAGCCACCTGGTTTGCGGTAATTTGTTACAACAACCAGAGGAAATAAATTTACTACACTGCTAAAGAACTGAAAGAGAATAATCTGAAAGAAAAAGAAAATGACAATGCCTGGCCCAGGGTAGAGGTTCAATAAATATCTCTTGAAAACATGAATGAATAGATGGCTAACTAGATGAACAGATGTCAGGAACATTAAATATTGAATGTTCAGTGAATTTTATTCACTAATTTGCAATTAAGATAAAAAAGGGTATAATCTCTAATACCTCATGGAGGTGAAAACAAAACTTTTCACAGGAAGGCAAGAAAAAGAAAACAGAAGCAAAAAAAGAACAAATAAAAAATAAAATGATACACTTTAGCCTTAAAATATCAACAATTACATTAAATATAAGTGGTCTAAATATATCAATTTAAGACCGGAATTGGCAGAGTGGATTTTAAAAATGATTCGACTATATACTGTCTACAAGAAACTCACTTCAAATATAACAGTATCAGTGGTTGAAAATAAAGAATGGAAAATAATGTATCATAGAAATGTGAATCAAAAGAAAGCAGGAGTGGCTATATGAGTATCAAGTAAAGTAAATCTCAGAGAAGAGAAAATCACCAGAGACAGACAGGGACATTATAAAATGATAAAAGAGATGAATCCACCAAGAAATAGCAAACCTAAGTGTGTATACAACAAACTGAGTTGCAAAATATGTGATGCAAAAACTGATGAGACTGAAAAGAAAAACAGACAAAAATACACAGGTGCAGCTGGAGATTTCAGAACCCATCTCTCAACAACTGACAGAACTACACAGGGAATCAGCAAAGATATAGAAGAACTCAAGAATACCATCAACCAAGATTTAGTAGACATTTATAGAACACTCTATCCAACAGCAGAATACACATTCCATTCAAGTGCCCGAAGAATATATATCAAGACAGACCACAAAACAAACCTCAACAAATTTTTGAAAATTTAAATAATACAGAATTTTCTCTAACCACAATGGAATCAAACTAGAAGTTAGTAAAAGAAAGGTAACAGAAAAATCTCCCAACTCTTGGAAACTAAACAACAAACTTCTGTATTTTCCCATGAATCAAAGAGAAAGGTCTCACGGGAAATCAAAAAATACACTGAACTAATGAAAATAAAAAATCAACATTTGTGGGATACAGGTAACATATTCAAAGAGGGAAATGTAACCATTAGAAAAAAATGGAACATCTCAAATCAATAATCTAACTTTCCACTTCAAGAACCTAGAACAAAATAATCACAATACAAGCAGAAGAAACAAAGAGATGAGATTAATAATAAAAATAGAAAAAATAAAAGGAAGGAAACAAAGACCTAGTTGTTTTAAAGATCGATAAAAATCAACTAATCTCAGCAAGAATGACAAAAGAACAAGACAAGACATGAATTACCAACAACAGGATTGAAACGGTAGGTATCTCTACAGACTGCAGAAATCAAAAGGATAATAAGTGAATGCTATGAATACTTCTATACATATAAATTTGAAAACTTAGACAAAATGGTCCAATTCTTTGATAAACATAGTCACAACTTATCCAATATGAAAGAGATAATCTGAATGCTCCTACAACTATTAGAGAAATTGAATTAATATTTTCAAAGTCTTAAAAAATTGTCCAGGCCCAGATGGTTTCAATGGAGAATACTACCATTTAATGAAAAATTAACACTATTCTACACAATCTCTTCCAGAAAAGAGAAGAGGAGGTGGCACTTCCTAAATCACTTCATGAAGAAAAACTGCAAAGCAGTATACCTCATATATATAGATACAAAAATATTTAACAAAATTTTAGCAAGAATTATATACCATGATCAAATGAAGTTTATTGCAGGGATGCAACGCTGGTTCAATATTAAAAATCAATGTACTCCATCACATTAACAGGCTAAAGAAGAAAAATATCACATGATCATACCAATTCAGAAAAAACATGTGACAAAAGTCAACACATGAACACTGAAATTACAAATTCAATATAATTTATAATCACTCCAAAAAACTAACAAAATATGTACAGAAGTTGTAGGCTGAAAATACACAATGCTGAAAGAAATCAAAGGATATCTAAGCAATCAGAGAGGCACACACTGGGAAATTCAGCATGGTAAATATGGCGATTCTCCCCAAAGTGGTATACAGCTTTAACACAATTCCTATCAAAATACCAACAAGATTTCGGGAGACATAGATTATATTTTTTCTAAATTTGTATGAAAAACCAAAGGAATGAGCATAGCTGAAACAATTTTGAAAAAGAGGAATGAAGTAGGAGGAATTGTGTCCACCCACTGTTAAGACTTATTATATAGCTATAGTAACCAACACTGCACAGTATTGGTGGAAGGAGAGAGACACAGATCCACAGAACAGAAGAGAGAACCCAGAAATAGACCCCCACACATATGCCCAACTGATTTTTGGCAACAGTGCAGAGACAATCCAGTAGACAAAAGACAGCCTTTTCATCAAACGGCACTGAAGCAACTAGATATCCACAGGTGTTTAAAATTAAAAACAAAAAAAAACTGACATGACCTATGCCTCACACTAACTCAAAGTAAATCACAGACTTATACTTAAAACATAAAACTAATCACTTCTCAACCTTTTCACTAAGATCAAGTGTGAAACATATAACAATAGACCTGTCAGGAAAAACATGGGCAAATAGCTTCTAGATCTAGGGCTAGACAAAGAATTCTTAAACTTGACAGTAAAAGCATGATCCACAAGAAAGAAAAGTTAGACTTCATCAAAATTTAAAACTTTTGCATTGTGAAAGACCCTGTAAAAGGATGAAAAGACAAGCCACAGACTGGGAGAAAATATTTGCAAATGAATGTTTGAAAAAGGGCTAGTGTCGAGACCATATAAAGAACTCTCAAAACTCAATAGTAATAAAATACACAATCCAATTCAAAAATGGGTAAAAGACATGAGGGAACATTTTACTGAGGATGATATACAGATTGCAAATAAGCCCACTAAAAGATGTTTAATTCATTAACCATCAGGCAAACACAAAGTAAAAGGACAATGAGATATCACTACACACTTATCAGAATGGCTAAAATTTTAAAAACACTACCAAAAGCAAAAAAACTGGATGACTCATTGCTGCTAGGAATGTAAGCCGGTATAGCCACTCTGGAAAACACTTTGGAAGTTTCTTAAAATATTAAATATGCAACACCATACAAGCCAGCAATTGTACTCTGGGGCATTTATCCCAAAGAAATAAAAATTTCTGTTCACATAAAAACTTGTGGATGAATGTTTATAACACCTTTATTTGAACAAAACAACAACAAAAAAAAGATATGAAAACAATGATATGTCCTTAAGTGAAGAAACGGATAAATGAACTGTAGTACACCATACTGTGGAATGCTACTCAGCAATAAAAAGGAAAAAAAAAGAACTATTTATATGTGTATCCACCTGAAGAATCTCCAGAAATTATGCTAAGTGAAAAAAATTCAATCCCAAAAGGTTACATACCGTATGATTCCACTTATATAGCATTCTTGAAATGACAAAGTTATGCAAATAGAGAACAGGTTAGTGAATTCCAGGGGCTAAGGAGAGATACAGGAGCAGGAGGGAAATAGGTGTGACTACACAAGTGTAATGTGAGAGATCCCATGGTGATGGAAATCTTATGTATCCTGATTTTATCAATGTCAACATCCTGTCAAGATGTTACTATAGGGGAAAACTGGATAAAGAGAACATGGGTATTTCTGTATTATTTCTTACAACTGTATGTGAATCTATAGTTTTCTCAAAATAAAAAGATTTTTTTTTTTTTTGAGATGGAGTCTGGCTCTGTCACCAGGCTGGAGTGCAGTGGTGCAATCTCGGCTCACTGCAACCTCTGACTCCCTGGTTCAAGCTATTCTCCTGCCTCAGCCTCCCGAGTAGCTGGGATTACAGGCACGTGCCACCACGCCCGGCCAATATTTTGTTTTTATTTTTTAGTAGAGACAGGGTTTCACCATGTTGGCCAGGATGGTCTCGATCTCTTGACCTCATGATCCACCTGCTTCAGCCTCCCAAAGTGCTGGGATTACAGGCGTGAGCCACCACACCAGGCCAAAAGGGTTAATTTTTGAAATCAGTTAATGTAACAGAATTTTCAAAAAACACATGGATACCTCACTGCATGTGGAAATCTGAGAAATCCAGTATGTACCCATGATTTAAAACTATCAGCAAACTACAAATAGAAGGGAACTTCTTCAACCAGATAAAGAATATCTACGACAAACTTAGAGCTAGCATCATACTTAATGGTGAAAGAAAGAATACTTTCCCCCAAGTCAGGAACAAGGCAGGGATGTTGACCATTACCACTTCTTTATTTTAATCCATAAACACAATATTTATCTTTGTTTATTTATATCTTTGAATAATTTATTCAGTTTTATGTAATTTTTAACAAACAGATCTTACACACATTTTCTTAGATTCGTATCTAAGCACTTTATTTCTATAGGTTTTTGGGGAACAGGTGGTGTTTGGTTATATGAATAAGTTCTTCAGCGGTGATTTCTGAGATTTTGGTGCACCTATCACCCAAGCAGTGTACACTGTACCCAGTGTGTAGTCTTTTACCCCTCACACCCCTCACACCCTTTCCCCAGGGTCCCCAAAGTCCACTGTATCATTCTTATGCCTTTGCGTCCTCATAGCTTAGCTCCTGCTTATAAGTGAGAACATACGATGTTTGCTTTTCCATTCCTGAGTTACTTCACTTAGAATAATAGTCTCCATCAAGGTTGCTGCAAATGCCAATATTTTGTTCCTTTTTATGGTGAGTGTGTATATATATGTATATATATATATTTATATATATACACACACACATTTTCTTTATCTACTCATTGACTGATGGGCATTTGGGCTGGTTCCATATTTTAGCAACTGCAAATTGTACTGCTACAAACATGCATTTGCAAGCATCTTTTTCATATAATGACTTCTTTTCCTCTGGGTAGACACCTAGTAGGTACAGAATCACAGAATGGATAAGAATTCACCAACCAGCTGCTGTCTTCAAGAGACTCACCAAACACACATAAGGACTCACATAAACTTAAGGTAAAGGGGTAGAAAAAGATATTCCATGCAAACGGTCACCAAAAGTGAGCAGGAGTAGCTATTCTTACATCAGACAAAACAAACTTTAAAGCAACAGCAGTTTAAAAAGACAAAGAGGGGCATTACATAATGATAAAAAGGACTTGTCCAACAGTGAAATATCACAATCCTAAATATATATACACCTAACACTGGAGCTCCCAAATTTATAAAACAATTACTACTAGACCTAAGACAGCAGCACAATAATAGTGGGGGACTTCAATACCTCACTGACAGTACTAGAAAGGTCATCAAGACATAAAGTCAACAAGGCAACAATGGACTTAAACTATACCCTAGAACAAATGAACTTAACAGATGATCTACAGAACATGCTACCCAACAACTGAAGAACACACTTTCTATTCATCAGCACATGGAATATTCTCCAAGAAAGACCATATGATAGGCCACAAAACAAGTCTCAATAAATTTAAGAAAATCAAAATTACATTAAGTACTCTCTGAGACCACAGTGGAATAAAATTGGAAATCAACTCCAAAAGGAACCCTCAAAACCATGCAAATACATGGAAATTTAATAATGTGTTCCTGAATGATCATTGAGTCAACAATGAAATCAAGATGGAAATTAAAAAATTCTTTCAACTGAATAATAGTGACACAACTTACCAAAATCACTGGGATAGAGCAAAAGCGGTGCTAAGAGGAGAGTTCATAGCATTAAATGTCTACATCAAAAAGTCTGAAAGAGCACAAATAGACTAGCTGAGGTCGCACCTCAAGGAACTAGAGAAACAACAAACCAAACCCAAACCCAGCAGAAGAAAAGAAGTAACAAAGATCAGAACAGGACTAAATGAAAGGGAAACAAAAAAAAAATACAAAAGATAAGTGAAACAAAAAGCTGGTTCTTTGAAAAGATAAACAACATTGATAGACCACTAGCGAGATTAACCAAGAAGAGAGAAGATCCAAATAAGCTCAATTAGAAATGAAACGGGAGATATCACAACCAATACCACAGAAATACAAAAGATCATTCAAGGCTACTGGGAACACCTTTATGCACACAAAGTAGAAAACCTAGAGAAGATGGATACATTCTTGGAAGTATACAACCCTCCTAGATTAAACCAGGAAGAAATAGAAACTCTGAACAGACCAATAACAAGCAGCAAGATTGAAATTGTAATTTAAAAATTGCCAACAAAGAGAAATCCAGGACTAGACAGATTCACAGCTGAATTCTATCAGACATTCAAAGAAGAATTGGTACCAACCTATTGAAACTAGGCCATTACCACTATCCAACACTGTGTTGGAGCTCTGAGCCAGTGCAATAAGGCAAGAAAAGGAAATAAAGGACTTACAGATTAGAAGTTTAATTATCTTTATTCACAAACAACATAGTTGTCTATGGTGAATATCCTAAATAATCTACAAAATGGCTAGAATAAGTGAGTCTAGCAGTATGCAGAATACAAGGTCAATACATAAAAGTATCTCTACTTTTATATATTATATTCTCCATATAATAGAAAAGAAATATAAATTATAATTTTAAAAGTAATCTAATTTACATTAACATAACAATATTGATATGGGAGGGGGTGCAGGGAAGTGCCGGGAAGGGAAAGGCTGTTCCCTGACTAGGGTACCACCCCTGGGCCTGTGCCCACGGACCTAGGTGAGGACAGGAACTCCTGCCTTCACGTCCAAATTCTGCCATTTCCCAAGACCACCCTGGCCCACCACACCCTCATCCTGTGCCTATAAAAACCCCAAGACCCTAGCAGGCAGAGACGCAAGTGGCTGGACGTGGAAAGGAACACTCCAGCGGAAGAAAACACACGCAGCTAGATGTTAAGAGGCCGTCAAGAGGAGCGCATCCGCATAAGAGCACAATAACAGGCACTGGCAGGTCCGCAAGCCATCAACCCCCGGAATGAGGTGGAGTTTGGCTGGGGCAGTCAGAGGAGAGCGCGGGCTGCTAAGCAGCCCGACTCCAGGGGAAAACTACCTTTCCACTCTGTCTCTCTTCTGGCTCCCCCATCTGCTGAGAGCTACTTCTACTCAATACAACCTTGCACTTATTCTCCAAGTCCACGTGTGATCCGATTCTTCCAGTACACCAAGGCAAGAAACCCCGAGATACAGAAAGCCCTCTGACCTTGCAATAAGGCAAGGGTCTAATTGAGCTGACTAACACAAGCCGCCTACGGACAGCAAAACTGAAAGAGCACCCTGTAACACATGCCCACTGGGACTTCGGGAGCTCTAAACATCTACCTCTAGACACTGCCATGGGGTCAGAGCCCCACAACCTGCCCATCTGCATGCTCCCCCTAGAGGTTTGAGCAGTGGGGCACCAAAGAAGCACGCCACTCCCCCACTGCACGCCCTGCGAGCGGTCTGGGGAACTTTTCCTATTTCAATATGAAATATATTTAGAAAACTTGACAAAAGATGTTTAAGATTTGTAGACCAAAAATTACAGAACATGCTGAGAGAAATAAAGAAGAACTAAATATATTCAAGTATCAAAGACTCAATACTGTTAAGATGTCAATCTCACAAATTGAAGACAGATTCAATATGATCCCCTTCTAAAACCCAGTAGGCTTTCTGCAGAAATGAACAAGCTTATTCTAAAATCTATATGGAAATGCAAAGGATATAGAATAGCTAAAACAAATCTGACAAAAACAAAGTTGTAGGGCTAATACTAGCAGGTTTGATTTTAAAACCTATCACAGAGCTACAACAGTAGAGCTACAACAGACAATGTCGTGCAATACTGGCATATGATCAATGGAAAAGAACAGAAAGTCCAGAAATAGACCCAAACATAAATGCGCAATTGAGTTTTTAAAAAGGTGAAACGACAACTCAATGAGGAGATGATAATCTTTTCAACAAGTGGTGGTGGGACAATTAAATAGCCGTATACAAACACAATGAGTCTCTCCTCAACCTGAAACAATAAACAGAATTTAATTCAAAGTGGATCACAGGCCTGAATTTAAGAGCCAATAATGTAAAACTTCTAGAAGAAAACAGCAGAAAATCTTAGTGACCTTGGGTTTGACAAGATTTCTTGAAGAAAACACAAAAGGTAAAGTATAAAAAATTTAAAAATCAACCAAATAAACTTCATCACAATTAAAAATGTTTGTTTTTCAAAGGCACTGTTACAAAAATGAAAATGTAAGCCATAGACTGGCATAAAATATTTGCAAAATAAATATTTAGCAAACAACTTGTATCTAGAATATATAGAGAATTCTTAACTACAAGAGTAAGAACATCCAATAAAAAGCAGACAAAAGATTTGAACACCTCACCAAAGAAAATATAAAAATGGCAAATAAATACATCTTAAAATGCTCAACAAAATTTTAATCGTTAGGTAAAATTACATTACAACCACAATGAGATATCACTACACATTCACTAAAATAACTAAAATTATAAGGACTCAACGTGCCAAATGTTGGCAAGGATGAGGAGTAATGGTCCTTTCACATACTACTGATGGAATATAAAATAATACGATCATTTTGGAAAAGTTTGACAATTTCTTTAAAGGATACACATACACCTACCAAACCACCCAGATATTCCATACTTAGACATTTATCCAAGGGAAATAACAGCATATGTTCACATAAACACTTTAATGTAAATATTTATAGCAGCTTTGTTTGTAATACATAAAACAATCCAGATGTTCACTAACAAGTGGATAATCAAATTATTATATTCCATACAGTGATATATCCATATAGCAATAAAAAGAAATGAACAAAATCATGGATAAACTTCAAAACAATTACACTGAATGAAAGAAGCCATACAAAAAAAATAATACTACTGTATGTTTTCACTTACAGAAAATCACAGAAAATACAAACTGAACTATAGTGGCAGAAAGCAGTTTTTGCCTGGGAATGAGGAAAGGAGAATGAAAGCTGGGTTACAAAAGGGACATGGGGAAATTTTCGGAGGTGGATATGCTTATTATCTTGATCATGGTGAGGGTTTCATGGGAATACACATATGTGAAAAGTCATCAAATTCCCCATTTTAAATATATGTAGTTTACTGTACATCAATACCTCAATAAACTGGTGCAAAATAAAGTATATAAATACAAAAAGACTGATGAAAGTACCCCTATGAAGATGGCAGCAGTGAACACATCATTTTTTAAAATTTCCTGAATCCCTCATTAAAAACAGAGCAACTAGGACAAAAATAATAAAATTAAACAAAATAAATAAAATAAACCATGCATAACATCTACACCATAACTACGTGATAAGATTTCCCACACAAACCAAAAATGCATGCCACGTGTGAATGGCAGCTAAAACTGCAAATGGTTTTGTATCCTCCAACAGCTGATGAATTCAAGTCCATAGTAACATCTGAGAGGACCAAGCAGTCTTATCCCCATGAACTTTCAAAACTTCTAGAACAAAGACCCAAGATGAAGAAAAATTCTGGGAAACAGAATCCAAATTGAGCAGCAGAGGAACAACAAGAAGGTCCACATAAAAGTACAGGAGAGAAACAGAACCGAGAAACCTCACAAAGTAAGGTATCCTAATTCGAACACTATACAAAACAACAAAAAAGGGAGCTCTAGAGCCCTGAAATTAGAAAAGCTATCCTGAACCACACCTCCTAAGGTTTATGAAAACTAATTTCACATAAAAATGAAAAATAAGGATCATGATTAAATTACACGGATAGTTAATTTTTAAAGAGAGAATAAGGAGCAGACTAATATTCCCAAAGACCATGAAAGACATACGCAAACTACAGGTAACTATAACCTACTATTTCTCCACAAGCAAAGAAATTTTTAATGTGTAAGATATGAAAAAACACATGAATCGTAATTATGAAAACTCAGAAATGAAGTGATAGAACTCAGGAAAGAATTAGAAGAAAATATTTCAAAAAAGACTAAACTAGAAAGAAGAAAAAGATGAATAAACACAATAATACTTCAAGAGAAATAAAAGGTGAAAAGAAGAAAAATTTTTAAATAAAAAAGATTTGAGGCCAGGCACAGTGGCTCATGCCTGTAATCCCAGCACTTTGGGAGGCCGACGCAGGCAGATCACCTGAGGTCAGGAGTTCAAGACCAGCTTGACCAACATGGTGAAACCCCGTCTCTACTAAAAATACAAAAATTAGCTGGGTGTGGTGGCAAACATCTGTAATCCCAGCCACTTGGGAGGCTGAGGCAGGAGGAATCACTTGAACCTGGCGGGTGGAGGTTGCAGTGAGCCAAGATTGTGCCACTGCACTCCAGCCTGGACGACAGAATGAAATTCTGTCTCCAAAAAAAAAAAAAAAAAAAACCTTTGAAAGAAAGTAATACAGGCTTGAGAGAAAGTAATATATAAGATAGACAAAGAAGATCTAACAACTTTCAATAGGAGTTCCTGAAGAAGAAAACCAAAACCAAAGCAAGGGAAGGAATTTTTTTTAAGTCAAAAAAAAAAAAAAAGATTCAAAAGCACATACCACAAACCTGAGAAAATCAATCCAATATAACCAATACTGAGATTTACTGTTGAATCTTAAAGAAAAAGAAAAATCCTTTGGGCATCCAAGCAAAATAAGCAAGTTACTTAGGAACAAAAAGAAAAGCAAATTATCATTAGACTTTCACAGCAATAAGATACAAGGAAAGCAAATAATACTAGTCTATAGGGTGATATTGCTCACTATAAATAGGACATGAAAAAACATAAAAAGAAATATAAATTTTGTAAAATTATAAAAAATTATAATCACCATAATCTTTAATTTCTATAATTAATTTATATCTGGCCCTTTTCCTACCCAGGGAGAAAAACTGATACATTATGGGTAGTACATTGGGTATTATGAGTTTGAAGGAAAAGAAACTGGGTTAGCTAGTGGTTCTCAACCAGGAGTGATCTCCCCCTTCCCCTCCCCTCTACTCATGGTCTAGGGACATTTTTTTTTAATCATCATTTAGGAAATACTACTGTAATCTAGTAGGTAGAAGCCAGAGATGACACTAAACATCCTACAATGCACAAGACAGCTGCCTACAACAAAGAATGTCAATATCTCAACAAAATATGTCTAAGAAATCCTGGTTTAGACAAAGCAAATATTAGTTGAGCCACATGAAACCACCAACATTAATTACTGGCCACAGTTCAACATATATGTTGAGCTTAGCAGAAATATATTAAGTCAGTGACATCAAGAAAATGTATACAGGTTGGTAACTACAACATGCTAGAGCAGCGGTTCTCAAACTTCAGCATGTGTCGGAATCCACTTGTACAGGGCTTGTTAAAACTGGGTCCCACCCCCAGAGATTCTGGTTCAGTTGGTCTTGTTTAGGCCTGGGAACTTGATTTCTAAGAAGTTTCTAAGAAGTTTCCAGGTGATACTACTGGGGATCACACAGTGAGAGTCACTATGGTAGAAGGACAGTCAAAAACAAAAAAGAGGAAAAGGAGACTGCAGAATCTTAACATTTTTTAGATGTGAGTGAAATGAGCCAAGTGCACAGTAGCAGTTTGCCCAAATGAAGCGGAAGGTCCATCTGACAGTAGACTGCATATGTTCACAACTTCTGTTAGTCCTGGCTACTGGGCTCCTCATAATGATGTTAAAAGTAATATGGAAAAAAAATAGCAGAGATGGAATAACATGTAAGTCTACTTAAATGTACATTAGAGAAAAGTATAAGGAGTTTGTGAAAAGGTTGTGTATCAGACAAAAGGGTCACTGACTAGACTTGGCTTGCATTAAAATGGGAGTTCTTAACTTGCATGCCTGGGAATTTCTTGGGGCTGTGAACATGTTGTTTTGTTCTGCTGACTTTAGTCATAATCAGTATAAATAAACCAAGTATTGCCCGGTGTGGGGTACTGCGCCTATAGTCCCAGCTAGTCAAGAGACTAAGAGAGGAAGATCACTCCAGCTCAGGCCCAGGCATTCAAGTCCAGCCTGACCAGCACAGCCAGACTCTATCTCTTAAGAAAAAAACAAACAAAAGAAAACAAAAAAAACAAGTATGTGTGGATCTATGCTACCATCACTGACTAGAAGAAACCCAAAAAAATGGCATACAGGATTTCACTTTCTTGCTGCTTTATAGCACACATGTAATTTTTAAATATTTGATCAACATTATTCTTTTTGTTTCAAAGTAAGCTTCCCAGCTTCCCAGATTTTAAAATCTACAACTTCCTATTGAAAAGCCGGCACAGGAAACAATCATCATGGTTACAACTTGAGCTGCTCCTTTTTGCCCCAGTTGTGCTATTCTTTGGGACATGCTCCTTTTCTAGGATACTTACTCAGAAACAAAATGAACACAAGCCCACTCAACAAACCATTCCTCTAAAACTAAAAAGAATTGGGTTAATCATCTAATCTGTACACTAGTGGCTAAAAAGGAAAGCTGAAAAAAACAAGACTAGTTAAATAAATGAATTTAGGACACCTATCTTTTAAACTCTAAATTAATGTTACTAATTATTTTATCCCTACTGGGAGATGCACCTATTTTAGAGCCATTTATAGTAAAATCTTATGCCAATGAAAAACAAGTCAATCCACTGAAGTATTCTTAGATACAATAAGTTTTATAGTCTTTCTTGTTGTCCCAGCTTCTGCCATTGTCATGGTAAACTTTTTCATTCAGGTGAGTGACCAACAGCTGGTTTCTGATTTCCTGTAATCCAAGGATGTTTTACCCAAATGTGACATTCCCCAATGCCTAGCAAAGCAGCACACGGTAAAGGCTTCATAAATATTTGTTAAAATGAATTCATCTTCACTTCATATCAGCAACCCATTCCTTTTGTCAAAGGCTGGATATTATCTGGAAATATTCCATCTCTAGAATCTCAAGCTGTGATCTCACTTATTGGCCATTAACTCTTATTTTTCTACTTTTCTATTGCTAAGCCTACATTTCACCCTCATCACATTTCTAACCTATTAACCTTCTTATTCTCCAGTACCTAACATTCTTCCTAGTTTCACTTTCCTCCTTGCCAGCCTGAACCTCCCTATTATTTCAATTAGATTCTCGCCAATAACCTTACTTTAATAACCTCCTTCTAATCACAACAAAATAAAAATAGCATCTAATATACTATAAGCCAGGCATTGTGCTAATAAATAAGCACCTTACTTGCACTCATCTTATTTAATTATCATACTAATTTTATAAGGTAGGTAGATATTATTATTATCCCATGTTGTAGATGGGGAAATTAGAGCTTAGAGAAATTAAGGTACTTGCCTAAAGTTATGCAGCCTGTACTACTCCAAAACTCATACCAACCACTATACTACACTGACTCCTGTCCAAACTGTGCATCCAGACAATACCAAACACATCTATCAGCTTTTCCTATCCCACTCCTGCTCCTAAGCTATGCAGCACTGCTAGAGAAAACTGTGTAACTTTGCTGCTTAATGCTTTTAAAAAACATATGGTTAAAAAAAAAAGTTTGTCCTCAATGATCAATGATGCTAGACAAAAACACAAAATGATAACCAATTTGTTGCAATCAAGAAAGGAACCAGAAATTCTTAGTTTACGATATTGCCTAAAGCATTTTCAGAAACATCTTTGATCTCTCAAAATGAGGCTACCTGTGCTAGTTTATGAAATCCTTGCCCTCCTCCACGAAGAATAAGCCACATGTTAGAATAAATCCAGGTACTAACAATATTATCTTCATCTATTCTTGTACCTTGCTCCTACCTCTAAGAACTTAAAATCTAATAAGGAAGATAGATTCACACACTAAAAATTTTGACTACATAGCACAAAGTCCTCTTTTCCTAGCCTGGACACCCTCATAATTTGTTTAATCCTAAACCACTTAGACAAGAGAGAGGAGATGAGCAGATGCTATCCAAAAATGATGACGTGACATAATCAGTCAGTACTATATCTGAGAACTCCAGCTTTGCTACTGTTCAACTATGTGCAGGATATCAAATGTTTGTAGTTATAGAGAGCCAGTGATCCTACTCCTAGCAGCTCTCACTTAAAATCCAAAATATAACTCATAAGCTGCTGATACTGTGCTTGAATTTATAACAATAAAGCAGATGCCACAAAGCCTTGCTTTGAGTTCACAATAAAAACTAAACTTTACATAGTTGATAGTTAATTATTTCCTTACTCAAATTAAATTATTAAACAGTTTGTTTTAATGAATAGAACAAAATAAATTAAATGATTACCTTAGAGAATTAACCTTCCAAGAAAGACAAAACCTTCTTGTAAGGCAAAGATGACTGATAGAGGGACACAAGAAGCTTAAGCAGAAGATATTGAATACCAATCCCTAACATCAGTAATTTTTCAAATATAGCATATTTCCATATGTTAGTCCTGTAAAATGAAATTCTTAATAATGTTAAATCTTTAAAACATTGCCTTAAAAGGTTTATGTAGAAAACCATTCAAACCTGATTATAGTCTTCATGCTTAAGACCATAGAGAAACAAATAATATTTTTTAGTAGGACCAAAGAAAGAGTAACAGAAAAGTTAACATTTAAGGGCCTACTATGTGCTATACAAGGCACTTTACATACATAATCACATTAATCATCACAATATATGAGCGGTATATTTCTATCCTTACTGATGCTCAGGAAAAAAAATGGGATTCACCCAAAGTCATGTGACTAGTAAAGATTAGAGCTAGTATTCCAACCTATGATTTCTCAGTCCATAGCCTATAGCCATCATACCATCTCAGGTCATAGTCCCATCATAAGAACTGGCTGAAATGACAGCCTAAAAGGATTTCTAAGTTGATAATTTTGTAAGAGTTATGTTCATGATTTAATATTTATGTTACAATAAGGTATTTTACTAATAAAGTCCACTATGTATCCTTTATTATCAATGCCATGTCAAAACAGTATACGAAAGTTTCATGTTCCTTGCGAAGAGATAAACTCCTCTTTAGCTTAAACCTTTATCATCAATGATATAGAGAACACTGCCTTTTGAGTGGCTCTTCAACAATTTATACAGCAAGATAGGAGGAATAAGTTCTGCTGTTCTGTACCAGTGTAAGGTGAATACGATTAACAACAATTTAGTGTATATTTTCAAATAGCTAGAAGAGAGAATTCTGAATGTTCACAACACAAAGGAATGATAAATGTTCAAGGTGATGAATGCTAACTACTCTGATTTGATCATTACACACTGCATACATGTATTGAAATATGCTCTGTATCCCATAAATACATACAATTACTACATGTCAACTTAAACGAAAAAATAAAGGCTCAAAATTTGCCTGAAAAAAACAGATGAGCTTATTTTTCCCCTCCCTCTTTATACCAACGAGGGTACAAACAGCCCTCTGATTCCTTAGGATACAGTTTAGAATTATTTCAACCTTCCCTTTCTCCTCACACCCCACAGCACATTTCAAAACAGTATAACAAGATGTGTATGACTCCCAATTGTTCTGGAGTGAAAAGAACTTATTAAGGTGCAAGTACACCTGTGGCATTAATAAATCCTTGGTTTTTTGTATTGTTTATCTTGGATTTGTTCCATATTATACTGCAATACAAAGATTACATTTGATATTAACTTTGATATGTTTTATTGTATTATACATGGAAGAATAATTGTTAAATTTTAGTTTCAGTTATCTATATTAATACACATGCACACAAACGTGTCTGTATATGTAGGGTCACAGTTTGAAATGTATTCCTTACATGATAAGGTCATAGTAAAAAAAAAAAAAAAGTTGGAAATCACTGCTCTACAGTATTTTGCATAGAGTAAAAGGGAATATTATCAAAGTCTGTCCTAAATATATGAGCTATAGCAGGAATATTGAAAGGTATGCAAAACATTAGTTCAGGAATAACTACATAAACTTGGAAGAGTTCTGGGAACATTGTAAGCTCCCTCCTGTTAATTTTTTTAACCAGCCTTTCTATTTCCTCATTAACAAATAGCAGTAAAAATTCCTTTAAAATACTTTCTATTTTATTTATTTATTTATTTATGTTTTTGAGACAGAGTCTCCCTGCATCGCCCAGGCTTAAGTGCAATGACACAATCTTGGCTCACTGCAACCTCTGCCTCCCGGGGTCAAGCAATTCTCCTGCCTCAGCCTCCTGAGTAGCTGGGGCTACAGGCACACACCACCACACCTGGCTAATTTTTTAGTAAAGACAGGGTTTCACTATATTGGCCAGGCTGGTCTCAAACTCCTGACCTCAAGTGATCCACCCACCTCTGCCTCCCAGAGTGCCAGGATTACAGGCGTGAGCCACCATCCCAGCCTAAAATACTTTTTAAAAATATATAGATATGTTAAGACATAGCAGGGGAAAAGGGCTAGCTAAGATAACATACTGCCAACCCAGCCAGTAAGACAAACTCAGAAAACAGAATAGTAGCCGACAGTTATTAAAAATAAACAAACAAACAAACCAGGTGTGGTGGCACACTGCCTGTAATCCCAGCTACTAGAGAGGCTAAGTCAGGAAGATTGCTTGAGGCCAGGAGTTTGAGACCAGCTGGGCAATATAGCAAGACCCTATCTCAAAAAAAAAAAAAAAGATAAAAGCAAGCCAAATCCCTGGCACCTACAGGAAGAAGGGGTGACAAGTATTACAGGAAGGAGAAGAGACCCAATTAACTAACCTAAATAGGTAAAGTGACATGTTCAATCATTCAGGAACTGCTGGGTGCCAGGCACTGGTTCTGGATTCTCCAACACAATCCAATAATGCTTTATGCCTAGCACAGAATGTGTCAGACAATAAAGACTGTCAAGAGTACTGAGAGAAAAAGAGTATAAAATTACTCCCAGGTTTCCCTCCAGTATGATATAGAAAGATGGTCAGGCTTCAATAACAAGCAGAGGCATATTTAGATAAAAAGTGATAAATGCAGTTTCGAGCACATTGAGTTTGAAAAGCCAGCAAGACATTCTGGTGGAGACACCCTGGTGGAGGTGCCCAGCAAACAGAAATGATCCAAAGTTGAGAAGGAAAGGCCAAGGCTACAGCCACATTTGGAAATCATGCCATGGAAATGATGACTGAAATCCAGAGTGTATAATCTGACCCAGAAAGAGAGTCCCAAATAATATACAGTGGCTCCTGTCTGTTCATTTGACTGATTATCACTGTAAATGGGGCACTGAATCAGAAGAAATGTAATACAAACAAATCAATTATAATATTTAAAAACTCATCAGTCAATCCAAAATCAATCTGTAAAAGCTACGTGAAATAATTATTTCTGTTCTCTAATAATAAGGACAGGATAAGATAGAATACAATGAAATGTTCAAACTAAAAGGGGGTCTTGGAAATAAAATACATCTCCTTCACATTGTGACAATGAAGAAACCAACATCTACAGAGATTATGGAACTTAGGTCAACCAGCTAGTTACTATCAGGGTCAAAATGTCATCTCCACAAAGCAAGAGCAAATTTTTAAAAACTATTGATCCTATAATCTCTCTCATGGGTTCCTAAATAACTATTCATTTAAATAAATTTTACATATGTATATTTTCTTCTCTAAGAGAAAAAAAGTCAATTTTCTCCCTGATTTCTCTTATGGTAATTGTTTTAGACATACTTATCATTCAACAATATATGAATTATCAGTCCTCTAGTTATTCTAAAATAATTTTTTGAGTTTTATTGAGGCATAACTGACAAAAATGCTGCATATTCAAGATATACAATGTGATGGGATTTTTTAACCCTTTTTAATTGTAAATTGAGAAAAAATAAATTATGTATTTACAGGCTACAAAGTGATTATGATATTTTGCTATATGTATACATTGTAAAATGATTACTACAGTAAAGCTAATCAACATGTCCATCACCTCACATACTGACTTTTTGTGGTGAGAATACTTAAGATCTACTCTCTTAGCAAATTTCAACTATACAAATGTCTAAGGAAATATAATTATTAATTACAACATATGTAATTCAACAGCAAATAATTTAGGTACTATATCAAGATATAAATGTTTATATAAGTGTGTGTGTGTGTATACACACATATATATATATTAGGCAAGATAGACATATCCCTGTCAAGATTTCAATATGTTGTCCAAAGACTAGGTCCATATGCTATTTATGTAGTAATAATGAAGAAACTAAGCAGTGTAACAGAATACAAGGCATTTTGATTGTAGGGTCATCTTCATAAAATACAATCAAAATAAGACATTATAAGAAAACTGAAGATTAATCCTCTCATTAATATAAATGACAAAATCCTCCACAAAATATTAGCAAATAGAGTCTAGAAACATATAAAAAGACTAATACATAATGAACAGGTAGGATTTATTCCAAGAATGAGAGGTTGGTTCATCATTCAAAAATTAATCAACGTACTTCACTATACTAAAAGACAAAATAAGAAAAGCCATATACCATATCAATAGATACAGAAAAAAAATTCTACAAGATTCAATACCCGTTCATGATAAAACTTAGCAAATTAGGAATAGAGGAAACTTAACCTAATGGTATCTATAAAAAAAAGTACCACCACATTATATATAGTTAATGGTAAGAGACAGAATGCTTTCTCCTAAGATGAGGAAAGGCTGCAAGTCATCTCTCACCACTCCCACAGTGGAGAAACCTGGCAGGTATTTCCTTAACTGAATGACCTAAATTAACATAACTGATGATAAATCCACGGTGATAGCATGAACCCCCTGATATGATGAAATAAGAAAGGCATTTCACCACCATGGTACTCTTCCTAAAAGCACATAACCCCAATCTAATGATGAGAAATAACATCACACAAACCCAACTTGAGGGACAGTCTATGAAATACCTGACCAGTATTCTTCAAAACTATCAAGATCATGAAAAATAAGGAAAAGTGAAGAAAGCGTCACAGCCAAGAGAAGACTAAGGAGACATGACAACTAAATACAATGCAGTTTCCTGGAGTTGATCTTGAAACAGAAAAAAAAAAAAGTGAAAAAACTAGTGAAATCCAAATAAAGTCTGAAGTTTAGTTTGGAGTGATGTATCAATGTTAATTTCTGAATTTTTGAAAGATGTACCATGATTATGTATTAATAACATGTTAGCATTAGGGGACACTGGTGGAAGATATATAGGAACTTTCTATACTAACTTTGCAATGTTTGTGAAAATTTAAAATTATTCTGAAATTTAAAAAATTAATTAAAAGGACAGAAAAAGATATACTTTGTAAATGCTAGCCAAAAGAAAGTTGGAATGAATATGTGAATATTAAAGTAGATTTCAGAACAACATATTTTTTTTCTTTTTTTTCCGAGACAGAGTCTTGCTCTGTCATCCAGGCTGGAGTACAGTGGCGCGATCTTGGCTCACTGCAACCTCTGCCTCCGGGGCAATTCTCTTGCCTCAGCCTCCCGAGTAGCTGGGATTACAGGTGCCCACCAACACACCCAGGTAATTTTTGTATTTTTAGTAGAGACAGGGTTTCACCATGTTGGCCAGGCTGGTCTCAAACTCCTGCCTTGTGATCTGCCCACCTCGGACTCCCAAAGTGCTGGGATTGCAGGTGTGAGCCACCACGCTCGGCCTAACAAAGTATATTTCAAAGAATAAACATTACATAATGATAAAGGGGTCAATTCAAGAAAACATAATAATCCTAATTTTATGTGCATTTCACCACACAGTTTCAAAATACTAAACTACTAGTAAAAAATTATATATTTTAAAGGAGGACTAGACAAACCTGCAATTACAGTTGGAGACTTCAATACTCTCTGTAATCAATAGAACAAATCATAAACACAATGAAATAACACTACACACCACTAGAATGACTTAAAATTAAAAAGACTGATCATATCAAGTGTTATAGAGTATAAGGAGCAACTCAAACGCTCATATACTGCTGGTGGAAATGTAAAATGGTACCATCACCTTAGAAACAGTTTAGCAGTTTCTTAAAGGTATAAACATATATTTACTATATGGTCCAGCAATTCGATGTTTACCAGAGAGGAAGGAAAGCACATGTCTACATAAAGATTTATAAATGAATGTGTATAGTCACTAAGTTTGTAATAGCTGAAAACTGAAAATTACCCAAATGTCCATCAACTGATGAATGGATAAACAAGATGTGTTATACCCATTAAACGGAATCATTATCAATAATAAAAAGCAGTAAATTAACGATATAGGCAACATCAAAGATAATCTACAAAATAATTAGATTGAAAGAAGCCAGACAAAAGAGTAGACTGTATGATCCATTTCTATAAAATTCTAGAAATTGGAAACTAATTTATAGTAACGGAAAGCACATCAGTGGTTGCCTGGAATGGAAGGGGCTCACGGGAGGGAGAGAGAGATAATCTAAGCACACAAGTAGTGTTTGGGAGTGACGGATATGTTCAATATCTGAATCGTGTATACATATGTCAAAAATCATTAAATTACATGGTTTAAATACATGTGATTTATTGGATGTGAATTATACCTCAAAAAGCTTCAAAAAATGAAAAAAATATATAGTCAGCATATGACCCAACAAACATTCTTAGGCATTTATCCAAGAGATATAAAAAACTATGGCTAGATTCCAGAACAGGCAAAATTATTCCACAGTGACAAAAAGCAGATTAATGGTTGCTTAGGGTTAGGGTGTGGCATTAACTGCAAAGAGATACCAGTGGCTTTTGTGGGGGTGATGAAAATGTTCTATATTTTGTGCTAGTTACACAGGTGTACCCATTTGTCAAAACTCATCAAACTATAAACTTAGTTTATTTAAATTATACTTCAATAAAGTTATTTTCCAAAAATGGAGATGGGGGAATTTGGTGCCCAATCTAGAAAACTGATCTAGAGAGGAAACTTTGTAACACAAGAAGTTTCTAAATGGGATGTTTCCAAATGGGATGTTTCCTATATATCCAAAGTAAAATATGTTCCTAATCCCAAACAGATGATTTAAAAGGGCAGCAACAACTATCCTTTACTGAACACTACCCTGTACCAAGCACTGTGCCCTATACATACATTTCCTCTCATCTTCTCAACAATCCTGCAATGAAGATATTATTATTTTCATTTTATTTTTTTTGTTTGTTTTGAGACAGGGTCTCACACTGTTGCCCAGGCTGGAGTTCAGTGGCACACTCGTGGCTTCCTGCAGGCTCAAACTCCTGAGCGCAAGCGATCCTCCCACCTCAGCCTCCCAGGTAGCCAAAAAACAGGCACAAGCCACCATTCCTGGATAATTTCTTAAATTTTTTTGTAGAGACAGGGTCTCGCTATATTGCCCAGGCTAGTCTCGAATTCCTGGGCTCAACTGATCTTCCTGCCTTGACCTCTCAAACTGCTGGGATTACAAGTGTGAAAGCCACTATGCCCAGCCTATTTATTCCCATTTTACATTAGGGAACTTGGGCTCACAGAAGATAAGCAACTTACCCAAGGTCTCTCAGTAAGTAAATGAGCAAGCCTCAGCCTCCAAGAATAAATCTGGGTCTGTCTTAAACTATTTCCAATACAACACACTGACTCCCAGTACCTGTTAATTGGGGATAACCTCTATTCTACTGAAATTTAAGAAAAATGCATTTGCTTCCTTAAACTATCTCCTTGAATACAAGTATCTGCTAGTATAATGACCTTCATTCCCCAGGAGATGCCTAGCACATAAGTACTCAGATATATGTTTTAACTTAAATTAATAAGATACTGTAAAGCAACTATTAGTTGCATTACAAATCTTTTCCATTATTAACATTTCTGATTGGAGGGAAAATTACATTCTAAGGGTATAATAGATTTTGTAATTATTACTAACATGATTACCATATACCAATATTATACCAGTATAAGGATAAGCCAAAAGTGATGACTATGAAGAACCCTAAACACTTTCTCTATGCTTTCCACATTTGATAGCCAACATAGTCAATGAAAGACACTATAATACCCAAAATATCAAACTGAAAGACGTACAGATTTAAAAGTTCATTGGACCTTATTCAGTGCTTTAATTCCCTTCATGCAATCTTAATTTTAAGAAGGAAGACAGGCCTGGTGACTCATACCTATAATCCCAGCACCTTGCGGGGTTGAGGCAGGTGGATCACTTGAGGCCAGGAGTTCAAGACAAGACTGGGCAATAGAGCAAGACCCCTAACTCTACAAAAAAAACTTAATTAGCTAGGCATGGTGGCTAGTGCCTGTAGTCTCAGCTACTCAGGAGGTTGAGGCAGGAGGAACACTTGAGCCCAGAAGTTCAAGGTTATTGTGAGCTGTGATCGCACCACTGCACTCCAGCCTGGGAACAGAGCAAGACCGTGTCTCAAAAAAAAAAGAAAGCTATGAATTTTACCACTTGGTATGGTGAGCCCTCTAATTCTTAATGTCAATACTAAGAAACTACTGCACAATTCAACATTACAAGACTGGGAACCAAGCAGTACAACTCCCACTTTTTACTGGGAACTAATTAGTTATAATTTATGATAGAACTCAATCTTCCTATGTCCCTGTGTCTCACTTAGCTACTTCTCAAGAGGGAGCGTTGGGATGAATTAATTGCTCATGAAAATAAACATATACACACACATGCATATACATTTATGATATACATATGTTATAATATGATTACATTGATAGTTACATAACTTGACACATTATTCAAATATGTATACTCATTTATTTTATATTGCTTTATATATTATCTTATTTTATAGATTAATTTTAATGTATTTTATTATTCTATATTATGAAATTATTTTGTACTACAGAATTGTATAGGCTTTTTTAAAGTAATAAAACACTATGCTTACAAGATGAAAACTTTGCTCAATTCTCTCACATCACATTATGTTATTACGCTTTCAGAGGTCTTTTCAATGACATTATATGGGTCACTTTTACATTGATGAAAATATTTCACTTTTTATTTTCAAGCTTTTCCTATAGATCCCATGAGAGCATTCTGCTTTCTACAGATGTCACAAAGAAACCTTTCTGAGTGTTTGGTAAGTAGGAAAAAAGACACAGATGCCTCCCATGGTTGTTCTCATAACAAAAGACAAGGAAACAGAGATGGGAAACAATCTCCAAACCCTTTATATTCACAGACCTCGTACTTTTCCAAAACAGGGAATTCAAGGTTTGCCAAAGACTTCAGTAATTTGGCCTTAGCAATAATGGAAGGTATACAGCTGGAATCCATTATATACTGCTCTTAATATATTAAACAGTGATCCCTCTGTCCTAAAAAATACAAATGAAGATGCCTGCAATTTCCATGTAGAAAGGCAAGTCATTTGTACATCATCTTCACAGAGGATGACAACGTGGGCAATTTTTTTAATGAGGACCTCTTAGAATCATTAAAAGCACAGGGACTGAGAATAGCACTCCCATAAGCAGGTAGACTCCAATATCCACTTTGTTTCTCTTTTTCTAAGAAAAACTAATCACACAACATGCCTCATCTCCTAAGAGACAATCTAATAACTGAGAGTCTTCTAACCAACAGTGTAGCCAAGTAAAACCTTATAGAACTCCCCTTCTTGTAGGGAAAGAAAAAAAGTTAGATGGTGTAAGTCATGCACAGAGAAACGAAACATCTAAAGGCTATTAACTAGGAAGTTCATTATTGATATGCTAGAAATTATGTACTAGAAGTTTGTCACTTTTGTTTCCTAAAAATATATAGGCTGGGACCACTCAGACACTGCTGGCAGAAGTACAAACTGGTCAAAGCACACTGGAAAACTGTTTAGCAATATCTTTTAAGCTGGACATAGGCATATGCTATGACCAACAATTCGGCTTCTATAATGATACCTAAAAGAAATGCACACATGTATTCACCAAGAGACTTGTACATGAATGATTATAACAGCATTATTCATAAAAGCCCCAAACTGAAAACTAAGCCAAATGTCCATCAGCAGTGGAATGAATAAATTGTGGTATATTCACATAATGGAATAGTATACAGCAATGAGAATGAACAATCTGTTGCTCCATGCAACAATATGGATAAATCTCTTTTTTAAAATATTGAGCAAAAGCAGCTATACACAAAAGGTACACAGAGTGCTTCCTACTATATAAAGTGCAAAATCAGGTAAATCAATGTATAGTGTTAGAAGTCAGTAGAGTAGCTACCCTTTGCAGGAAGTACAGGGCACTGGGACAGGAATACAAAGGAAGCTACTAAGCTAACATGATAATGTTCTATGCTTTAATCTGGATACTGGGTACATGGGTGTGTTCACTTGTGAAAATTCAACAAGCTGTATTATGATTTGTGCACATTTCTGCATACATTCAAAGTTCGCGTTAAAAAATAAAATATAAGCTTATGAAAGTACTTCTTTAACTGATATTCCAAATTCATTACTTTTTTAAATCTATAAAGGCAAACAAAGAACAAACCAGACCATGGGAACAAATACAACAGAGAGACAGGAGAGGAATATCAAGAATGAAGCAAGATCATCACAGAGCACACTTGGAAAGGAGATGGTATGTATCTCTCTCAAACAAAGGTGTTTGAGATGTGACAAGATGTTAAAAGACCTGATTAAGCAATACTCTCTACTCCCTTGCAACTGCAAGCTGAAAGCTCGTCGCTAATAGGCTACTCTCTGGAAAGCCCACAGAATTCCACTCTCACTAATTGAGTTGTAATTAAGAGTCAGCTAAGTATGTTCTCAAACTAGTTTATTTCAAATTTCACTTGCTGTTGCAATTACATAATTTAATTAAATATTACCTAAATATATGAACACATATATTTGTTTCTATCAAATTAAGTTAAAAGTTTTAGAAAAACTAAATTCAATAAACATAAGTTGTCAAAGAAAATTGCTACTAAAGTATGGAAGAACAAAACTTTTAAAACACAAGTAGAAAATCATAAAAACCTAGAACCATGCTTTCAGACTGCTTCATAAGCAAATTTAAATTCTTGTTCAACTTTAAAGAAAACTGAACTTGATATTGTAAATGCATTATGGGGTGATTTATGAAAGAAGGAGAATTTCAAACTTTAATCAGCAGACCCATACTCAAAGAAAAGATCATGACTTCACATCAAAAGATTGGCAAATGAAAATATATTTATAGTTTACATTAAAATTTGATGTTGAAAATATGTAACATTTGTGATTTTATGATTCTAGCCAATTGTTTGTATTAACTAACCAACTATCTATCTTAATTGTGAAGAATGCAAAAGTCCTCTCCTGTGTATCACTAAAGAAAACTGAGCAAGCAATACTGGTCACTCAAGACCACCTATATACACATATACACATGCATGCACAACACAAATGTGATCTCTCTCTCTTCCTCTCTCTTTCTCTCTCTCACACACACACATACACACACACACAAACCATGCCTCACTAAAACAATACTGAAAGGAAGCAAGCATCAAAAACAGAAATCAAGACAATAATGAAAGTAAATGTGGGGACACACGTCATAAAAAGGAGGGCATTCAAAGGAGTTTTTCACACAACTTTCCACTTTGGGATAGCAAATAAGATAGGTATTTTAAAAGAAAAACAACCAAAAGCTAGGTGAGTAGCAAAGCTTTAATCACTGGAGTTCTTCCTTACTGTCTCATTGCTACCCTATCCTAGTCTTGAACCCAAGAAGAAGTACGCCAGAGTTCTCACATGGTACAACACTTGTTTATTTCCACTGATTTGACTGCAGAAATCTCACTCTTTCATATCACTAGGGGGAGCACTTACTCTTTAAAAAATAGGAAGAGAAAGTTAAAAAAAAAAGTTCCAAATAAAGATGCACTTTATGATCGGGGGCAGTGGCTGTGGAGGTGGTGTGTGCCTTCTGTAGTCCCAGCTATTCAGAAAGCTGAGGTGGGAGGATCATTTTAGCCCAGGAGTTAGAGCACTGTGACCGTGCCTGTGAATAGCCACTGCACTCCAGCCTGGGAAACACAGTGAGACCCTGTCTTTAAAAAAGAAAAAAGAAAAAAAAAAAAAAAAAAGCAAAGCTCTTTATCTGACTGCCCTGGGAAAGCAAAGTTCAAAATGCTTTAAAAGTCACAGCACAAAGTGAAAAATATTTTTAAAGTCACAAGTGACTTTAAAAGTAAGCAACATAAAAGCTAGTCTCAGTACATTAACCAATCAATACATTTAATGCATAATAGCAAATATTACTTAGGGTCATTTGGTAAGAAAATATAAATCAACAGGCTGACCTTACTATTACTCAGTTAAAAATGCTTAATTATGATTTGTGAAGATTCTAATTTCTGATAAATACTATTAGCAAACGAAGTTAATGGATATCTATCACAAACTTCAGTTGGTATACTTTGTCCGTTTATTAAATTATTGGAAGGCAAAATTAATACCATTATCCTCTTTTAAAGTTTTAAATGTAACTTGAGCACCTAAGTAGCAAGGAAGTAGGGAAAGGGAAAAGGAGACAGAAGGGAATTAACAGTAACGGGATGCCTATTATGTGCCAGGTGCTTCAACCACACTGGGAAAAGGGAATGATTATTTCCACTTTACAAATGAAAAGCAGGGCTCGAAAACCATAACTAACTTCACCACTGTCACATAGATAATAAATTGTGGAACAAGATATGACTCATAATACCTAAAATCAAAAATATCAGAAGTTCCTTAATTCATCTGGCAGTATGGTCATCTTAAATACTCTTTATTCCATTAAGAGGCATATATTTATATCACAGCGAAGAACAAGAAAGAACAACAACAAGAAAGCTTGCCCTTGTCCTCTAAAAGCTTGTCCTCCAGGACCTTACAATCTACTGAAGAAAACATGCACACACAGTTAAGGAATGTAAATCAGTGATTAATGGCCAATTGAAGAAAGCGCCACTAAGTGATAACGGAGCTCAAAGAAGCCTGGGATCCATGTGGTTTAAGCAGTTAGAGAAGACTTTATGAAAGATGTAAGATTACAGCTGGATCCTAGAGATGGTGTATGTTGGATAAGGATATATTGAAAGAGTACTCCAGGATGAGGAAAAGCAAAAATTAAGGATAAACACAATGAAACTGAGTAACAGTGAAAAGGCCAGCATGACTGAATCAAAAAGTGAAGAATTAAGTGGAAACAACCCAATATCCATCAACTGATGAATGGCTAAACAAAAGCGCTATATCCATACAGTAGAATACTACACTGCAATAAAAAGGAATAAACTACTGATAGCTGCTACAACATGGGTGAACCTTGAACACCTTATGCTAAGTGAAAGAAGTCAGTCACAAAAGGCCATATACTGTATGATTCCGTGTTTAGGAATCTCCAGAATAGGCAAATCCATAGATACAGAAAGCAGAATAGTGGTTCCCAAAGGCTGAGAGGGTTGGTACTGAGGAGCAACTGCTAATAGTACAAGGTTTCTTTTGGGGGTGATGGAAATGTTCTAAAATTGATTGCAGTGATGGTTGCACAATTCTGTGAATATACTAAAACTCACTTAACTGTACAGTTTAAATGGGTGAACTACAAGGACTATGAATTATATCTCAGTAAAGCCATTTTTAAAAGTGAGGGACTGGTGGGACATCACATTGCACAGCTAAGATAGAGTCACCTATGGAGTATTCTGAATGCCAGCCTTCAGGGTCTACACTTTATCTGGTAGACAATCAGAAATATACAAGTAAAGATTTACCTAATGAAAGCACAGTATACATACTTAGGATTCTTCTATAATAAAATCACTCACATGTTTTAAGTACATTCCAAAAATATACGCAAAATCACAAAGAAGAGAAAAAACAGGAAAAAGATAAGATATGATTTTGACTAAGACACAAGCTGTGACTATTAGGAAAGTTGTTTTGCTTCAGTGCTAAATGCCACAGATGGGTATATCAGTATCGCACGTATGCAAAACCACAAATTCATCTGTGTCAAATCTTTGAAGACTGTAATATTCTAAACTTAATTGTGAAAATGTCATTAATAACTGACATGTCATATTTCAGGGTAAGACAATGAACAGTATAATTTGTTTTTTATCGATGACAGTACTCTATATATAAAATGCTTTTTTCAGATACTGGATTCAATCTAAATGCTATCAGAACCCCACTAATATAAAGCATTGCTTACTGATGCTTACACATCTGACTTTGAATTCTAATTTAACATAATACTCCAAAATAGTTTCAATACACAAAATAAAAGAACTAAAGAAACAAACCTGACACATAAAAGCAGAGAGAAAATATATATATAACATGTTATATATTATACATTTATATAATATTCAATGCAGAGGAAAAGGTAAAGTGCTCAAAAATAAACCTGAAAATCAATGACAGACGGAAAAAAGGACTCAGCAAAGTACAAACTAGAAAAAAAGGAATAAATTACATCTACAATAGCAGGCTCAATACATGAGAGAAGATGAGAAGGCCTAAACAGAGGCAAAGTTCAGAACATCTCTATGAAACAATCCTGTCCCCTCCCCTGAATCCCAGGGAAGAAAGACCCTTTCAGGCATTCTTGGCATCATCCCTCCCAAAGCTGGACTAAGGTGAAATCCCACATTCCCCCAGGAGGTGGTAAGATGGTAGGGATACAAAAGAAGAACTCAGTTGGAGAATCCATACATAACCAAACCAGTGTTCCCCTTGTGAGTCACCTTGCAAACCTCCTTCAAGGTAGGTGAGCCACAAGAAACTAAAGGAGATATTGAATCTCTTTTAAAATTCTCTTGTCCAAGAATGAGAGGGCCCATCTGTCTCTTTAAGGGCTTTGTAAATTCCAGAACTGAGCGAAACTGATGTTGAGTCTGAGAAATAAAGACAACTCAGACAACCTAGTTTGCTAACAAACAATAAAAGCAAAATAGAAAACAAATAAGCTTTCCTTAAAAAGAAGCCTTATCACTGATATTTAGAATACGGTGTCTTCTATCACAAGTAAATAGAGCAAGACTCTCCATTTCCTAATTCTAAGCCAGTGTTTATACTAAAGAAAAGAATTCAGTAGGAATAAACAGGAGTTTATTTCAAATCATTAACTGTTGTAGATTAAAACACATTTGTCCACACTTTCATCAATTTTCTACCTACTTTGAGTAAAAGAACTGTGGGAAAAGGCAAATGTTGACATCTATTGTTCATCATAATAAACATGTTAATTGTTAAGGAATAAAGTATTCCAAATATAACACAATATGAAAATGGGTTAAAAGTTGGATTATTCTCTAAGTAAACACCCAAAACACATACCGTTGAATTCACACATAAATAGAAGTTTTCTTTGAAGTAAATAGAAATGATGAGAGCATGCTACCACAGATACCCCAAAGAGGGGGGAAAATAACATCAACATAAAGTCTAAGATGCAGAAACATTTCTAAATGATACAATTATCAGAGGGAATGGTCTACATGGTAAATATGCTGATATTCTGACTAAAGTTACAACAGAAACTCATGATGCCACTTTTAGAAGGCTAAAAAAGTAATTAAGAAAATTGAAGACCTGGAGAGGGATTTTTTTTTTTTACAGAATCATTCAATGAGTAACATGGGACTGGAACATGATCTGTAAACAAGAAAGGAGAACGAGAAACTTGCCAGTACCTGAAACTGGCGCTGAACTAAGGAAACAAGGGTGACAAATATCCTAGGAGGTAAATTACATCAGTTTTCAAAACCTGATTCTGGAAAAAAAAAGAGTGACTAATTTGCCAAAAGGGAAAAATATGTTGTGTAAGCTAATGAACAATTTTAAATAAACGCAAAATGCTGTAGGAAATTTGTTTCTAAAGGATTTTAATCAATTAATTAAAACATCATTCATGTTCACTGTATTAGTTTTTAAGATGCTCAATCTACAAGACAATGTTTTAAATAGTTCAGAAAAATCTTGTAAATATTTGCAATAACCATTTGCCTTAAGCAATTCTGTAGAGCCTGTGAGATGGTTTGAAATTGAAATGACAGTAGGCTCGACCAAATTTCTAAAACCCCTCAGACAAAATCATAAAGCTTGCACGGCAAAAGTAATACAAACAGGATATCCTGAACAGCAAAATGAACTACCATATTTGTGGATTTTTTTCCGTATAGTAGATCCCGTATAATGTTCCTACTCTACAATGAACTTAAAACTAATCACTGTATACTCAAGTCTCATGTAAACTTACTGAATCTTACGCGAGAAAAACCAAAGCCAGAAAAGAAAAAAAGGATGAGGTTCAACTCCAACCATCTGCTCTTGCTCCTCCAAGCAACATTCTATAAATTAGGTATTTTATTTAAATTCTCAAAGTCATAAGTCCATAGCCAAATCTAATTTATAATATAGTTAAGTACTATGCACACAAAAGTACTCTGTTCAAGTGGCTAAGTAAATCTGAACATAACGCGAACATACATTTTAGAAAGCATTCATCTCTGCTGCACAGGGAAAAAAGAAGAGCAATTTCACAGAAAGACTAGGAAATACCTGAGCAGATAAACAGCCCTTTCAATATCACTGAGGTCTTCATCGACTGTCAATCTTTCTATTTCTTCCGGTGTCTGTCAAGGGTAAAATACACATTTATGCACCACAAATATTGGTTCAGTCTTGCCCCCCAACCTCCCAGTGACCCTCTATGAGGATAAACGAATGAAAAAGTTTCACAATTAAGCATTAACAATGAAAACTAATCAAGGAGCTGAGGATACCAGGCGACATCAATCACGGAGGTCTCTAATTGGGTGGTTTGGGGAGTTTGGGGAGGGGGCTGTATTTTTCTGTTTTTATCCTTCTAGCTCCTGGACTGCAGCTTGAAAATCACATCGTGGCTTCAGAACCTTGGCTGAAATCCATTTCATACGCATGTTATAAAACGAATACACACACTTTTTATCTCTAATACTTCAAGGCTATTTCTCCAGCATTTTCCACCCCAAGAAATGCTAAAAGGGAGATGGATGAAGACTGCAGCCGAGTAGGCATGAAAAGGACAAGATCTGGAGTGGGGGAGGGAAGGAAATAAACTCCGGGGCTGGAAAAAAACCAGAGATTTGAGATATTGCGGCAGGTGGGAGTGAGAGGCGCTAAGGCAGCTAATTAAGCAATGGCCAGGGGAAAGGGGTCCGGTCCGTAAACTAGGTTTGCTGGCGCTAAAGGTTGGAGCCGCCGGGAGGAAGATGACTCTGCGGGGTGGGAGAGCCAGTAGGGGTGGGGGGAGCAAGCTGAAGCTTGACCCCCTCAAGGGGATTGGGGAGCTGGGTCCCAGCTACAGTCCTGGAGGGGATGGGAGGAAAGGATGAGCGGTGACTCAGGATGGCGGCAAAGGGTCGCGAGGGCTTGTAGACAGGGACCAGGACGACACTGAGAAAGAGTGCTGGCTGGGAAGCGAGGGGAGGCCGGGCTACCTCGAGGGCAGAAGGACCCGAGCTTGATCTGACTTGGGCTGGGGGTGAGGGGACGGGACGCGGGGTGGTGTCTCCGGGAGAGGTGGGGGGAGGAGTTGGGAATGTGTGGACCGATGGGTGGGCCTGGGGCCAGAACCCGGGCGGCGTCAGCGGACCAGAGGTTGGGGAGCCCAGGAGAGGACCGGGGAGAAGTGGGCTGCGGCCTCGAGGGGCAGCTCCTTTGGGGGGGGGGGGCGGAAGGAAGGGGGTCCGCGACGGAGGACGCTGGGGCTGCCCCGAGGGCTGGAGCTCGGCCGTTCCTGGGGGTGGGCCGGGGGGATTCGGACGCCTCAGGAGGGGCAAGGGCCGCGGGGCTGGCGCCGGTCCGGGGCTGGGGCAGGGACCCGTCCCTTGGGGATGGGGGTCCAGACTAGAGAGGACCCGGTCCGCTCTGAGGAAGGGTCCGAGAGGGAACTGGCTTAGGGCGACACGGCAAGAGGGGTGGAGGAGGAGGGGCCGGCCCGACTGAGAGGGTCCCGGCGGCCCGGAGGAGGGGAGGGTGGTGGCGTGGGGCAGAGATCAGCGCGGGACCGCGCGGGGCAGGCGGCCGGACGCCGTGAGGGCAGGTCCTCTCCCCGGGGCGCACCTTGAGGCTCCGGCGGACCGGCCTCTCGATGATGGTGAGCTCCTGCAGGTCCTCCATGTAACCGAACAGGCTGTTCTGACTGAAATCCATCGCGGCGGCGGGCGGCGGCGGATGCATGGACCGCCGGGCACTCTCGCCGCCCGGGCCGGAGCGGCCCCGGGATGCCGGACGCCCTCAGCCCCGCGGCCGCCCACCAGCAGGACTTTCTCCGGCTCTTGGCCGCTGGAGCCGAGCGTGAGGCTGCCAGGCGGCGGGAGCAAGAGCACGGCCCGGCGAGGGGGCGGGGCGGGCCCGGCGAGGAGGCGGGGCGAGGCTCGCGGGCGGGCTGCGGGGGCGGGGCCAGGGGCGGGGGCCCGCCACCTTGCCCGCCTCGGCCCCGCCCCTTCCCGGGCGCCGCGCGCAAGAGGCCGGACGCAACTGCCGCGCAACGACCCGGCGGCCCCGCCACCCTTCTGCGCCCGCTCCTCGCCGTTCTCCTAAACCCCCGTCCGCCCCCAACCAAGTGTGCCCCACCCCACAGCGCGTGCGCAGAGCCTTTTGCCTCCCGCAGCCGGCTGAGGGCGGGCGCTGGGGGCGGGCGCTGGGGAGGGGGGCTGGGGGGCGGGGGCTGGGGGGCGGGGAGGCTGAGCCAATGAGAGCGGAAGCAGAGGAGAGGGAGCTGGCTGGGCTGCGGCTGTACCTGCTGACTTAACTGTCCAGTTATTCCCAGGACCGCCCACCCCAGCTGGCGGGCCGTGAACCCAGAGACCCCCCCCAGCACAACTCCAGCCCTGAGGGGAGCGCTGAGTGCCCAAAATAAGCAGTTAGGACGCGGGGTGCCCGGCTGACGGGGGAGGGGGCTGTGGGAATACAGCCCTGGAGGGGCTGGCTTTTGGTCAAGGGCAGCATTCGGAAAAGGCCTCCCAGAGAAGAGTCACTTAAACTGAATCTTAGCGACCGATAAGGCTTTCCCAAGAGAAATAATAAAAGCAAGCCGGTCCGGGGTTGAAGCCTGGGTGTGTTTGGTTGTGTTTGAAAAGTGCCGTCGAAGTACAGCTCGGGGCTCGGGCACCGAGGGCGTGGCGAGGTGGGTGGAAGGAAGAGGACCTAGGTCCTTGATGAAGAAAAGCCCTGCTCTGGACAGCCACGCTGAGTCCCTTGCACTTGGTTCTGTTAAGAATGGGACGAGATGGAAGGGGGATTGGGGCGATTTTTTTGGACCTTGGGGACAAGTTCGTACTGTTCAGCTCGTCAGTCAGCAAGGCCCTTTTCTTTTTTGTTTTTATTTTTTACTCGTTCCTTCTCCACACCCATTCTTCTACCCGCCATATGCACCCTCTCCTCTATTAAGGTATGTCCCAGTTCATGCACCGTATACAGCCTCAAAAGATACATGGTTTGTGTCTGTTTTTAACATATATGAACGGCATTGTGATGAGAACTCATTCTGTTCCTTGTTTTTCTCTCAGTGTCTTAGAGATCTATCCATGTGACACTATACAACAAGAGTTCATTAATAATGACTAATAATAATATTTGATTTGTGTGTCTATCATATTCTACTTATCAATTCCTCAAATAACGGCTAGTTAGGTCGCCAGCAGTTCCTTACTACCACAGACCATGCTGGAATGGATGTTAGACGTGTCCCTTACAGAACATAAGAAATTGAGTCGCTGGGTCATGAAGTCCACAGTGTTTGGTTTCACTCTGTCATGTTGGCCTCCAGATGGCTTTGCCATTCACACCCACCAATGGCACATGAAGGTAGGAAGGTACCCGTTTCCCATTTTATATGCTAACATTTGGTATTATCCGATGTCCTAATTTATGTCAATCTGAAATCAGTAAAGTAGTATCACATTGTAATTTCGATTTGTATTTTTTTGATTGGTGGTGTTAACCATTTTTCCATATACTTAAGAACCATCGAGATTGTTTTCCTTCTGTGAATTATCTATTTACATCCTTTACCTATTTTCTGCTGGATTTTATTATTTTTTCTGAATGAATTGAAGCAGTTGAGTTTCTTATATGTTCTAAATATTAATCTTTTGTCAGTTTTAGAAAAACACTGCAAATATTTCTCTCAATCTTTCATGCATCCTGTTTGCTTGGTCTTTGCTATGCTGCAATGGAGGAGAAATCCTTAATTTTCATTTAGCCTAATGCATCAAATTTTAGCCTTGTGCAGTGTGGTCTTGGGGTCTTGTTTAAGAATCTTTTCCCACCTGTTAGTCGCAAAATATTCTCCTACATTTTCCCCTAGTTGGCTTCATACTTTTACCTGTCACAGGTCTTAATCCACCTGGGGTTCACCTTGCATACAGTTTGAGCAGGAATACAGTATTATTAACTCTATTTAGTGAGCCAGTTTTCCCAGCAGCACCCACCAAACAATCCATCTTTTCCCCTCAGATGCATGATGGCGTCTGTATCGTATGCCAAGTCCCTAGAGACACACACGTCTGTCTCTGAGCTCTTGTGGCTATTCTATTGATCTAGATCTGTTCCTATGCTAGTGCTGTGCTGATTTTATTGCTGTGGCTTAATTATACATCCTAAGATCTGGTAGAGTGAATCTCCCACTCTTGGCTCTTTTGTTCTTCAATTTTGCCTTTGAAATTCAAAGCAAAATGGTCAATAATGATGCCCACAGCTAAAATTCAGGTTTTCTAATCCCTGCTTTACTAAGGAAAAGTGAAGGGAAGTAGAAGAGGACAGAAACATAGGATGAGGATGGAAAAGAGGCAAACACATGAGGAGGTGGTTTTCTTAAGCAGATATCTTACAGCCTCCCCTTTCTGTCAATTTCTGAAATTCTCTGCCTTTTGATTTGTAAATGATACAAAATATTACCTGTCAACTTTACCCTGTTCCAGCTAAGAAGTATTATCTCACATTTGGATTTTGTAACAGTATCTTCTAAAACTGGAGGGCGTTCTTAATGAACAATTGATTGAATATACAGATACGGCTTTAATGTTGGCCGTTCCAGGGCAGGAGGGTGATGAAGGGAAAATGTTCAATTTGATGACTGGAATTTGTAACTGCTCTAATTACCACTCTGTGGTGGAAGTAGCCTGCCCAGCCTGGCTGCCAGGAAACCTGAGTCCCTGTCCTGGCTCTGCCAGTGACATGTGGCAGAATGACTCTTGGATCTCTGTTTTCCTTATCTGAACTGCTTTCATGCATGTTGTCTCAACGTGCCCTCAAATCATCCCTGTGGAATGCAGAAAAGCTGCATCACTATTCTAATTTTACAAATAATGAAATTGAGGCTCAGAGAATTTATGTGACTTAGTCATGAACACACAGCTAACTGAAACTAGATTTATCCACTTTGTTTATTCATTTAAAAATAGCATGGTAGGCCGGGCACAGTGTCTCACGCCTGTAATCTCAACACTTTAGGAGGCTGAGGCAAGTGGATTGCTTGAGCTCAGGAGTTCGAGACCAGCCTGGGCAACATGGTGAAACCCTGTCTCTACAAAAAATACAAAAATTAGCCGAGCGTGGTAGCACACACCTGTAGTCACAGCTACTAGGGAGGCTGAGGTGGGAGGATTGCTTGAGCCCAGGGGCTCAAGACCAGCCCTGGCAATATAGCGTCTCTACAAAAAATAACAAAATTAGCTAGGTATGGTGGTGCACACCTGTAGTCACAGCTACTTGGGAGGCTGAGGCAGGAGGATCACTGGAGCCCAGGAGGTCAAGATTGCATCACTACACTCTTGCCTGAGCGACAGAATGAGACCCTGTCAAAAAATAAAATTAAAAAAAAAAATAGCATGGTGCTAACTAAGCACATGGACTTCGAAGCTCAGGTACTTGGGGTTGAGTCAAACTCTGCTGCTCCCTATCTTCAGCAAAGTATTTCACCTCTCTGCTCCTCACTTCACTCATCGCTAAGCTAGGAATAATAGTAGCACTTAGTACAAAGTGTTGTGAAAATTAAATGAGATAATATGCATACAATGCTTAGAAACATTCTTGGCACAAGTGTTTGTTGTTACTATTATCATTGTCACCAGACCAGTGTCCCTCTGAACCCAGGTTCAGAACAGAGTCAAGAAGTTGTGCTGAATCAATTGATTATAATGGGAAGCAAAATAATGTTTCCCCAAAGACGTCCACATCCTAATTCCCTGAACATATGGGCATGTTACCTTACATGGCCTAAAGGATTTTGATGCAACTAATTTAAGGATATTGAAGTAGGGAGATTATCCTCGTTTACCTCCGTGGGCTCGGTGTAATCACAAGGGACCTTCTACGTGAAAAAGGGAAGCAGAAGTTCAGTGTCAGAGTGATGCCATGCAAGGATGCAACCAGCCACTTTTTTTTTTTTTGAGCTAGAATCTCACTCCACCCTTGACCTTCCAGGTTCAAGTGATCCTCCTGCCTCAGCCTCCTGAGTAACTAGGACTACAGCTGTGTGCCAGCTAATTTTTGTTGTTGTCGTTGTTGGAACGAGATCTCACCATGTTGCCCAGGGTGATCTGGAACTCCTAGACTCAAGGACAACCTCAGCCTCCCAAAGTGCTGGGATTACAGGCATGAGCTACCACACCTGGCTGACTGCTGGCTTTCAATATGAAATGGGGCCATAAGCCAGCACCCTATAGAACTTGGAAAAAAAAAAAAAACTTAAAAATTCTCCTCTAGGAATGCAGCTCTGCTGACATCTTGATTTTAGCCCAGTGAAAACTATTTCAGACTTCTAGCTTCCATAACTGTAAGATAATAAATTTATGTTGTTTTAAGCTGCTAGGTTGGTGGTAATTAGTTATAGCAGCCATAGGAAACTAATACAATTATATCATACACAAAAAACAATTTTAGGTGAATAAAAAGCTGAAATATGAAAGGCAAATCTTTCAAACTTTTGGAAGAAAATATGAGAGTCATTTTATGACATCTGAATAGGGAAAATTTTCTTAAAACCAAAGCATAAGCCATAAAATAAAAGATCGATAAATCAAACTACTTTAACTCCAGCCTGGGTGACAGAGTCAGACCCTATCTCGAAAAAAGAAAAAACTCTAACTACTTTAAAATTAAGAACTTGTATTTATCAAAAAATACCACAAAGACCATGACAAGACAAACTATAAACTGGGAAAACATATTGACAACCAATTAATCATAGAAGAATTACTGTCCAGAATCAAGAACTTCGAAAAAATCAGAAGACAACTAAATAGAAAAATGGGCAAAATATATAAACAGGCAGTGATTTTACAGAAGAATCATCAATATGAAAAGGAGCTCAATCTCAATAATCCTTAATTAAGAATAATTAACATAACCTTAATAATAATTAAGCTCAACCCTCACTAATAAAAGTGGAAAGGCAAATTTACACACCCATCAAACAGGCAAAATTTTAAACATCTGATCACATCAAATGTTTCGCAAATGTCAAGAGGCAGACTTACATACTGCTTGTGGAGTGTAAACTGGTGCAACCACTTTGGAAAATAATTTGGCATTAACTTGTAAAACACTAGAGAAACTCTTGCACATTTGCACGAAGAGCTATGCACAAGAAATTTCATAGCAGTACATATTGCAATAGCAAAGGCCTGGAAAGAACTCAAACATTTACGGACATTTAAATACTTTCACTAATTGCATTTTACTCAATCAATGGAAAACTGTCAGTGAAAATATACCACAACTACATAATTCAGTGAAGACAAATCTCAGAAACATGTTGAACAACAAATGCAAATTGCCAAAGTTTATCTACATATGACACCATTGACACAATATTCTGAAACAATAATATATAATATCTATACTTGGTTAAAATGACCAAAAAAAGAAGAGGAATGATACACACAAAATGCAACCTATTGTTTAGCTCTAGGATTAAGACGTGATCAGGGAGGGACACACAGAGGGCATAGGTAATGTGTTACCTTTTGAATTGATGTAACATGAGTGTTTATTTTATTGTTATGCTTAAAATATCCGTATGTATTATATATAATTTTTTATGCATGAAATAATATTTTATAATTTTTTAGATCAGGGCAATTAAATGTTTTCCAGTTATAGCTTAGCCACTTCATTTATCCATTCATTCATTCACTAAAAAATATTTCAAGGGTTATTGCTATATTATAGGCATTGTTCTAGGTGTAGGCCTTACTACCAGGTAGCATACATCCTGGTGAGAACAATGAAAAGCAATCTAATCCAATAAGCATACAATTAAATATAGCATTACAAACTATGATAATTGCTATGGAAAAAATACAGGTAGTTAGACTGATGGAGGAGCATCACCCCACCTACTTTTGCGTAAGTGAGAAATAAACCTTCTTTGTGTTAAGCCACTGAGAGGCCATGCTTTCTGTTTCTGCAGCATTGGCTATATATCCTGACTAATAAAGATTGCAGGCCACACAGTGACAACAGGGACCAGGTGGAAAATGATCGTAGCTTGGACTAGAGTCATTAGTATAGAGGTGGAGAGATGTGAACAGATTCAAGAGAAGTTTTACAGGTAACTGGGATGGATTAGATGGGTGGGTGGGGGGACGGTGCGTGGAGTTCAGGGACGCAGAGGCAGTAAAGATGACTTCCAAGTTTTTGGCTTGTGGAGCTGGATAGATGGAAATATCAGCCACCCAGTGCTCATTCTGTGCTTTCATTAATGTCTGAGTAGATGGCATTTGCTGACAACTGCCCCAGAGCTCCATCTGCAGCTCCAAGTGGACGTCACATAGTCTGCTCCCAAGTCAGTGCCTGTTCTCTGCAGTTCTCTTCACTTGGATCTTAAGTGAACTAGACCAGGCTCCTAGTGGGCCATACTTGTTGGAATCTACCCAGCACCTGATACGATGTTTAGCACATAGTAAGGGTCCTGTTCATGTTTATTGAGAAAGTGAGAAGAGAAAGAGGGAGGAGGTGGGGAGCAATAAACTGGAATATCAGGAGGCCATCTACCACCCTGGTCCGAGCCACCATTATTTCTCACCTGGATCAAGGGTGCCTCTGCTTCTGCCTTTCCTCTTCTAAAGTTGTCCCCAACATAGCCAACGTGAACCTATTAACACAAAAGTCAGACCTAGTCACCATGAGCTTGAAACCAGGGTTCTTAACCTTGACACCACAGACACTGTGGGCCCGGTAATTGCTGGGGAGGGGAGGAAAACACTGTCCTGTGCATTGAAAGGTACCCTCTACCCACTTAGTGTCATACTGCTACTCCACCCTCTTTTCCACCGCTGTGATGATAAAAAATGTTTCTAGAGATTGCTAAATGTCCCCTGGAGACAAAATTCCTCCTTCCCACCCCAAACCCTGCAATTCTCTCCATCTCATGTGGAGAATGTCCTTCCACATGCCCTCACCCTCTGATCTCATGTCCTCCCTTTTCTCCCTCACCCATTCTGCTTCCTTCATGAATACTGGCTCCCTTGCTATTCTTCCAACACTCAAGGTATGATCCAGATCAGAGCCATTGAGCCTAGTCCCTCTGCCTAGAATGTTTTTCCCTTAGATTTTCAAATAACTCATTCCATCACCTCCTTTAGGGTTTTACTCAAATGTCATCTTCTCGATGAGGCCAACTTGGGATGCCTTTCATGAAATTAAAATCCCACTGTATTAGTTTGCTAGGGCTGCCAAAACAAAATACCACTTACTAGGTGGCTTAAACAACAGAAATGTATTTTCTCACAGTTCTGAAAGCTGGAAGTCCAAGATGAAGGCATCTGCAGGATGGCTTGACCCCTGTGGCTGCCTTCCTGCCAGGGCCTCACATGGTCTTTTCTCTGGGTATAGACCTCCCTGGTTTTGTGTCCAAATTTCTTATGAAGACACAGTCCTATTGGATTAGGGCCCATTTTAACTTAATTACCTCTTTAAAGGCCCTATCTCCAAATATAGTCACAATCAGATACTAAGGGTTAGAGCCTCAACATATGAATTTTGAGAGGGACACAATTCAGCCCATGACACCCAGCATCGCCACCACCAGCAATGATCACTCTACCATTCTGAATATTTTACTTATTCACTTTGTCTATGGTCTTTTTCTCCTCTTATAGAATGCTATGTTCCATAAAGGCAGGGATTTTTGTCCATTTTATTCACCACTGCATTGCCAGTGCCTAGAATCATGCCTGGCACATAACAGATGCTTGTTAACTATTTGTTACAGTAATGAACAGACATAGCTCCTCCGCTTAACTTCTCTGAGCCTCAGCTCCCTCTGTCAAATAAGGGAATTAGGCTAGATAAGACAGAGCAAGAATTCTGTTTTATTTAAATCTGAGTGCCAACGTAGCTGGCTTACCTAGAAAGCAGACTGCAGTGAAGCTTAGGTGTTAATGCTGCCTGGCGGTCGGAGGGGGCGGTGCGGGGGCGGGGGGGTACAATCGCAGGGCAGCTGGGGTGAGGGAGAGGGCAGTGAGATGGGGCAAGAAGGGAAGCAAATACAGGGCACTGTGCTGCCCACCAGGCCTCAGTTTACCAATAGGCACTGCCAGATACCCGGCCACACAGGACATCTCGAGGCAGGCCTGGGAACTGTCCATGGGAAGGAGGCCTGTCAGGCTTCCTGCCACCTCCCATTGGTCAGAGTTGGCTTCTTAGGGATTAACTCCCTTGCACTGGAATGGTCTCACCTGGCTCAGCAGCCTCTGGGGCTCAACCCCTCAGGAGGAGGGCTGCCTCCAGCCAGGAAGTGGATGGAGGAGCCTGAAGGGGTCGGCCTCAGGCTGCAGGCACCTGAGGAAGGAGGGTCATGAAGACAGCAGCCCTGATCCCTGCAGTCTGGGCAGATGGCTCTGAGCCTAGGAGACAGGGGAAACCCAGAGACTCTGAGATGCCCAGGATGTGTGCAAGACAGGTGAGAAGGGGGAAAGGAGTCAGTGAGGGGAACAGCTGAGGCATCTGGAACAGAGGCCATGGTAAAGCTGGTCAGAAGCACAGGTGGGCTCCAGCAGTTGAGGAGGGAGCTCAGGTGAGCACAGTATAGCGGGCAGGCACTTGGGTAGGCACCCTGGACCCAAGGAGCTGGCTTTGTTTGTTTGAAGTCCTGACAGAGGGTCCATGTCCCCGGCAGCCTGGTCTCATGAAACTGCTCTAGCAGGGACCTTGAAGAGGGAGCCCAGCTTCACTTTCTGCTGGGTGGGACTCCAGGTGTCTGCAGCCAGGTAAGGGGCTCTGATCTCGCATGGCAGCCCGAGCTGCTTCATTAGCAACAGGCTGTGGCCGCCCACCTTCCCCCACTCCCAACCCGCCCCGCCACTAGCCTCCCCATCAGCTGCCTCAGCCAGCCGCTCATGTGCTCGTCACTTTGCAAACTCTTCCTAAACTCCGCCGCCCCCTCAGCTGTCTCTGGAAGGGGAGAGGGGGTTCGCTGCCACCACTCCACTTCTCCGGGAAGGGGTGTTTTTTTCTCATGTGTGGGCTGTGTGTGTTGGGCTGTGCCTCGACTCGAGGGCAGATTCCTCCCTCCAGAGGTGATGATACGCGCCAGGAGCAGATTGCACATTTGTCTCCTGGGAGGCAGTGGGCGAGGGAAGCAGAACGCGCTGTGTGAGCGTGGGGAGGGGGTGCCTGTAGAACCGTGATGGGGTGATGGGCTCGGAGTGCAGGGAGTGTGTGTGACTGTCGCTGCTGGCTGCCTGCAGAGGCAGCGGGAGACTGATTATAGGGCTGGGTCCCGTGGCCCTGGATGTGGGTGCAAGAAGCTGCATTTGCACTTGTCTGTCAAGGTGGGGGTGATGGTTGCCCTGGTGACTAGGCTGGGAAGTGGGTTGGCCTTGCCGACAAATGCTGGAAGGAAAATATGATAAGCACCATTTAGGGATTTTCCCTTTTCTTTTTCTTGATTGGAGCACCAGTTCGATAGAGCCTTGTGATCATAAATGAAAGATAACTTTCAGTGGCTGGACCCACCTTATCCTGTTCTGGTTCCCTGAGAAAACCCCACAGCACCTGCTCTAAGCCCACTGAGCTGGCATAGAAGGCCTGGATCCTAATCCTAACTGGTTAGCCCTGGAACCTGGAACAAGTGGCTCCCGCCCTCTAGTCCTCACTTGGACAAGGAACCCTCCAGGACCTCTTTGTGTTCTGATTCCTAGGCCTCACCCCCAGACATTGTAATTAGTAGGTCCACAGCTGGGCTTAAGAATCTGCATTTTAGCCATTCCACCCTGCACCTTCCACATACACCGGACCTGCATTTCAGAGCCACTGTAATCTGTCATTAAAAGTGCTGGCTTTGGGATCTGACAGGACAATCTATCTGTAGCCCATCTAAGCCTCAGTTTCCTCATCTGTATAGTGGAGGAAAAAGGACTCCCACCCATGCAGCTACTGTGAATATCAGATGAGATAAGGCCACAAGCATAGCACAGGGCCTGGCACCTTGGGGCAGGGGAGTCCAATAAATGTTAGGCTTTCCGCTTATTATTCTATGTGAACCTGTAGTATCTCTACTACCCTCTCGCCTTCCCAGCAGCCCCTTGCCAGGCAAATCCCACATCCAGGAAAATGGCTTCTGCAGTAAGCGAGAATCAGTCAGGCTAGAACTTAGGCAGAAGAGGAGGAGGCAGTGCTCACAGCTGGGGCACTCACACCCGAGAGTTTCAGCTCCGTTTAATCTGTTGCCATGACAATTGCAGCTTCCTCAACCTCTGTAGGGTAAAATGACTTCCTCCAACATCCAAATACTCTGGATGTCTGTGGTCATTTTACCAAAGGCACTAGGAGATGGCAGGGATACACACCTCTCTCATCCCAACCCAATCATCATTTCAGTTCTCATCTCAGGGTATACTGAGGGCTTCTGGAGGACAAGGACTTGGCTGAATTTTGCTTCAAAGCCCCAGCACCTAAAGCAGTGCCTGGCATACAGTAGGCAGATGACAAATGCTGGTTGAATGAATAAATGCAGTGTAAATCTGAATTTCTTAATCAACAATTCACTTCATTTAGTAGAGAGATGAAATGCAATTAGGACTCCAGGCATCTGTTACTTGATTTCTTCCCCACTTACCTTTTTTGAGAAAACTGCATTACAGGGGCTGAAATCAGCCCCTGTAAATGGCATTCAGTCCCCTTGGCATTAGTACTAGATCCCCCTAGGAAAGCCCAGGGCATGCAGATACAGCCCACCAGACCCTCAAACTTTTGAAGTACTGTTTCCTCAGCATTTTCATTCATACAAGCTCTTCTGAACCTTACTGGTTATTAATATATCAAATTTCATATGCAACAAGAATTAATATTTCCCTTGCAGGAATCTGCTCCTCCAAACATGAATTCTTCATGCCTCATCAGTTCCCATCCCCTTCTGTCTAGCAAAAAAATGGAATTGATGAAACTCAAATCTACTCAGAATTGCAGCTGATTAACCAATCTCATATAAGAAAAGAAGATTAGGCCAGGCTCGATGGCTCACACCTGTTATCCCAGCACTTTGGGAGGCTGAGGCAGGCAGATCACTTGAGGTCAGGAGTTCGAGACCACCCTGCCCAACATAGTGAAACCCTGTCTCTACTAAGAATACAAAAATTAGCCGGATGTGGTGGTGTGCACCTGTAATCGCAGCTACTGGGAAGGCTGAGGCACTAGAATCACTTGAACCCAGGAGGAGGTTGCAGTGAGCCGAGATCCTGCCACTGCTCTCCAGCCTGAGCAACAGAGTGAAACTATGTCTCAAAAACAAATAAATAAATAAAAGGAAAAGATTAAAACTCTTGGCTCGGAGTTTTTTTAAACAGAATTAACTGAGGGATTAATATATCTGTGTTGTCTACCATTAGTAGATTGAGCTTTGGTTAACGAGGCCTGTGCTTAAGAAGTGACATTTGTTTATTCATTAACCAAGTATTTATTGAGTACTTCCTATGGCCAGGCCAGCTGCATAGGTAAATGACCTGGGCAGTTGTACAGGGTCCGGAGCTCAGAGGGGCCCTGAGCTTGGTTTCCTGTTGTGGCCATCTTGAAATTCTCAACAATTTTATCTTTGAACTTGTGTTTTGCAAGTGAAGTCCTATGGGATGCTAGAACATGTCTGTGAGCAGAGGAAGGAGGTACAAGTCGCGTTCACCCTTCCTTGCTGCCAGTTACAGAGAGTGTTCACGATGCTCCATGAACATGGAGTTCTGGGGACCCACAGGCATGGCAGTTCAGAGAGGCTCAAAGTGAGTCCAAGGTAACTGTGTTCTGCCCAGAGCCCGAAATTTCTATTCAAACTAGGAGACTTGCTTCAAATACAGAAAGAAGGCAATGGTATTCTAACCCACACCATGGCAAGATGCCCCATCACATCCTTCCTTACTGGTGCTGCTTCCCTGCATTGGCCAACCACACCCACTGAAGATGACTTAGAAGGAAAGGGGAGAGAAGGGCCCCAGAGCTCCTGTTCCTTTCAGTCCTCCCTACTCCCCTCAACAGGAAGGCAAAGAGTGCTGATGAAACGTGCACATATCAAGAAGTGAAAGGAAAACAGATTAGCTTGTTTTTGGCAGCATTTCAAACACTGTCCTGGTAAAAATAAAGTACATAGGCACATGCAAACTACAAAATTCCGTGGTTCCATAAACAAGTTTAATGCATTCATGTTTGCATTTAAAAATGGCATTGCATAACATAAAGATGAATGCTGAAATTCATGCTAATAAGTTTTCTTTACTTACAGCATTAAATAATATATAAAATATACATGAAAAGCTGAGAGAGAGAGACCAGGGAAGAAAGGAAAATGCTTTCTATTTTAGTATCTCTAATGATTTTTTTTCTTGTTTTGCTTTTTGAGCAAGGAAACTCACATTTTTATTTTGCACTGGGCCCCACAAATTATGTAGCCAACCCTGGGGTCACAAGTTGGGAACATAGTGCCTGTCTCCAAAAAGCTAATTTCTTCTTCTTTCTTTCATTATTCTGGAAAATGTTTCCATCCTTACAGAGCAAGCAAATAAACAGTTTTAAAAGAAGTGAAAAGGAGTAAATAACTGACTCTCGTAGAGTTGATGAGGATTAAATGAGTCAGTACAAGTCCAATGTTGAGGACAGCATTTGCAGCATAGAAAGTGTTATCCTAAGGATGTCTTGGTCCATCTGTGTTGCTATAAAGGAATACCTGAGGCTGGATGATTTATAAAGGAAAGAGGTCTATCTGGCTCACAGTTCTGCAGGCTGTACAAGAAGCATGGCACATGCATCTGCTTTTGGTGAAGGCCTCAGACTGCTCCCACTCATGGCAGAAGGCAAAGGGGAGCCCATGTGTGCAGAGATCACATGAGAGGAAGCAAGAGAGAGAGGAAAGATGCCAGGCTCTTTTGAACGACCAGCTTTGACAGGAACTAATACAGTAAGAACTCATTACCACATGCATGTCACCAAGCCATTTGTGAGTGATCCACCCCACTGAACAAATACCTCCCATTAGGCCCCACCTCCAACATTGTGGACCAAACTTCAACATGAGTTTTAGAGGGGACAAACAGCCGAACTATAGCAAAGGGTTTGCTAATATTATTGTTCATTCCAAGGAAGAGAAAACTTCCCTCACCCCTTGGTTTCTGAGGATGGGGTTCTCGGTTTCTTAGGCCAGTACAATATTTTGTTTGCTTTGGAATTTGAATTTCAAAACTATGAAGGGGAATAGCGCTGCCCAGTTGCCTCTGGCCTTACTACTCCTAGTTGGGGTAGAACCTGGCCATGCCACCCACTTGTTATTTCTCTGAGCATTTTATCCCAGCTTTATTCATCAGTTTCTTCAACAAGCAGAGTTGAAGGCTGTTTTTAGTTCCTGTCCTGCATGCTCTCCTCTGTTGCATAAAGGAAATGAACCCTTTATTCAACCCCAATGCAAACCCTGTTTCGATCTAGCAAAAACATTCCTAAAGCTTTGCTCTACACACTTAGCACCATGCTTGGAACTAAGACAGAACAAAAGGCATCTAAATGAGGTACAACCCTTGCCTAGATGAGCTTATGATCTAAGACAAGAAACTACACATACAGACTGTTAAGTACAGCTGCATATAATGCAAATATATGTGGCTTAAAACCAAAACTGGTTGTAGTTACTCAGAAATTACTTCTAAGGGTCAGGGCAGGAGTGGGAAGGGATGAGAAAGTGTGTGATATAACTTAAATCCATGAATAAATTAAATCTTAATACCATTAACTCCTTTCCCTTATAAAAGACTGGAAGGGCAGGGAATCACACCTAAGGTAACTGTTTGCTGTTCAAGGAGGTTGCATGAATGAATCTTTGGCCATCAAGATATTCCCTGAGTCATCAGGAGGCAGAGATAAAAGTCTTTCCCTGTGAGGGAAAGAAGATGCCCAAAACACAAGGAAGGCATCACAGTGGAAAGAATTAAGGATGGTGGCTGGGTGCAGTGGCTCACATCTGTAATCCCAGCACTTTGGAAGGCTGAGGCAGGCAGATCACTTGAAGTCAAGAGTTCAAGACCAGCATGGCCAACATGTTGAAACCCTATCTCTACTAAAAATACAAAAAATAATTCCATTAAAAAGTGGGCTAAGGACATGAATAGACAATTCCCAAAAGAAGATTTACAAATGGCCAAGAAACATATGAAAAAATGCTCAACATCACTAATGATCAGGGAAATGCAAATCAAAATCACAATGTGATATCACCTTACTCCTGCAAGAATGGCCATAATCACAAAATCAAAAAACAGTAGATGTTGGCATGGATGCAGTGAGCAGCGAACACTTCTGCACTGCTGGTGAGAATGAAACTAGTACAGCCACCATGGAAAACAGTGTGGAGATTCCTTAAAGAACTAAAAGTGGAGCTACCATTTGATCCAGCAATCCCACTACTGGGTATCTACCCAGAGGAAGAGAAGTCACTATATGAAAAAGATACTTGCACACTCATGTTTATAGCAGCAATTGCAAAATCGTGGAACCAACCCCCATCAATTGATGAGTGGATAAAGAAACTGTAGTATATATAAATACAATGGAATACTACTCAGCCATAAAAAGGAGTGCATTAATGGCATTCGCAGCAACCTGGATGAGATTGGAGACTGTTATTCTAAGTGAAGTGACTCAGGGATGGAAAACCAAACATCGTATGTTCTCACTGATATGTGGGAGCTAAGCTATGAGGACTCAAAGGCATAAGAATGATACAATGGACTTTGGGAACTTGTGGGGAGGAGTGCAAGGGATAAAAGATGACAAAAAAGGTGCAGTGCCACTCAGGTGATGGGTGCACCAAACTCTCACAAATCACCACTAAAGAACTTATGTAACCAAACACCACCTGTACCCCCATAACCTATGGGGGAAATTTTTTTAAAAATGAATAAATATTTTTAGATATCACAAATGAAAATAAAAATAAATTAGCGAGGCATGGTGATGCATGCCTGTAGTCCTAGCGATTCAGGAAGCTGAGGCTGGAGAATCTCTTAAACCCAGGAGGCAGAGTTTGCAGTGAGCTGAGATTGTGCCACGGCACTCTAGCCTGGGTGACAGAGCAAGACTCTGTCTCAAAAAAAAAAAAAAAATACTTAAGGATGGTGATGTCTAATATTCAATATTAAGTTGTTTGCATTGCTGAGTGGTAAAGGCCCCTCTTTTGCCAGTAAATCTTCAAGACAATTGGCCCCAGAGACAAAGACACTGTGTCCCATGAGTGGGGCTTCTTCACTGTGAAAAATGACTTTCTCATTTTTACTTCTCCCATTAGTGTCTGGCACTTGGCAAGAAGTTGATGACTATTTATTATGAGAGAGATTTTTGAAAAGAAGAAATATTTAATGAATAGATGATTAGAGAGTGAATGATGGTCGACTAGCACAGATTTCTCTAACCTCACATCTGGGTACAACTGGAGAGACAGGATGCACACGAGGAGGGCGCTGCCCCAGGATGTGGCTTGGAGAGAGAGGCGACGCAGGGCTTCTGTTCCTTTATATTTGGAGACCCAGCTTATAAATAGATGCCATGGCCCCAAAAACTCAAAATGCCTCAGAAGTCAGCCTATGTCAGAACGGCTCACATTCAGGATGAAACGGAGTGAACCAATTTACAAATGCTTCTACACAATTTCTCAGCAAGACTATGCAGAGATCGTTAAAGCCATGCCCTAGGATAGCGTTTGTCTTGGCAAACAGAACTATTGGCAGTCCGCTGCCACCTGTTTCACCACAATACCTGCTGATGCTCCTTCCTGACTCACACTGGCTCAGTTTCATAAGAGGGGGCAGCTCTGTTTCTCTCCCTGTGTCACCACAATAATTATTGAGAACAATAATTTGAACAATGAGAACTTATAATTCTCTAGTAACATGCAAAAGTAGTGTCATTTGCAGAAAAAGAATCTCCTGAGTATTGGGTAACAGAAACCATATGTTCTGCTTCAGTTTTCATAGCAAGCTTAAACCTTGGCAGTGAATGGGATTAGAACCATTCATTCATTCATTCATTCAGCACATACTAATAAGACACCAGTGACACAGCAGGCAGGGTATACAGTGGAGACTAGTCTGGCTTTATTCCCTCCTACATCTTGATCCAGAGAGAAAGGCTGCCAGAACAGTGATCATTTGATGCTGAAGTTTGGGAGAGTGATAACATACATCACAGACACCCAAGAACACCCTTGCTGCCATCTTTTAGGAGACACACTCTAATGGTTTAAGTCTCAAACCAGAAACCTCCTACAAATACCATAGACATAACAGAGTGGGCGGATTTCAGGCTTAATCCTAGTCCTGCCCCTCACTAGCTATGTGACCTTGGACCTGTTCTTCTCCTCTCTGAGCCTCTACTGCAGGAGGTAAAATGGAAATAAAGCATGTTCACTAAGATCACTGAAGCAACAGAAAATAGGAGGGATTGATGAATTTAGAAACTAAGACAGATCTTAAGAATAGCTATTCTATGCTACTCCAGGAAAATTGTTCTAACTCAAAGAGTATATTAATGACAAGTATAAGCAGATAAGATTAGTTCCTCTTAAAATTAGCTCTAGAACCATGAAACAGTTTCAGGAATACTACAGCCTTTCAAACTCTTTGTTAGGTAACTACATTGCAATAGAACCTGGAGAACTCAATGCATGCACAAAATGTCCATCCACATTCAACAGTGACTCCAGCTCTTTATAGCACATGAACCTGGACACAAACAAGACCTACTTAACACAGTTTCCAGTTTGTTGCTAAGTAACCACTACTGCCTGGTATGAGTGTGTGAGCACTCTGTTTCTTGTGTCAACTCATTATGCCAACATAATAGAGTGAACTTAACATTAGAGAATGGAATGTGAGATTTCATTTTTCATCACCCATACAGTTAGTCTATTATTGTCCAGCCAACTAAAAGTGTCTTCTAGAATAAGGTGAAAGAACAGAGAGGGCAAGGAAGAACTGAGAGCATATGGAGGAAGGAGGTAAATATGATTTTTCGTGTGACAATACACAGAAGCCCACCAATGACCACACTTAAACCAGGTGGCAGTCTATCATCTTTTGTCTTTTTCCTTGTCAAATACCGTGTTGTCACCTGGTCAAGTATGAGAACCTAAGACTTGGTGCCATAATGTACACTGACCAGTAGAGTGAGGGGCAATATTTACACAGTGGCCGTCACCATCATCCTAAGCCACTCCCCACTCCCAGCCCAAGGAGGACCAAGGCCATTGGGATTATGGTGGCATTCTCCTCCCTGAGGAGTGAGAGGGTAAGAAGTGATTGGCGTTTCCTCCTAGTAGTTCTGACCCACTGTCCATCTGGTCCAGACAGCTGGGCATCCATGCACCTGTTGGTGGCTGTAGTTTCCCAGAGTCCCACAACCACCCTGGAGTCCAGAAACACTCTAGGTGGCTTCCTTCTGAGCTGCTGGAGAATGTTTTGTGAATCACTTCTCTTAGGAAAGCAAATGGTCCCAAGGTAACTCCAAATTATTTTCCTCCAGCTTTATTGAGATATAACTGACAAATAAAAATTGTATGGACCATGTGATTTTTGATAAATATATATACATTGTGAAATGATTACACAATCAAGCTAATTAAGGTATCTATAAGATCTATTCCTATATGGTAGCAGCATGGAGAAGTGCAGAGCAAAGGGGAGTGGGGAAAAGCCCCTTATAAGATCTCATGAGAATGCACTATAATGAGAACAGCATGGAGGTAACCAGCCCCATGATTCAATTACCTTTCACCGGGCTCCTCACACAACATATGGGGATTATGAGAACTACAGGTTGAGATTTGGGTGGTGACACAGCCAAACCATTGTCATTCCACCCCAGCCCCTCCCAAATCTCATGTTCTCACATTTCTAAACACAATCATGCCTTCCCAACAGTCCCCCAGTCTTAACTCATTCCAGCATTAACTCAAAAGTCCAAGTCCAAAGTTTCATCTGAGACAAGGAAAGTCCCTTCCTCCTATGAGCCTGTAAAATCAAAAGCAAGTTAGTTACTTCCTAGATACAATGGGGGTAAAGGCATTAGGTAAATACAGCCATTCCAAATGGGAGAAATCGGCCAAAACAAAAGGACCACAGGCTCCACCCAGGTCTGTAATTTAATAGGACAGTCATTAAACCTTAAAGTTTGAAAATATTTCTTTTGACTCCATGTCTCACCTCCAGGTTACACTGATGCAATAGGTGGGCTTCCACAGCCTTAGGCAGCTCTGCCCCTGTGGCTTTGCAGGGTGCACCCCCCACTCCAAGCTGCTTTCACAGGTTGGCATTGAGTGCCTGTGGCTTTTCAAGGCACATGGTGCAAGCTGTCAGTGGATCTACCATTCTGGGGTCTGGAGTACAGTGGCCCTCTTCTCACAGCTCCACTAGGCAGTGTCCCAGTGGGGACTTTCTGTGGGGCCTCCAATCTCATATTTCCCTTCCACACTGCCCTAGCAGAGGTTCTCCATGAGGGCTCTGTCCCTGCAGCAAACTTCTGCCTGGACATTCAGGCATTTCCATACATCCTCGGAAATCTAGGCAGAGGTTCCCAAACCTCAATTCTTGTCTTCTGTGCCCCCCAGAACCAACACCATGTGAAGGCTGCCTAGGCTTAAGGCTTGCACCCTCTGAAGCAATGGCTGGAGCTGTACCTTGGCCGCTTTTAGCCATGGCTGGAGCCGAAGCAGCTGTGATGCAGGGCACCATGTCCTGAGGCTGCACAGAGAAGCGGGGCCCTGGGCCTGGTCCATGAAAGCACCTTTCCCTTCTAGGCCTCCAGACTTGTGATGAGATGGGCTTCCATGAAGGTCTCTGACATGCCCTGGAGACATTTTCCCCATTGTCTTGGTGATTAACGTTGGATTCCTCATTACTTTTGCAAATTTCTGTAGCAGGCTTGAATTTCTCCCCAGAAAATGGGTTTTTCTTTTCTACCACATTGTCAGGCTGCAAATTTTCCAAACTTTTATGCTCTGCTTCTTCTTGAATGCTTTGCCATGTAGAAATTTCTTGCACCAGATAGTCTAAATCATCTCTGTCAAGTTCAAAGTTCCACAAATCTCTGGGGTAGGGGCAAAATGCCACCAGTCTTTTTGCATAGCAAGAGTGACCTTTATTCCAGTTCCAACAAGTTCCCTATCTCCATCTGAGACCACCTCAGCCTGGACATTATTGTCCATATCACTATCAACATTTTGGTCGAAGCCATTCAACAAGTCTCTAGGAAGTTCCAAACTCTCCCACATTTTCCTATCTTATTCTGAGCCCTCCAGACTGTTCCAACCTCTGCGTGTTGTGCAGTTCCAAAGTCGCTCCCACATTTTCAAGTACCTTTATAGTAGGACCCCACTCCTGGTACAAATTGACTGTATTAGTCTATTCTCATGCTGCTGTAAGGACATGCCCAAGACTGGGTAATTTATAAAAGAGAGAGGTTTAATTGACTCACAGTCCTGCAGGCTGGGGAGGCCTCAGGAAACTTACAATCATGGCAAAAGAGGAAGCAAATACATCTTTCTTCACATGGCAGCAGCAAGGATAACTGCAGAGTGAAGGTGGGGAAAAGCCCCTTATAAAACCATCAGATCTCATGAGAACTCACTCACTATCAAGAGAAAAGCATGGAGGTAACCACCCTGATGATTCAATTACCTCCCACTGGGTCCCTCCCATGACATGTGGGGATTATGGGAACAACAATTCAATATGAGATTTGGGTGGGAACACAGCCAAACCATATCAACTCCCTTAGCAAATTTCAGGTATACATGAACTATAGTCACTGTGCTGTATATTAAGTCTCCAGAACTTACTCATCTTGGAACTAACTACAAGTTTGTACGCTTTGACTAACATTTCCCTATTTCTCCAACCCCTTGACCCCTGGTAACCATTCTTCTACTCTCCATTTGTATGAGTTTGGCTTTTTTCAAGTGCACCTCAAAATTTTTCATTCGCCCTCTCACCTAGATTTAAATTCACTTCCCCTATTTCACCGGACAGTCAATTGTGTAAAACATAGGTCCCAGCAGTGATGCAATAGAAGGAGCATAGGAAGACAGAAGTCAGCAAATGACCATCCAGTGCAGCAAGCAGCGTGCTCAGTATCAACAGGTGAGCCTGTGGGGTCCCAGTGAGGCACCTGAATGGGATAGAAGGGTCCTAGAAGAGGTGACATCTGAGGAGCTGTAGCTGTGGCTTCCCCACTTGAGAGCAGGGACTTGGGCCCAGCCAGCTTTGCATCTTCCCGTACCTGGTACAGAGCCTTTCGCAGGGTGGACATGGAGGAACCACTGGTTTGCACTGTCACCTATTCTGCCATCCCAGATGACCACTTAGCACCTGAGCAGCTGGATTCACCTTTCTCCCACTCCCTTATTCATTGAGCCCTGGGGGTAAGTTCACTTACGTGTGTTTAAGGTTTTTTCTTTTCTTTTTTTTTTTTTGAGACAGAGTCTCACTCTGTCACGCAGGCTGGAGGGCAGTAGTGCCATCTAAGCTCACTGCAACCTCCACTTCCTGAATTCAAGCAATTCTCCTGTCTCAGCCCCCTGAGTAGCTGGGACTATAGGTGTGCACAACCATGCCCAGCTAATTTTTGTATTTTTAGTAGAGATGGGGTTTCGTGATGTTGGCCAGGTTGGTCTCCAACTCCTCACCTCAAGTGATCCACCCGCCTTGGCCTCTTAAAGTGCTGGGATTACTGGCGTGAGCCACTGCACCAGTCAAAGTTTGATTTGCCAATTTTATAAAAAAACAAGTGAAACCCGGCTTCCACGCTCTCGGCTTGTCTCTGAAGAGGAGTTCATCTACTACAGGTCTACATGGAACCCGGCACCCAGGCCAATTCTAGACATTCATGCCCTGAGGCTCCTCAGACCTTTCTAGCACCTGCTGAGGGATTCAGGAGCAGATGGCAGAGCTCTGTTAGAGGGACCCACCATCAACACTGACAAAATAGCATAGCACCTTACACAAGCTTTGTGGTGGACACACAAACACTCATAGGTTTTATTTGTGGGCAGTAGTTTTCCAGAAAAGTAATACAGTGTCAGTTAAACTCACTAAGCCAGAAAAGGGAAAAAAAAAAAATCTACCTTTTGTGTTAGCTACATTTTGAATGACAGCCTTTTGTTTTAATACCTAGTGCCAAAGGAGAGACTTGGACAATGACTGTGTTGGAGAGCCCCTTGTTATGAAGACCTAATCTATATAGCTGTGTCATGTACATTGTTCAAGTCCTGTCCGTGGCACTGAACTGTGTACCTTGCATTTTAATCTTCCTTAGTCACCACATTCATCATCTCACTTTCCTGCTCAAGAACTTGAGCTGATGCCTAAGTCCTACTGAAGCCAGTCCAAAGTCTTGCCCCCAGAGGTTTTATTGCAAAGTCCCTCCCCAAAGTAGCCCACCTGCTCTAACCAGGATAGTTTCCTCTGCCTTGTGCTATAAACTATGTTCACTCCTGCCTGCATACATTTGCTGAAACTATTCCCCCACTGCCCATGCTCTTTTCTCACTAGCCACTAACAGGAATTAACCTTGTCCTTCAAAGTACAATGTGCACCTGCTTTCCTCCTAGAACTATCTTGGATAATCCTACCCCTCCTCTCCTCCGCCATCCTGGGTCCCCCATTGTATAAGTCTGTTTTCATACTGCTATAAAGAACTGCTGAGACTGGGTAATTTATAAAGAAAAGAGGTTTAATTGACTCACAGTTCTGCATGGCTGAGGAGGCCTCAGGAAACTTACAATCATGGCAGAAGGCAAAGGGAAAGCAAAGACCTTCTTCACATGGCAGTAGGAGAGAGTTAGCAAGAGCAGGAGAGAGTTAGCAAAAGCAGGGAAAACTGCCTTATAAAACCATCAGAGGCCAGGTACAGTAGCTCACCCCTGTAATCCCAGCACATTGGGAAGCCAAGGTGGGTGGATCACCTGAGGTCAGGAGTTCAAGACCAGCCTGGCCAACATGACAAAGCCCCATCTCTACTAAAAATACAAAAGTTAGCCAGGTGTGGTGGCAGGCACCTGTAATCCTGGCTACTCAGGAACCTGAGGCCAGAGAATCACTTGAACCTGGGAGGAACAGGTTGCAGTGAGCTGAGATCATGCCACTGCACACCAGCCTGGGTGACACAGTGAGACTCTGTCTCAAAAAAAAAAAAAGGAATGGGAACTGCTCTGGTCTGCAGCTCCCAGTGAGATCGATGCAAAAGGCAGGTGATTTCTGCATTTCCAACTGAGGTACCTGGCTCATCTTATTGGGACTGGTTAGACAGTGGATGCAGCCCACGGAGGGTGAGCTGAAGCAGGTTGGGGCATTGCTTCACCCGGGAAGCACAAGGAGTCAGGGAACTCCCTCCCCTAGCCAAGGGAAGCTCTGAGGGACTGTGCCTTGAGGAATGGTGCACTCCAGCCCAGATACTATGCTTTTCCCACGGTCTTTGCAACCCACAGACCAGGAGATTCCCTCGGGTGCCCACACCACCAGGGCCCTGGGTTTCAAGCACAAAAGTGGGCAGCCATTTGGGCAGACACCGATCTAGCTGCAGGAGTTTTTTTTCATACCACAGTGGTGCCTGGAATGCCAGCGAGACAGAACCGTTCACTCCCCTGAAAAGGAGGCTGAAGCCAGGGAACCAAGTGGTCTAGCTCAGCAGAACCCACCCTGAGGGAGCTGAATCAATCAAGCGGAAGAAAGGATATCAGGGATTGAAGATCAACTTAATGAAATAAAGAGTGAACAGTAGGTTAGAGAAAAAAGAATGAAAAGGAACAAACAAAGCCTCCAAGAAATATGGGACTATGCGAAAAGACCAAACCTATGTTTGTTTGGTGTACCTGAAAGTGATGGGGAGAATGGAACCAAGCTGGAAAACACTCTTCAGAATATTACCCAGGAGAACTTCCAAAACCTAGCAAGTCAGGCCAACATTCAAATTCAGGAAATATAGAGAACACCACAAAGATATTCTTTGAGAAGAGCAACCCCAAGACACATAATCATCAGATTCACCAAGGTTGAAATGAAGGAAAAACTGTTAAAGGCAGTCAGAGAGAAAGGGAAGCAGTCAGAGACAAAGAAAGGGCAGTCAGAGACAAAGGGAAGCCCATCAGACTAACAGCAGATCTCTTGGCAGAAACCCTACATGCAAGAAGAGAGTGGGGGCCAATATTCAACATTCTTAAAGAAAAGAATTTTCAACCCAGAATTTCATATCCAGACAAAATAACCTTCATAAGCGAAGAAGAAATAAAATCCTTTACAGACAAGCAAATGCTGAGATTTTGTCACCATCAGGCCTGCCTTACGAGAGCTCCTGAAAGAAGCACTAAATATGGAAAGGAAAAACCGGTACCAGCCCCTGCAAAAACACAGCAAATTGTAAAGACCATTGACACTATGAAGAAACTGCATCAACTAACAGGCAAATTAACCAGCTAGCATCATAATGGCAGGATCAAATTCACACATAACCATATTAACCTTAAATTTAAATGGGCTAAATGCCCCAATTAAAAGACACAGACTGGCAAATTGGATAAAGAGTCAAGACCCATTGGTGTGCTGTATTCAGGAGACCCATCTCACGTGCAAAGACACACATAGGCTCAAAATAAAGGGATGGAGGAATCTTTACCAAGCAAATGGAAAGCAAAAAAAAAAAAAGCAGGGGTTGCAATCCTAGTCTCTGATAAAACAGACTTTAAACCAGCAAAGATCAAAAAAGAAAAGAAGGGCATTACATGATGGTAAAGGGATGAATGCAACAAGAAGTGCTAACTATCCTAAATATATATATGCACCCAAAACAGGAGCACCCAGATTCATAAAGCAAGTTCTTTGAGACCTACAAAGAGACTTAAGTTCCCACACAATAACAGTGGGAGACTTTAACACCCCCACTGTCAATATTAGAAGATCAACGGACAGAAAGTTAACAAGGATATTCAGGACTTGAACTCAGCTATGGGCCAAGCGGACCTAATAGGCATCTACAGAACTCTCTACCCCAAATCAACAGAATATACATTCTTCTCGGCACCACATCACACTTATTCTAAAATTGACCACATCATTGGAAGTAAAACACTCCTCAGCAAATGCAAAAGAATGGAAATTGTAACAAACAGTCTCTCAGACCACAGTGCAATCACATTAGAAGTCAGGATTAGGAAATGCACTCAAAACCTCACAACTACATGGAAACTGAACAACCTGCTCTTGAATGACTACTGGGTACATATTGAAATTAAGGCAGAAATAATTAAGTTCTTTGAAACCAATGAGAATAAAGACACAATGTACCAGAATCTCTGGGACACAGCTAAAGCAGTGTTTAGAAGGAAATTTATAGCACTAAATGCCCACAGAAGAAAGCAGAAAAGATCTAAAATCAAAACCCTAATATCGCAATTAAAAGAAGTAGAGAAGCAAGAGCAAACAAATCCAAAAGCTAGCGGAAGACAAAAAATAAGTGAGATTAGAGCAGAACTAAAGGAGATAGAGACACGAAAAACCCTTCAAAAAATCAATGAATCTGGAAGCTGGTTTTTTGAAAAGATTAACAAAATAGACTGCTAGCCAGAATAATAAAGAAGAAAAGAGAGAGAATCAAATAGACACAATAAAAAATGATAAAGTGGATATAACCATTGATCCCACAGAAATACAAACTACCATCACAGAATACTATAAACATCTCTACACAAATAAACTAGAAAATCTAGAAGAAATAGATAAATTCCTGGACACATACACCCTCCCAAGACTAAACCAGGAAGTAGTTGAATCCCTGAATAGACCAATAACAAGTTCTGAAATTGAGGCAGTAATTAATAGCCTACCAACCAAAAAAAAGCCCAGGACCAGACAGATTCACAGCCAAATTCTACCAGAGGTACAAAGAGGAGCTGATACCAATCCTTCTGAAACTATTCCAAACAATAAAAAAGAGGGACTCCTCCCTAACTCATTTTATGAGGCCAGCATCACCCTGATACCAAAACCTGGCAGAGACACAACGAAAAAAGAAAATTTCAGGCCGATATCTCTGATGAACATCAATGCGAAAATCCTCAATAAAATACTGGCAAACCAAATCCAGCAGCACATCAAAAAGCTTATCTACCAGGATCAAGTCCACTTCATCCCTGGGATGCAAGGCTGGTTCAACATACACAAAGCAATAAACATAATCCACCACATAAACAGAACCAATGACAAAACCACATGATTGTCTCAATAGATGCAGAAAAAAAAAAACTCTCAATAAACTAGGTATTGATGGAACATATCTCAAAAGAATAAGAGCTATTAATGACAAATCCACAGCCAGTATCATGCTGAATGGGCAAAAGCTGGAAGCATTCCCTTTGAAAACCAGCACAAGACAAGGATGCCCTCTCTCACCACACCTATTCAACATAGTATTGGAAGTTCTGGCCAGGGCAATCAGGAAAGAGAAAGAAATAAAGGTATTGAAATAGGAAGAGAGGAAGTCAAATTGTCTCTGTTTGCAGATGACATGATTGTATGTTTAGAAAACCCCATCATCTCAGCACAAAATCTCCTTAAGCTGATAAGCAACTTCAGCAAAGTCTCAGAAGACAAAATCATTGTGAAAAATCACAAGTACTCCTATACACCAATAATAGACAAACAGAGCGCCAAATCATGAGTGAACTCCCATTCACAATTGCTACAAACAGAATTAAATACCTAGGAACACACCTTACAAGGGATGTGAAAGACCTCTTCAAGGAGAACTAAAAACCACTGCTCAAGGAAATAAGAGAGGACACAAACAAATGGAAAAACATTCCATGCTCATGGATAGGAAGAATCAATATTGTGAAAATGGTCATATTGCCCAAAGTAATTTATAGATTCAATGTTATCCCCATCAAGCTACCATTGACTTTCTTCACAGAATTAGAAAAAAACTACTTTAAATTTCATATGGAACTAAAAAAGAGCCCGTATAGCCAAGACAATCCTAAGCAAAAAGAACAAAGCTGGAGGCATCATGCTACCTGAATTCAAACTATGCTACAAGGCTACAGTAACCAAATCAGCATGGTACTGGTACCAAAACAGATATATAGACCAATGGAACAGAACAGAGGCCTCAGAAATAACGTCACACATCTACAGCCATCTGATTTTTGACAATCCTGACAAAAACAATGGGGAAAGGATTCCCTATTTAATAAATAGTGTTGGGAAAACTGACTAGCCATATGCAGAAAACTGAAACTGGATCCCTTCCTTACACCTTATACAAATATTAACTCAAGATGGACTAAAGACTTAAACGTAAGACCTAAAACCATAAAAACCCTAGAAGAAAACCTAGGCAATACCATTCAGGACATAGGCATGGGCAAAGACTTCATATTAAAACACCAAAAGCAATGACCACAAAAGCCAAAATAGACAAATTGGATCTAATTAAACTAAAGAGCTTCTGTACAGCAAAAGAAACTATCATCAGAGTGAACAGGGCATCCTACAGAATAGGAGAAAATTTTTGCAATCTATCCATCTGACAAAGGGCTAATATCCAGAATCTACAAGGAACTTAAACAAATTTACAAGAAAAAAACAACCCCATCAAAAAGTGGGCAAAGGATATGAACAGACACTTCTCGAAAGAAGACATTTATGTGGCCAAAAAACCTATGAAGAAAAGATCATCATCACTGGTGGTTAGAGAAATGCAAATCAAAACCACAATGAGATACCACCTCATGCCAGTTAGAATGGCAATCATTAAAAAGTCAGGAAACAACAGATGCTGGAGAGGATGTGGAGAAATAGGAATGCTTTTACACTGTTGGTGGGAGTGTAAATTAGTTCAACCACTGTGGAAGATAGTGTGGCAATTCCTCAAGGATCTAGAACCAGAAATACCATTTGACCCAGCAATCTCATTACTGGGTATATACCCAAAGGATTATAAATCATTCTACTATAAAGACACATGCACACATATGTTCATTGCAGCACTAATCATAATAGCAAAGACTTGGAACCAACCCAAATGCCCATCAATGATAGACTGGATTAAGAAAATGTGGCACATATACAACATGGAATAGTATGCAACCATAAAAATGATAAGTTCACGTCCTTTGCAGGGACATGGATGAAGCTGGAAACCATCATTCTCAGCAAACTAATACAGGAACAGGAAACCAAACACCACATGTTCTCACTCATAAGTGGGAGTTGAACAATGAGAACACATGGACACAGGGAGGGGAACATCACACACCAGAGCCTGTTGCAGGGTGGGGGGCTAAGGGAGGGATAGCATTAGGAGAAATACCTAATGTAGATGGCAGGTTGATGGGTGCAGCAAACCACCATGGCACATGTATACCTATGTAACAAACCTGCACGTTCTGCACACGTATCCCAGAACTTAAAGCATAATTAAAAAAAAAAAAAACAAAACCACCAGCTCTCATGAGAACTCACTTGCTATCATGAGAACAGCATGGGGGAAACCACCTCCATGATCCAATCACCTCCCACCAGGTCCTTCCCTCAACACAGGGGGATTATGGGGATTACAACTCAAGATGAGATTTAGGTGGAGACAGCCAAACCATATCACCCATCTTTCTGCACGTGGTCTATTCTGGTCTTCTACACTTTTCTGTGTTTTATGTCTCCTTTTTAAATGTCCAGGGGAATATAGTATAATAGGAAGCTCACTGCGTTTGGAATTGAGTCCCAGCTTTGCCAACTATTAGCTGTGTGACCTTGGACAAGTTACTTAATCTCTCTGGGCCTCAGTTTCCTCATCTATAAAAAAGAGACAATAATGCCTACCTTGCAAAATTCCGGTGATTATTAGAGGTAATGGGCATAAATGCAGTGGCACCCAGGGAGCTTAATAGTGATGGCCACCCTTGATGTTAATGAGCAGTAAGTCCTCCTTCTGCTGGGCCGGACTTCCGTAAGGTCATAATTACAGACAGACAGCTGGCTGCAGCAGTTGCAGAATGGCACTGACTTCCTGTTTACCCCAATCCTGCCTGAACATGCAAACCCCTCCTACCTACCTCACACAGTTGCTCCCTTCTAGCACACACAAAATGGTACTCGCCATTGTTGGTTCATGAGATGAATGGTCATTTTAATCCAGGGATATTGTTTGCTGGGCCTTTCAAGTGTTTACTCTTCAAGCCACTCCCTCCATGGGGCCCAGCTCAAAACCACCTCCCCTCAGGAAGCCCTTCCTCATCTTTTCAGTCAGAAGTTCTCTGGGCCAGGCGTGGCGGATCACACCTGTAATGTCAGCACTTGGGGAGGATCACTTGAGCCCAGGAGTTCAAGACCAGCCTGGGCAACATGATGAGACCCTGTCTTTAAATATGTATGTTTACATATTTATTTTAAACATATATATTTAAAGACAGGGTCTCACTATGTTTTTAAATATATATATTTATATATTTTATTATATATTAAAATATATATATTATATATTAAATATGTATATTATATATTATATATATTATCATATAAAATATATAAATATATATGTATTATATATTAAAATATATATATTTAGATATATATATCTAAATATATATTTAGATATGTATATCTAAATATATATTTAGATATATATATCTAAATATATATATTTAGATATATATATCTAAATATATATATTTAAAGACAGGGTCTCACTATGTTTTTAAGATTATATATAAATTATATATACATATATATAGAGAGAGAGAGAGAGAGAGACAGAGAAAGGGAAAATAACCAGGCATGGTGGTATGCACCTGTAGTCCCAGCGACTCAGGAGACTGAGGTGAGAGGATCACTTGAGCCCAGGAGATTGAGGCTGTAGTGAACTGTGATTGTACCACCGCACTTTAGCCTGGGTGACAGTGAGACCCTAGCTCATAAAAAAAAGGTTCCCTGGAATGCCTCCCTGGAATGCCTCACTCTATGTGTCCTTTGCTTGTGGCCCTGAGAGAATTAGATGAGTTATCCTATGAAAGGGCCTTAGAATAATTCCTGTCACAGAGCCAGCCCTGTGAACATGTTGGCCATTATTAACCCCTATCCTTGTCCTCCCTCGCCCACTGTGTTGGATGCCTCCACAGGTCCCTCCCAACCCCACTCTGTGCCATCTCTGTCCACAGGGGTTGTCTTCCAGGGATTGCATCAGGAGGCCACCTGACCTCTGACTTCCTGTTGGCTTCAGCTAAGAAGGAAGGAGGAACACTGAGAGGGGACAGGAGGAGGCAGGAGCATGCTGTCAGGGTATTGTGTTTTTCCAGTGCCTTCTCTGTGGGCTGCTGAGGGCCTGAAGCCCCTCCTCACAGCTCTCTCCCTCTCCAAATCCTTATGTGACCAGCCCCACCCCCTCACTCCCCCAGGCTCCCCGAGGTTGCCAGCCCCAAAGTATTCACTGCTTTTTTGGCTCCCCCACACCTGTCCTTGCCTGTGTAAATGTTCCCTTCATTAAATTCTCCTGAAATGTCCCAGATTGACTCTGCCATCTGTTTCTTGCCAAGACCCTAATTGAGACACCTACTTTCTGAATATTAAACCTAACCATGTTTCGGGCTTTTTTTGTCAAATGTCATAGGTTGTTCAGGTTCCTTGAGGCTCCTCTGGATATATTTTTTATAAGACTATTTTAAATATATATATATATATATATATATATATATATATATATATATATATATATATATTTTTTTTTTTTTTTTTTTTTTTTTTTTTTTTTTGAGACAGAGTCTCTGTCTATCGCCCAGGCTGGAGTGCAGTGGCACAGTCTGGGCTCACTACAACCTCCGCCTCCCGGGTTCAAGCGATTCTCCTGCCTCAACCTTCTGAGTAGCTGGGATTACAGGTGACTGCCACCATGCCCGGCTAATTTTTGTATTTTTGGTAGAGACAGGGTTTCACCATGTTGGTCATGCTGGTCTCGAACTTCTGACCTCGTGATCCACCCACCTCGGCCTCCCAAAGTGCTGGGATTACAGGCGTGAGCCACTGCACCCGGCCATAAATATGTATTTTTAAGATTATTATTAAGTGTCAATTTTACCGAGATTTGGAGTGTTCTTCAAGGGTGAGAAATTAGCCCTATTGCCATGTAGTGCCCTAAAGCCCTGGGCCCTGGATGAGGGGTAGCTGGGAAGATGCCGTGGAGGCCACACTATGAAGGCAACAGACTTCACAGAAGAAGCATATGCCCCTGTGGCTGAGCCTTCAGGGAGGGGCATCTTCAGTCCCTCCTCAGAGCCACAGTGCTCCTCAGAGAATGAAGGATCCACCCTTGTTAGTGACACTGAGCAACAGAGTGCATGAGACCAGTTGGTCCCCATGTTGTCCTGGACAGAGTGGGGTGCGTTGGAGAAAGTCCTATGATGACTGACAGCCAGTCCCAAACCTTGACAATGGCAGCTCTAAGCCATATCTAATTTGATTTTAAAAATAAAGAAATGAGACATTTATTTAACTTCATTGTTGTGGTGCAGACTGGTAGTTGTTGCCCCTTCCTATTTTAAGGAGGAGGCTAGAGACAATGGCTGTCCAGAATAAAGACCCAATTTCCCCGCATCCTTTGTAGTTAGATGTGAGCAGAATTTCCAGGGCCTACCCTCTTCTTCCTGTCGCCAGTGGAATGCAGGCATAAGTGCAGAGCCAACTCAAACCTGCAGGTGGAGGCAATACGCTGGGGATAGAAGGTGTATGTGTCCCCCAAAATGGCACAGAGAAGAGCCAAGTAAGAATAGACTACTATGTTTTTTTAAGGTACTGTTATTTAGGGTCCCCTGATAGAGATAGCTATGAGGCAAATATTACATGTGAAAAATATGAAGTATTTTTATCTATGTAGAAAGTCAAAAAAACAAAAAACCAACCAACACTCCCCAAACTAATAAATAAGTTTTACAAGGTCATAGCATACAAGGTCAATACATAAAAATACATTGTATTTCTATACATTAGCAATATACAGATGGAAACAAAAACTTAAAATAATAGTAGTCACAATAGCTTCAAAAACTGAAATACTTAGGTATAAATCTAAAAAAAAAAGTAACAGATCTCTAAGCTGAAAACCACAAAATGCTGATTAAGGAAATCGAAGATTTAAATAAGTACAGGGACATACCATTTTCATAGATTAGAAGACTCAACAGAGTAAAGACTCCAATACTCTCTAAATAAATTCATAGATTTAATATAGTACCAATCAAAGTCCTAGCAGGATTCTTTCTGAGATATAGACAAACTATTTATAAAGTGTGTATGGAAGGGCAAAGGAATGAGAAGAGCTAATAAAATTTTAAAAAAATAGAGTTGTAGGAATCAAACACTGTAATTTTAAGACTTACTGTAAAGCTATAGTAATGAAGTCAGTGTGGCATTAGCAAAGAGATAGACACACAGATCTATGGAAAAGAATGGAGATACAGAAATAGACCCACACAGATAAGGCTTATTAGTTTTTTACAAAGTTGCAAAAGCAATTAAATGGAAAAAACATAGTCTTTACACCCAATTGTGTACATGCAGCAGATCCTCAAATGGACTTCCAGCTGGGGCCACTGTAGAGTTTGCACATTCTCCTCATGTCTGCCTGGGTTTTCTCCAGGTACTCCAGTTTCCTCCCACATCCCAAAGATGTGCACACTGGGTGAACTGGTGTGTCTATAATGTCCCCACGCCAGTGTGTGTGTGTGTGTGTGTGTGTCTGTGTGTGAGTGCACCCCACGACAGAATGGCATCCTGTCCAAGGTGGGTCCCTGCTTAGCATCCTGAGCTGCTGGGATAGGCTCCAGCCAACCACTGCCCTGCATTAAAATAATTCTGCTTATTTTTATTAATCTTTCTTAACTGTACACGTAACTCACATTTATTTCCATGTTTAATGTTAGAAGTGTTTTGGTCTTTATTTAGAAGCTCGGTGATGTTTTTGTGATGAGAAATATGCCATAGGAATTTAATTCTTCTTTATATCCATTAGCTTATGGTAAAATTGGTTTCATTATACGTTGTTTTGCCATTTCACTTAAAGCCATGGTTTCCAAGACCTAGCAACAGTATTGAGGACTTACTATACAATCAAACATTCATAGGCAGAAGAGGGAACCTAAACCTCATTCCTTGCACAAAACACAAAATCCATCTAAATTTATCATGTACAATTATATAACGGAAGAAAAGGCCAGAGAACATCTACATGACCTTGAATTTAGCAATGAGTTCTCAGACATGGCACCAAAAGCACTATCCATAAAATTAAAAATTGGATTTTACCAAAATTAAGAACTTTTGCTCATGAAAATCACTGTTAAGAGAATGTTAAGGGCCAGGCACAGTGGCTCACATCCGTAATCCCACCACTCTGTGAGGCCTACGCAAAAGGAAAGCTCGAGGCCAGGAGTTTGAGACCAACTTGGGCAACATAGTGAGACCCTGTCTCTACAAATAAAAAATAATAAAAATATGTTGGTGTGCACCTGTAGTCCCAGCTTCTTGGGAGACTGAAGCAGGAGGATTGCTTGAGCCCAGGAGTTTCAGGCTGCACAGAGTTATTATCGTGACACTGCAGCCTGGGCGAGGATGTTGGGGCAGCTTTAGACTGGGAAGAAATATTTGAATTATATGCATCTGGCCGGGCACAGTGGCTCACGCCTGTAATCCCAGCACTTTGGGAGGCTGAGGAGGGTGGATCACCTGAGGTCAGGAGTTCGAGACCAGCCTGGCCAACATGGTAAAATCCCGTCTCTACTAAAAATGCAAAAATTAGCTGGGCGTGGTGGTGCATGTTGTAGTCGCAGCTACTCAGGAGGCTGAGACGGGAGAATCGCTTGAACCCGGGAGACAGAGGTTGCAGTGAGCCGAGATCACATCATTGTGCTCCAGCCTGGGCAACAGAGTGAGACTCCATCTTAAAAATAAAAAAAAGAAAAAAGAAACTCATGCATCTGACAAAAGATTTATATTTAAAATATGTAAAGCTCAACAATAAGAAAACGAATATTCCAATTTAAAGATAGCCAATGCCTGGCACAGGACCTGACTTGTAGAGAGAAGCATCAAATCAGTTTTGTCGACAAAGAAAATGAGAACCCGAAGTGAGAATATGACCTGTGAACATAGCTCATCTTCCTCATTTGATTGACAAGCATTTATTGAGAGGTGGAGACAAATAGTGCAAGGCAGATTGAAATGCAGATTGGAATGCTCTTTCCTTGGGTCAAATCGAATAGTGGCCCAAGGAAACAGCCCTGGGCAGGGTGACAACCTATAGGAATGTGTCTTTTTCTGATGTCTTTTCCACGTGCACCCCCTGAATGAGCCTTTCTCTCCAAGGCGCTCCAGTGTGCTGCCCTGCTGCCATCTGTTTTTCTTTCTTTTTTTTTTTTTTTTTGAGACAGAGTCTCGCTCTGTCACCCAGGCTGGAGTGCAGTGGCGCGATCTCAGCTCACTGCAAGCTCCGCCTCCCGTGTTCACGCCATTCTCCTGCCTCAGCCTCCCAAGTAGCTGGGACTACAGGCGACCGCCACTGTGCCTGGCTAATTTTTTGTATTTTTAGTAGAGACGGGGTTTCACCGTGGTCTCAATCTCCTGACCTCGTGATCCACCCGCCTCGGCCTCCCAAAGTGCTGGGATTACAGGCGTGAGCCACTGCGCCTGGCCGCCATCTGTTTTAAATCCAGAGCCCCTCTGACCTGCTTAAGAAAAGTCAGACAAGAGCCGGTCCAGGAGAAGGCTCAGAGGTGAAGCCAGGTGATGAACTTGAGACTGCAATTCAGAGCCCACACCCTGGCCCCAACACTGCCCATAATAAACGAGTGGCTTTGGCCAAATGTTCCTGGCCATAGGCCTCTGCTTCCCTAGTTGTTCAGCAGAGGAGCCAGGTGTTCAGACCCTCAGCTGCACCCCTCCACCCTGGACATTCTCAGATTCACCAGAGCTAACGCTGTCGCTCATTAACTGGACCGCATTTCATTCTTCTTTTCATACCCAAGACCCGAAACCCCGAGCACGTTAGTCCTTTGTCAAATGCCGGCAAGCTTAAACACAGATGAAAGCACGTGTCCTTGCTGACTCAATGTCCCTGCTATCTTGAATTCTCCAGGTGCCCTTGGCACAGCCCACAGTTCACCGACAAGTTCATCATCTCCAACTTTGTAGACCTTCTGGCAGATTGCAGCAGCCTCTATTATTTCAATGTATAATTTATATGGCCCATTTTCACTGCCAAGGACAGCCTACAAAGCACACTTGATCCTGCACAAGAAAACAGCGAGTTTTGCCCTCTGGGATGTGTGTGCTTTCCACCCACGGACACAAGCAACTTTTCCAAAGTCTTTTGCTTTACTGGGGCACCTCACTAGGGCAGGAACAATGGGACCTCAGAATAATAGGACAGTCACCACAATTTCAAGGCTGCTCTCAGAGGCAGGTATGTGGGTGACATTAAACACATAGGGTGGTTTCCAGCCACCGGAAGGCCATGCTGGCAGGCCGGAGGCCCTTTGCATCTTTGCAGGAGAGCAGCATGACGCCCCAGGCAAGAGGTTCCTAATCTGAAGTGGGGGCTCCATTTCCCTGATGCTGCTTGCTACCCAGGGAAACGCATATATGTCATGGCAACTTTCTAGACTTCAGTCTCCTCTCCCCTCCACTCAGGGCATTAGCTCCCATCCTGATAGCCTTGCTGGATTGTGGCAAGGATCAAGACAAATAAAAAATATATGAGGGTTTTTTTTTTTTTTTTTTTTGAAAATGCTACGTGCTTGCTACATAAAGTTTGGTCCATGGACCAGCAGTGTCAGCATTACTTGAGAGCTTGCTGGCAATGCAGAATCTCAGGCCACACCTCAGACCTAATGGATCCGAATCTGAATTTTAACAAGACCCCACGTGATTTGCATGAGAAGTACTGCAATATGCTAACAGAAATGTGGTATGGGAGAAGAATGTGTGGTCTGGATCCTGGAGCTCTGAGCTCAAATTCAGCTCAGCCACAAAGTCCTTCGTGGCCTTGAGAGGTGACTGGGGCCTCCGTTCCCTCAGTAGGAGAAGTGTCACCCTGCTGCAGTAGGAGAAGGAGAATGTGGAATGGAGAGGAGAGGGGGCAGAGGGCAAAGGGCTGAGCGGCAGGGAGCCCCTTCCCAGTGGTGTGAAGGGAATGGGTCAGAGAAGACAATGGAGAAGATCAGGGAGAGATCAGCGCTTCCCCCGTCAGCCCTGCTCACCCCCACCACAACCCTTCCTCAGTCACCGAAGCTTCTTGGCATGGACCCTCAAGTCAGCTGTGGGCCAAAGGCAGCTGAGAAGTGGAGAGCCCTGCTTGGTTGTCAGATATCCAAAGTGGCACCAGGAGGCCTGGAGGGTCTTCGGCCTGCCCCAGGCTGCAGAGTATCCCCTGTAAACCCAGGACTGAGATCAGTAAGTGGATCGGGGAACCCTGGAGTAGCTCCATCCTCCAAGTTGCAAAGGGACCAGCTGAGGGGATCTTGCAGACTGTCTCAGAGGCATCGTCTGCACATTTAACGAGCAGTATTCTCATTACGCTGGCTTTTCTATTAAGCAAGCTTCTTGATATAACTCGAAGGTGAGGGCACTTGACCTGTGTTTCAAAATTTCCCTGCGATGCTGGGAAATGGACTGCATCATGCTCGACAACACTCCATTCAAGTAATTACCCAGAGAGAGGTATGATAATTGCAAGGAGGTAAGTGCTCCATTTTGTGGGTTTAAAAATACCAACTTTATGAGGCTGTGGTGAGCATTAAATGTGAAAACGTGTGGCCCGCTCTTAGCACAGGTTTGCAATTAGCCTTTTCCCCACAGTCTTGCAGATGAATCGAAAGCTCTGGTCTGGCCCAGAAGCCCCTTCCTTGGCCTCCCCCAGCAGCTGAACTCTAATGGCTCTGCTAATCGATGTTTCAAATCCACGGTGATGGAGCCATGAGCCCTAATCCTAAAAGCTGGACTCAGGGCTGGGGATGTTCTTTCCAGAAAAATCTCTTCTATTGTTTTCAAGAAACACAAGCAGCTTGGCCCTACGTGCTTTCCTAGCTGCACACAATCCCTTGAGGAAATCAAGTTAAAGGAGTCCTTTCTGACGGTAGTTTTAAATGCTCCCATGTGTGCGTTCAAAACCTAGAGAACAGGCCGGTACAGTGGCTCACGCCTGTAATCCCAGCACTTTGGGAAGCCGAGGCGGGCAGATCATGAGGTTAGGAGTTTGAGACCAGCCTGGCCAACATAGTGAAACCCCGTCTCTACTTAAAAAAAAAAAATACAAAAATTAGCCGGGCGTGGTGACGCATGCCTGTAATCCCAGCTACTTGGAAGGCTAAGGCAGGAGAATTGCTTGAACCCGAGAGACGGAGGTTGCAGTGAGCTGAGATGGTACCACTGCATTCCAGCCCAGGTGACAGTGCAAGACTCCGTCAAAAAAAAAAAAAAAGAAAGAAAACCTAGATATACAAATAAACATGTGAAACAAACTGCAGGAGGACCTAACTGAGTGAAGACTGAGAGGAGGATCCCCCCAGAAATATATCCCTTGGGAAAGAGTCCCTTCCTACTTGGGCAGTTGCAAAGTATTTCATTTTCTGGGAGGGGGGGGCTCTCAATTTTTTGGTAACAGAGGACTGTGAGACTCCCTCAATCTGTGCTGGTTTCAGATGCACTTTGGGATCACCTGGCAGAACTGGGAGGAGGGAGTTTCGTCATTATTTGTGGGAGTGTAGCCTCACTGTGCCAGGGCCGGACAGCAGGTAACACGACTTAACGATGACTTTTAAAGCATCACGATGAGGGCTTACACGGCGACATCACAAACACTTGAACAGAAGCTATTCTAATCTGCGTAAATAAGGCTTTGGGGCTTGGGATTAATTTTCCAGTGACGGCATCTTCTATAGATTCCAAAAGTGGGAAAATGGGGCATGATGGAATATTGTGGGTCACCTTACACCCAGCATCTACGGTATTTCACACAATTCTCATGGAAAGGCTCATGATGCAGGCTTCAGTAACTCGGCTTTGGGTCTCAACAGTGCTTGATGTGTAGAAACTGTAAATAAGTATTTGCATTTTGAACAGCCCTTTCAGTTTGAGGTTCAGGACAAGCCTGCTCCAGTCCTGAAAACTAAGCTCCAGCCCAGCCAACCCAGGCGCTGTGGGTGCGTTATCCAGCCCGCTAGCAACTGCGCTTGCAGTTTGAGATATCGCCACGAGAGGGCACTCCAAAGCAAGAAGCGCATTCTCTCAAACTCCAGTCCTCAGATTGCAACTCAGCTGCCGCGGGCCCAGCTAGGTTGGCTATAGGAAGTCCGCAAGGCTGGCAGAGACAGAGAGGACAGGGACCCACGATCCCAGAACTCTTGGCCTGCTGCCCAGGCCCTGCCACAGCTCATGAAGGATGGCACATCCCAGGCAAACCCAGTCACTGTATTTTAAGCTGGAAGTTTGGCTCAGAACCCCAGTGGAATTTTCAGAGGGGTACAGGGAGACTTGGCTAGAGGCCAGCCTAAGGACTACATTAAATGCAGGCAAAATGGGGAGAAACTCTAAAAGCTCTCTGCACCATAAACATTAACAGGGTTAGTGTTAGGAAACCAGGGGCTTTGATTTTTTTAACTTTGCATATTTATGTTTTCTAAATATTCTAATGAACACGTATTGTGTGTATAATTCCCTTGCTAATGTATCTTTTTGGTTATTTTCAGTTAGGGGCTTTTATGAACAAAGCTGTTTTGAACATTGTGTACAAGTCTTTGTGTGGACATGTTTTCATTGCTCTTGTGTAAATGCCAAGCAGGGGAATTAATGGATAGGAATATCTTTAACTTTATAAAACAGCCAAGGGTTTTCCAAAGTGGTAGTACCATTTTAAACTCCCAACAGGAATATGTGATAGTTGCTCCATATCCTTGTCAACACTTGGTGAAGTGAGCCTTTTAAATTTTAGCCATTCTAGCGGGCGCGAAGTGGTGCTCCATGGTGGCATCATTTTACATTTCCCAAATGACGAAAGATGTTGAGAGTCTTTTTTGTGTGGTTACTGTCTACTCATGTATTTTGCTTTGTGAAGCATTTGCTCAAACCTTTTGCCCCTTTTTAAATTGAGTGAGTTTGTCTTTTTCAAATTGTGCTATAGGCATTTTTTACGAATCCTTTATCAAATATATGCATGGTATGAAGTAAAGTTGGAGGTTGATTGTTTTCCATTTGGATTATATAATTTTCTGTGTGTACTATAACAAATTACCATAAACTTGGTAGTTTAAAACAACAAATCTATTGTCTCACAGTTCCGGAGACCGGAAGTCTGAAATCAGTATCACTGGACCACATTTAAGGTGTCAGCAGGGTTGTGCTGCCTCTGGAGGCTCTAGAGAAGAATCTGTTTCCTGCCTCTTCTAGCATCTGGTGGCTGCCAGCAATCCTTGGCTTGTGGCTGCACCGGCCCACGTGGTCACATCATCTTCTTCTCTTCTATGTATCAGATATTCCTCTGCTTCCTTCTTATAATGATACTTGTGATTGAATTTAGGTTCCATACAGATAATCCAGGATATCTCACAGTCTCAAGATCCTTAACTTAATCACATCCACAAAGACACTTTGCAGGTAATGATATGGTTTGGCTGTGTCCCCACCCAAATCTCATCTTGAAAAGTAGCTCCCATGATCCCCACACGTCATGGGAGGGACACAGCAGGAGGTAATTGAATCATGGGGGGGATGTTTTCCCATGCTGTTCTTGTGATCATGAATAAGTCTCATGAGATCTGATGATTTTATAAAGGGCGGTTCCCCTTCACATGCTCTCTTGACTGCCACCATGTAAGACATGCTTTTGCTCCTCCTTCACCTTCTGCCATGATTGTGAGGCCTCCCCAGCCATGTGGAACTGTGAGTCCATTAAACCTCTTTTTCTTTATAAATCACCCAGTCTCGGGTATGACTTTATTAGCATGGTAAAAACAGACTAATACAGGTAACATTCACAGGTTCCAGGGATTAGGACCTGATATCTTTGGGCTAATTATTTAGCCTGCCACATGGATCTTCAGTAATTCCAGGATCAATTGAAACAATTACCATCCCTATTGAATTACCTTAGTACCTTTGTTGAAACTCAGTTGACCATATATGTTTAGGTTTACTTATGGGATTTCTATTCTGTCCCATCTATCTCTCTGCCTATCCTCACACCAACATCACACTGTCTTAATTATGTAGCTTTATACTGTCTTGAAATTAAGTACTCCGGTGTTAATCTTCCAACTTTATCTTTTCATTAAAAAAAAACAAAAAAGCGTATTCTATGTCGTTTGCATTTCCGTATATATTTTAGAAACATCATGTCAATTTCACACAAAAAATTAAACCCTGCTGGAATTTCTATTGGGATTGCTTTGAATCTACAGACCAGTTTGTGATGTATTAACAACTTAATACATCTTAAAATTCAGTCTCCCAATCCATGAATGTAATTTATCTTTTTTTTAGGTCCACTTGAATTTCTCTCAGCAATATTTGTAGTTTCAATCTATATGTGCTGCATGTGTTTTCATAATTTATTCCTAAATATTTCAGTTTGGATGCTATTGTGTCATTTGAAAACAGTTGGATGCTATTGATGTTTCGTTTTGTGTGGCTGATATTTATAAATGCAATTGGTATTTGCAATATTGTTAAATTCACTTAGGTCTAGCAGTTGTTTGTAGATTCCTTAGTACTTTCTACATAAACAACAATGTTGTACATTAATAAAGAAAGTTTTACATCTTTCTTTCCAATTTTGATACCTTTCTTATTTTTTTCTTCTTTCTTCCCTTCTTCATTACACTGGTTAAGGCTTCTATCATGATATTAAATCGAAGTGGTGAAAGTGGATGTCCTTGCCTGCTTCCAATCTGAAGTAGAATGCATTCAATACAGCAGCACTAAGCATGATATTTGTTGCTTTTTTCTATAGAAAACTTTAGAAGGTTGAGGAAGTTCCCTTTATTCCTAAATTGCTCAGAATTTTTAATCAAAGCATGTATTGATATGCACTACAATATTTTCCCCTTATTCTGTATATGGAGTAAATTAATTGATTTTCAAATGTTGAACTCACCTTATATTAACCTCATGAGGTCATGATATAAGTCTCTTTTATATATTTATAGATTTGATTTGCTAGTATTTTGTTCAGGATATTTGCATGTATGTTTGTAAGGGATATTTTTCTGTAGTTCTTTTTTAATGCCTTTGTCAGGTTTTGGTATCAAGGTGACATTGATATATTCGGAATATGAATTCTTTGTCAGTTATGTGTATGGCAAGTATTTTCTCCCACTATGTGGCACGAATTTTTATTCTTGTCATGGTGCCTTTTGTTAAACAGAGATTCTTAATTTTATTGTGCTCAGATAATTAATAATGTTTTCCTTTAGGTTTAAGTGCTTTTTTTGCGTTTGCTTGAGGCTTACAGTCTTTATTTGCATATTCCAGGAAGTCAGAAAAGGTCCAGTTGACACTACTCAGGGTGTGGTAGAAGGCAGCTGGTGGCCGGGCTCGGTGGCTCATGCCTATAATCCCAGCATTTTGGGAAGCCAAGGTGGGCAGATCACTTGAGGTTAGGAGTTTGAGACCAGCCTGGCCAACATGGTAAAACCTCGTCTCTACTAAAAATACAAAAATTAGCTGGGCATGGTGGCACACGCCTGTAATCCCAGCTACTCAGGAGGCTAAGGCAGGAGAATTACTTGAACCCGGGAGGCAGAGGTTGCAGTGAGCCAAGATAATGCCACTGCACTCCACTCTGGGCAACAGAGTAAGACTCTGTCCCCTCCAAAGAAAAAAAGAAAAAGAAAAAGAAAAAAAGGCAGCTGGTACACACTGAAATTTTGGGTTATCCTTGAAAGCAGCTTTGATAAACACTGAAGGCTATTTGGGTTTTTAGATTAATATTCAATTTATTGAAATAAATTAAAAATCTAGTAATCCTTAAGTTCTTAGCTTTAATTAAAATCCTAATATTCTATTTATACATCTAAGGGGACTTTTACAATTTAGTTGAGCAAATTCTCCAAAGTATTTAAGGTTACATGTATATTAACATAATCTAGTTTCCTTTTGTGTGTGCATGTGTGTGTGTGTGTGTGTATAAATATATAAACATTGTCAATTTTCTTTTTAAACACTGCATATGTCTCTAACAAGCAAAGACTTCCCATGAACACAGATGAATTTTATACATTTAATAAAATAAACATAATTTTGAGTGTTAAGTTTTCTTAAACAATATTTGTTAACAAAATTGTTTTTAAAGTAGAATACCTTTCAACTTTATAATCATAAGATTAAGTCTCTTATGGAAGTACATCATTAAAATTGGAATTATAAGTAATCTGCCCCATACGCCAAGTTCTTATACACACGTTAAATACTCAATATGCACAAATTAGTCCTAAAACTAATGCCAAAAATGTTAATGCCATTGGTTTTGTTTATTTTGTTTTATTTTCTCCATAAGTAATTATAAACACTTCTAGGTTTTTAACAAAGGCAGTAGTTTTTAGCAGGCAGTAGTTTTTAACTATTAATACTAAGGCAGCAGGCTAAGGCAGTAGTTTTTAACAGGATGGTACTGCCCCCTAGGGGGCATTTTGGAAATTTGATGGTGTGCTTTTATTAGTCAGCAATTGGCGAGAGGATGCTTGTATTTAGCTCTTGAATGGGAACGAAGGCCTGACAAATGAAATAGGTAAGACAATCCTGCACAGCTAAAAGTTACCCTGTATAAATGTCAAAGATCTCTTCATACAAGCAAAAAGCTCATAATTATTTAGGCCTAGAACTTAAACATGTTTTACGTGTTTTTGGCATAGTTTTAATACAGATTGAATTTTTAGGAATTTTGTTATCTTGTAAATCAGGGAGAAATCGTACTTTGATTTGTTCTGAACTTTACCAAGAGTTATTCACCATTTCGGAAAATCATGTCACCGGCAGCAATGTACTTCAGCCTGTATTTGCAGCTCCCTCATTCAGGGTGATTAGATGTAGATATATGTATACAAATATATAGATATGTTTCTTAGGTCCTTGTTTTGAAACATCAAATATAAAAAAGTAAGCATTGGCCGGGCACGGTGGCTCACGCCTGTAATCCCAGCACTTTGGGAGGCTGAGGAGGGCGGATGATGAGGTCAGGAGTTCGAAACCAGCCTGGCCAACATGGTGAAACTCCGTCTCTACTAAAAATACAAAAATTAGCTGGGCATGGTGACGTGCACCTGTAATCCCAGCTACTCGGGAGGCTGAGGCAGGAGAATCGCTTGAACCTGGGAGGCGGAGGTTACAGTGAGCCGAGATCGCGCCACTGCACTTCAGCCTGGGCGACAGAGCAAGACTCCATCTCAAGAAAAAAAAAATTAAGAATTTACCATTGAATATTGTATCATCTTAAATCCAAACTTATATGGTTGCAAACAACTCATTCTTTCATTATACCTTTTGGTGTAATAGTGCTTGAGCATGTACATACTGAAATATACACTATTTTATTACAAGTAATTTTCTTGTATTTCTCTTTTGTTTGGGCAATACCTTGTGTGTAACTATAATAGAGGATGTTATCTATGAATTTCATTTCAGGATAGTAGAGAGCATTACAAAGTGTTTTTAATCTTCACAAAAAATGTGTAGCCCTGGATTAACAATACTGCTATGCACAGTCAGATTTTAAATCAGATAATAAATTTATAAGATTGAAACAGTGTGATATTGTTGCCAGAAGAGATAGCTTTTTGGAACAGAACAGAAAATATCCAAACAGATATACTGGTATATATACCAGCTAATGAGTTTTGAATATAAAGATGGAATATCAAATCGAAGGTGAAATGTAAGATGATTTAATAATGGTAGTGGAACAACTGGCTAAGACATATATGGATACAGAAAACACTATATGTACCAATCTAAATTCCAGACGGATTAAAGTAAATCTTAAGTAGCAAACCCCAGAAGAATCTAAAGAAAATACAAGTGACAGTGTATTGAATAGCTAGTAGAAATGGCCTTTTCTAAAGACAAAAATAATAAAGTAAAATATTGGTAAGTTTGCATAAATATTAAACACTTTTCTATTAAAAAAAAAACACCAAAAAGGCAGGAATGAAGTGTAAATAAAAATTTGCAACATCTATGAGAATGGATGAAGATAATTAATATATCATTAATTCCTATATACCAATAAGGAAAAAAATACTTCAGTAGAACAAGGATCCAAGAATATGAGAAGATAACTCACAAAATAAGGAGTACATGAAGCTAATACACTTAAAAATAGTTTAGTCTCACTAGTGGTGAAGAGAAAAGTATATTAAAATAAGTCACCTATTAAATCAACAAAGGGTTTTTGTGTTATTGTTTCTTAACGACAAAGCTAATTGTTAGTGAGGAGTAGAAAAAAAATAGATTCTCTCACATACTGCTGGGAAAATGTAAACTGATGACAATAGTTTTGGATGCCAACATAACAACACAGGTATCAGGTGCTGTAAAAAATGCACAGTTTCTGACCCAGCAGTTCCACCTCCAGGAATATACAGAAAACACTTGTGCCCCATAATGTTAGCACTTCATGCTAAAATAACTTATCAGAGCAAAAATTAGACTTTAAACACTTAAAAGGGAGGGCTGATACGTTGAACCCAAGGGGATGGAATATTTAATGACAAATATCATATTGAAGTTCTGGAAAAGGCAAATGGGCGGGGATGGTTGCCAGGAGCAGGGCGTGGGTGACTCCAAAAGCGCATGAGAGGATTGATGGAGGAGGGGGCGGGGCATGTAAAAAAAAAACGGTCTGAATCAGAGCCGTCAAAGCCTCCCAGACTCACAGAAGTGTACACTACAAGGGTGAATTTTACTTTGTGTAAATCACCTACACCTTAATAAACTTGACTTTTTAAAAATCTTGATGAAGGATATTAAGCAGCCTGGGGAAATCTAAATGGTTGATTAACTAAAGTAAGTAATTTGCAAGGCAGAGTGTGAAGGGAAATTGGCAAGTGGTGGAGGGGGTGTTTACATATTCAGGGGAGACATAGGCTGGGAGCAAACGTGCCAGAATGTATTTATATTAGTGTCTCTCTGGAAGTTAAACATCGTTTATTAAATTAAACATCATTTTTCTCCTTGCATTTTGTTTGTTTCTTTGTTATTGTTGTGTTGTTTTTGGTTTTGGTTTTTGCAGCAAACAGCTCTTCTGTTATTGGCGGGGTTGGAGTGGGGGGCGGTGCTACAGCAATTTGGAAGCGGGGCTCACTTGCTATGGCTTCCAGGTTCTTTCCAGCGCTTTTCTCTTCGGTAGATCCATCAAGCCGGGACAGGCGAGCCGGGGAGTCGCGAAGGCTCCCGGGCGAGCGGGGTGGGGCGGGGGGCGGGGCCTGCGTCTCTCTAGGGCAGAGTAGGCGCGTCCCTACTGGATGGAGGGGGAAGTAACACCCCAAGAACGCTGTCATTTCCTGGGCCAAGTTGGGACCCGGACGGCCTCACCATGATGAGTGAGTCTTGCTTCCCCAGGGGGCTGGCGGGCTGGGCTGGGGGCAGGCTTCCCCAACCCCAGCCCAGGAAGGGACAGGGAATAGCTTCATTCCCTGACTTCATCAACCAGCTGACCTACTGACTCCCTCTCCCTCCCTTCCTCCCTCCCCTTCCCTTCCTCCCTCCGCTCCTTGCTTCCCTCCCCCTCCCTCCCTTTCTGCCCTTCTCTCTCCTCTTTCTCCCCTTTCCCATCTCCCTCTGCCTTCCCCTGGCACTCTCTCTCTAGAACGGGCAGCTGCTGCTGCAGTGGGAGGAGGTAAGTTACCCGGATCGCCTGTCTCCAGGCCCTCACCTAGCCTGGTCCCCGGGCTGCTGGGAGAACGCAGAGATGAGGCGCTGGGCTGGCTCTCACCCTCCACTTCCGAAGCTGCCCGAGTAGCCTGAGTGAGCCACAGCATCAAAATACTCCAGGGAAAAGCTCACTCCCATTCCTGACCCAGCTTCTCTTCTAGTCCTTATGTCGAATAAGCATAGGAGGAAGATCGTTTGAAAGAGGATTTGCAGCTAAACTCCACGTGGCTTATTTCACATTTATGCGTGGACACACACACACACACACACACACACACACAAATTTGAGACCAATGAAGGGTATTGACTTCCTCAGCATCACACAGCAAGTTAGAGACAAACCAGGGCCATGGCTGGTCCTTCTATGACATCTTTGCTTCACCTGGCTCCACACTCCACCTTTTCTTCACCAGAAGACCACTAAGTTGCCATCTCTGTATTGCTCAAGCTGACAGTCTCCGGAAACTGTCAAGGAATTCCTAAGCGGGGGGCGGGGGGAAGGGTCCCTTCTCCTGAGCCCACCTCTGCACTCAGCTTCTCTCTCCCCACAGCCCTGGCAGTGGGGGCTGTGCCCGTGGTGCTCAGTGCCATGGGCTTCACTGGGGCAGGAATCGCCGCGTCCTCCATAGCAGCCAAGATGATGTCCGCAGCAGCCATTGCCAACGGGGGTGGTGTTTCTGCGGGGAGCCTGGTGGCTACTCTGCAGTCCGTGGGTAAGTGTCCTAGACAGGACCACCAGAGCTGCGAGAAGATCCAGCCCTGAGGCTGAGCCCGAGGGAAGCTCTTCTCACCCTGAAGTTCCGTGACCCTCAGCTTCCTGGGTCTTCAGTCTCTCCCTCACTGTCCCCTCTTCTGGCTCCTTCTGAGTGAGGTTTGGGGTAGGAGTGGAGGGGTGATGGGGTGCTGGGTAGGGAGAAGAGGAAAGGAACCTAGGCCAAGAGCAATGCCTGGGTTCTGACACCTGGGTGACCTGGGCAAGGTCCCCTGTCCTCTCTGGGCCTCAGTGGCCTCCTGTGTAAAGTGAGGGGCTCTGTAGCTCTTAGGGTCTGTCTGTGGATGACTCTCCCTCTGTCTCTCAGTTTCCGTGAATTCACCCCTGAGCTGTCTTTTAGTTGCCTCTAGCAGCTTCTACCCATGGCAGAGCCCTGGGATTTTCAGGACCTGGAGGAGGGATCCGGGTGGGATTTCTGGGCCACTGCCCGACCCCTGTGCTCATTCTCTGTCTCCTCCACAGGGGCAGCTGGACTCTCCACATCATCCAACATCCTCCTGGCCTCTGTTGGGTCAGTGTTGGGGGCCTGCTTGGGGAATTCACCTTCTTCTTCTCTCCCAGCTGAACCCGAGGCTAAAGAAGATGAGGCAAGAGAAAATGTACCCCAAGGTGAACCTCCAAAACCCCCACTCAAGTCAGAGAAACATGAGGAATAAAGGTCACATGCAGATGCATCTCCCTGTTTTGCTTCTTGCAGCTCTGGTTGGTGTTCTGAGCTGGAGGTTTCCAGTTCTCCCTCTCTCCTAGACTGCCCTGTCATGGAGGGGCAGAGGGAGGTGGTTGGCCACGCAGATAATCGGTAGGCAGAAGGCTTTGATTGGTCTCAGCCTTACGGAGATGGGCCGTGTGACCCAGGGCCATTCGTGGGCCTTTTCTGGGCCTCAGTTTCCCCCTTATTCAATGTTGGCATTGTCACAGGCTCCTGTTGGGAGGCAGGGGTGAGGGGTAGCCAGGGCACTTCAGGAACCACTGACTGTAGAGCCCTCTGTTCTTCATTAATGGCACTAGATACCCAGAATGAGCAGGACACCATCCTTCCCTTGCCTAACCTCAAAGTCTTGTCAGAAGGCCGATAAGCAAGCCAGCAGGAAAAGACAATGTGTCCAGTGTTACATGCAGGCTCTAGGCACTTTGAGGGGAGGAGGCTGAGTCAGGAATGGTCACCAAAATGTGGCTGGAAAATTGAAGGAGAGGCTGAGTTCATGCGTGAAGACCTGGAACCCTGACCACACCCTCACTGTGTGAGGCTGTTTGGGGTAGCAATAAAGGAATACCTGAAGCTGGGTCATTTATAAAGAAAAGAGGTCTATTGGGCCCACAGTTCTGCAGACTGTACAAGAAGCATGGTGCCGGCATTTACTTCTGGTGAAAGCCTCAGGAAGCTTACAATTGCACAAGGGGAAGGAGGAGCAGGTGTGTCAAGTGGCAAGAGAGGGAGCAAGAGAGATGCCAGGCTCTTTTAAGTAGCCAGCTCTCTTGTGAACGAATAGAGTGAAAACACTCCTTACTGTGGGGAGGACACGGAGTCATTCATGAGGGATCCGCCCCCATGACCCAAACACCTGCCCCTAGGCCCCACTTCCAACACTGGGGAATCACATTTTAACATGAGACTTGGAGGGTACAAACATCCAAACTATATCAGTCACCTAACGACTCCAGTCTTTGTTCATGTGACGGGTGCTACAGTGGATGGGAGGGGTCCACACAGACCCCCAGGAGACTATGATGTCAGGAGAAACTGGGCACTTACCCAAACAAAAGTGACACAGAGCATTATGTTCAGTGCAGTAATGGACTCCAGCCACAAGCAGGGAGCACAGAGGAGGCAGAGATATATTCTCACATCTGGGGAGGCTTCCTGGAAGAGGAGGCAAAAGGCTTGGGCCTTGAAAGGCGAATGGAAGTCTGACAGAGGAGGAGGCAGGCAAAGGGAAAGGTGTCCCAGGAGGAAGGAAGTCCCAGCTGCTCAGTGAGAGAACTGGAGAGGGAGATGTAACTAGGCATTTCCATGGCAGTGTGGGTGGAAGGCAATACCTCCGAGAAGCCAGCGAGAGGAAGGGGACCTCTAGGCAGCCATGGAGAGCAACAGAGGCAGGAGGGAAGTCCCAAGTGTGGAGGTTTTACAGGGAGGCAAGTCTGCTCTGGATGACCCCCAGCTGTCCTTCTGCCCCCATACATTTTAGATTCCTTATGCTGAGGCACATGCATGTCTGCTGCTCCTGAAACTCCCCTGTATTTTGTGGGACAGAGACCTAGGCTCTGAGCCACTCAGAGGACAGCGGCAGCCCAGGCCCCACAAGGGGAGCACCCTGGTCTCCATCTTCCTCCCAAGGACTGCCTGCACAGCTGAACCCAGGAAAGAGAGGCCAAGTGTCCAGGACAAAACCTGAGCCCTTTTCCCCAAGGGCTCAGGTATGAAGGGGTGACAGAGAAGGCTGCCTCTCCTCTCCTCCAAGGTAGCAGCATCAACTACACAGAGAACAGAGCAGAAGGGGCATCTGTCTACTTCTGCCTCGTCTGGAGGTCTCAGCATCTTGCTCCTTCCTGCCATGTTCCTGGCCCCTCAGAAGCCGTCACCACTGAGGGCTGCTGCCCATAACCCATGAGACAGCTCCAGCCTCCCTGTCTGGAGACCCAGATATGGCAGGGACTGAACCTTTTCCCTTCATTCTCCTAACCCTTGGCTCCCACCACCATTAGGCCAGGCTGTGTGATGAATGTAATCATGTGAGAATAACAGAGGCCCTCCTTAGATGAGATGGTCAAAGAAGGCCTCTGAAACAGAGACGCTTTGCCTAAGACCTAAAGGACAGGAGAGAATTTCTTAGCTTCAGCCTCTGGAAAACTGAAAAATAATAAATAATTTAAAAATAAAATAATTTTTTTTAAAAAAAGAGAAATAACATGGGATGGGAGATGACTACATTTGTAAGTTAGACTTTTTTTGATTCCCCTGTTCCCCAAGGAGGAACTTCGTGGGTATTCACAGCTCCTACCCTGGTGACAGGCATTTTTGGGTGTCCCCTGATGCTCCATTCACTGCTAGGGTGAAGTCTCACTTCCTGCCAGAGAAGCCTCATTCCCTGGAGGTGTTTCAAAGAATGAGGTATAAGTAGAAATACAAGTTCTAAAATTTCCGCCCACACTCTAACAGATGGTCTTAAGGCAGCCTTCTGGGTGCACACAAGGCATCTTATAGACCACTTGGTAACCTATCAAGAAGGAAGAGCTGGCCAGGTACAGTGGTTCATACCTGTAATCCCAGAAGTTTGGGCGGCCAAGGAGGGTGGATCACTTGAGTCCAGGAGTTCCGGCCTGGGCAACATGGCAAAATTCCATCTATACAAAATATACAGAAATTAGTCGGGTGCATTGGCACATGCCTGGGTCCCAGCTACTTGGGAGGCTGAGATGGGAGGATCTCTTGAGCCAGGGAGGTGGAGGTTGCCATGAGCCGAGATTGCACACTGCACTCCAGCTTGGGCAACAGAGCAAGACCCTTTCTCAAAAAAAAAAAAAAAAAAAAAAAAAGGCCAGTCTCCAAAATCATTACTTTCCTTGAACTCCTAGGACAGCTGAGGTTGCAGGGGCACCAGATGGCCTGAACGCAGGACAGTCAGGTGCCTCCAGGGAGAGACAGGACTCTGGATCACTGAGCCCCCTGGGGTCCATTGCACAAGCGAGTAAGGAATCAGCTAAAAGTCTTAAGTGATTGCTAAAGGCCAACTAAGACTCACGTGAGTGCATAGAACCTTCAGAAGCCACAGAGACAACATGGATCCTACCAACATGCAGACCTTTTTCCCTGCGGACTGGGTCCCTGCAGGGTCCTGAAGAAAGCTTCCCTGGAAGGGGCAAGACTGGAGGAAGGGAGCAAGAAGGGCATCAAATACCCCCCACCTTCCTTCTCTTCTAGAAGGGCACAAAAACCTTAAGCTGCGGGGGAAAGACAGCCGACCCTGTAGCTTCCAAAGCTCATGCAAAGACAATTGCAGAAGGAGAAGAAAAAGTAAAACCCTCCGCCCTTGGGGAAGAGCAAGAAACCATCCTGAGCCCAGACCTGGAGACCTGCTACCCTTAGGAGAGGGGCAGGGATCTTGAGAAAATGCCACCCCTAAGCCCCAAACACACAGGGCCTGCCTAGACTGAGGCTGGATGAGGATCATAGAGAATCCAACTTCTCCCATCCAACCAGGCTAGCAAATAACAAGCAAACAGATGTCTACCACTGGGGATGGGGCAGATGTGCAGAGACCATATCCAAGGCTCAGGCACAGTGCAGAAGCTTAAAGACACTGAGCAAACTCCTCTGCAAGCCAGCCTCCACCCTAAGCACAGGGTAACACTGATCTGAAGCCAGTGGCACATGCACAGCAACCACATTGTCTTAGTCTGTGCCACTGTAAGAGAAAACCACAGACTGGTTAATTTATAACTAATAGAAATGTATTGGCTCACAGTTCTGGAAGCTGGGATGTGCAATATCAAGGTACCAGTATGTTTGGGGGCCTTCTTGCTGCATCAGCACATGATGGAAAGCGGGAAGATGAGAAAGAGAAAAAGAGAGCCAAACTCACCCTTCTATAATGGCATTAATCTCACGTGGGTGGAGCCCTTGTGGCTTACCTCTTAAAGGCCCTCTTTCTTAACACTGTTACAATGGCAATTAAATATCGGCATGAGTTGGGACAAACATTCAAACCATAGCATAGGGCAACTACAAAACCCAAGTCCAGCTCGACTCCTGCTTGGATTGACTCAATCCCCAGGGAAAGGCCTAGCCAGAAGAAAAGACATACACATTTCCCAGCATGAATATCATTTGTCCTGTCTGTACTGTTGCCCCTACCCGCTACACTCTCTCTTCTAGTCCCTGCCTACTGCTCCCTACATCCAGCACCTTTGACCCCCCGCCCCAGGGTCCCACCCATGAGGCCCGCAAGACAGGCTGAAAGTGTCCACGCGTTGATCCAGAATAGACCTCAGCCAATGATGGATGGGAGTCGGGCGATTAACTCCCTACAGGTGGGACAACTCTTGCCTGTTCCACATTGTCTCCAGTGGTCCCCAGCGGGACTGAGCCTCAGTAGCCTGCATTGCAAAGTCACTCATTAATCGACCCTTTCTGGGCTGCTGTCCCTTCTATTGCTTGCCTCCCCATTCCCCTGTTGGTGTTTCCTGGGATCACCTCCCAAATAAGCCACTTGCACTTACATCCTTGTGTATTAGTCTGTTCTCACGCTGCTAATAAAGACATACCCAAGACTGGGTAATTTATTTAAAAAAAAAGGAGGTCTTAATGGACTCACAGTTGCACATGGCTGGGGAGGCCTCACAATCATGGCAGAAGGCTAAGGAGGAGCAAAGGTACATCTTACATGGCAGCAGGCAAGAGAGCGTGTGCAGGGGAACTGCCTTTTATAAAACCATCTGATCTCGTGAGACTTATTCACTATCATGAGAACAGCACAGCACAGCCCCCATGATTTGGTTACCTCCCACTGGGTTCCTCCTACAACACATGGGGATTATGGGAGCTACAATTCAAGATGAGGTTTGGGTGGGGACACAGCCAAAACATAACATCTCATCTTGGTGTCTCAGCTAAGGCTGCTTCCCACTCTCTTCTCTGTCCCCACTCAGGAGCCCATAGGCCTGAGCCTAAGATAGCCACAGCACTCTATCGTATTGCTCCTGAAATCTGGCTGTGTTCAGGTCTTATCCATCTCCTTCCCTTGGGATAAAGCTCAGACAGGTGGCTTTGCCATCTCTGTGCAATGATTCACCCGCTCAGCACCACAGGTAGCCCCTGACCTGTCCGAATCTTAGAAGAGGATACAGCTCAACTTTGGGGCTGTTCCCCAGCTGGGCTACCCTGGGCAGTGCCATGTGCCAAGGCATGGGGCAATGGGGTAAACCACTCAAACCAGTGATTGATCCCTAGGTCTTTGCAATTTGTCAAGGGAAAGCCTGGCTCAATTTCAATTTTAAATGTTTCTTCTCAGTTATCTTTTCCACTAGTAAATCCCTGTTACCAAAGACACTCAAGAGAGTTTGGCTGAGGCTGGTCCCAAAATGGTTAAAATTATTGAACTGCTCTGCCCCCACTCCCACCCCGGACCTCTTCATCAATCTGAAATTGTTTGATTCACTGTAAAAGTAAATTTACCTCCCTGAGTGCAGGCTGGTTGCTCAAGGAGGCAGCTGGAGAGAGTTAGTGGGCAGGCAACCAGATTCAGGCTGCAGATCTACTGGGAATAACCTGCAAAGTTGATCATTTTCAGCCACGGAAAGATGCCCATCTTTAATAGCAGCAGGAGTGGGGTTCTCTGGATCAACTTCTTACAAGTTCTTCTAACAACATCTATAAAATAGGACCAGGAGCGTCACCTTTCTTGGAATGGTGTGAGGATTTTATGTAATGAGACATGAGCAGTGACTTGACCATGGTGTGTGTATGTAAGTGTTATTTGTTTTGATCTTCTTGTTGATCTTCTTGTTCCAGCACTTTTAGGACCACCCTGTGGCTATTTAGGGTGTCCCATAGGTGACCCAGAGGTTGGTATGGGGACTCAGGAGAACAGAGGGCAGAGTGGCAGGACATAGAAGCTCTTTTCCTCCCTCCCCCAGTCCAGGTGCTTTGGAAGTCACAGCACTCCAGCCATCTCCCACTTGGGCTCATTGCAGTCCTCACAGCTCATAACTCCTTCCTGTGCCCACGGTTTTCCACAAACTCAGAGCAGCCACTCCAGTCTCCCTTGGGTCCCTTGAGTCTCCTGGTGGGTGGGGAAGCCGGTGTTGAAGCTTCACAGCTGTCAGAGGGTGAGTGCTCCTGGATGGGCTGCAGCTGGGGGTGATAGGAGGGAGAGGATCAGAGACATGAGGGGCTCACACCTGCTTCCCCGTCATATCTGAGCCTTTGTAGATATCCAATGGCAGGCTTGGCCACAGGGGCTGTTCTCATCAACCCGAGGACTGTACTGTGATCTGACCCAGGCTTTCAATGGCCAGTTTCTTCCCAGAGTGTCAGAATGTGAGCATTTATTTTCCTGGGCTGGTAACATGCCTGGGAAGAATCTCCCCCTAAACCCACACACACATTTTTTGCTTTTTTTTCCCCTCTCATTTGGCCTCTCATTCTCTCTCACTCTCTCTGGAGAGTGGCTATAAATTCTAGCCCTGTGCTGATGGGGCTCTAGAAATTTGGTCTTGGATGTTTACAATGTAAAAGCACAGGAAACTTCTTTATTCTTTATCCTGGAGGACAGCCTAAGGCCTAAATGTCCAACTCATGACCAGGCAGTCTCGTCACAGGAAACTTGTTTATACTGGCACATGCTTTTGTGGCTCTTGTCTGACTTGTGTCCAGTTTATTCCTACCAAGATAGTCACACTCTAGGAGGGGAGTCAGGTTTATGTGTATTGGTCAGATGAGACTCAGAGGAGGCAACTCAACAAAATGCATGAAATAACAGAAACAGTTTATTGCTTACAGGTCCCAGAGAGAAGAGGGCAGAGTGCCATCCAGGGCCAATGGGAACAGGGCGCCCTCCAGGACACACGTGCTCAAACAGCAGGTGAGAGCGAGAGAGAGGGGGCGAGGGACATGTGGGCTTTTATGAGGGTCCAGGGCATTACCCAAGCAGGTTTCCCTTTGGGGTTCTAACTGGTGGGTTTACAGCATGCAGGCATGACTTCTGTGGAGTCACACTGTGATTGAGAGGTGAATCAAGTAGGTGGTATCTAGGTGTCCCATAAGGAGGTGGTCACCACAAGGCAGTTTATAAGGCAGATATATGGATCGACCATCTTAAGAGACTGGAAGGCAGCAAAGAATTGGAAACTGTGTCAAGGGTGACCAAACCCTACTTCTGGTGTGAGAAAGTCCCAGTTAGATTCAGAATGGAGGCCAAGGCAACATAACAGTGTAAGAGTTCACTGCACTTCCATCCTGAATGTCATAGCCTGCCTGCTAGTGTTCTAGGTGTCTATTGATAAAGAAGATTGAGAGACTTAACACTTAGTATGGAAACTTTCATTTTTAGTGTGAAGCTCCTGCCCTCAGTCCTGTTGGTGGCCCCTAGTCCAGAGACTCAACCTCTCCAAAGATAACTCTCCAGTGGTCTACTGGAGGGGGAATCCTGGGGTTTTCCTGCTTCTTAAGCAGACTTCCAGCCAGCCCTCCTGCTCTCAATCTACCTTCATGCCCACCTCCAAAGCCCATGCTGCTCTAGTGGCTGAGCCTTCAGGGTCCTATAGGGCAAAGCTGACTCTTTCTGCTCTCTTTACTGACAACTTAATGTCCAGCTTTCTTGGGGCTGCTAAGTGGAACCACTTGTCCATGTCATTTCTGGCTGTGGGCCTTTATGGGGGTCCAGGGCGTTACCCAAGCAGGTTTCTTTTGCGGGGTTCAGGCTCCAATTGGTGGGTTTAGAGAAAGCAGGTGTGACTTCTGTGGAGTCATCTCCTTTTTTCTTCTCTTTGTCCTTGTGGGCTTATGCTTTTCTTTGATCCTTGACTGTTATTTTAATGGTGTTTTGAAATGGAACAGAGATGGAAGCAACTCTCTTTATTGGGTTAATTCTTCCATTGCTTGCAATCAAAAGATTCCCTACTGTGTGCAATAGAATGTATGTTTGTTTGCAGTAAGAGACCCTCTTGGCTTACACAAGAGAAGTTTCTTCTCTTTCATCTAGAAATATCAGCCAGGGTGGTGACTCTGCTCTGGGAGACCCAGGCTCCTGCAGTCTTGTTGCTCTGCCTTCTGCAAGGTGTTGTTCTCAGCTATGAGTGTAAGATGCTCACTCTCTCACCTGCAGCAGAGCCCATGGGAAAGGACAAAGGGGCAAAGGTGGGCCCATCCAATCCCTTTAACTGCATACCCAGATGAGTGCGTCTAACTGCAAGAGGGTTTGGGAATGCAGTTCTTCCCTAGGGATCGTGTGCCTAGCCAAAGCCAGGGCTCTCTTGTATCATCCAGAAGGAAAGAACAGGCATTGGGTGACTACTAGCAGCCTCTGCCTCTCTGGTGAAGACACCAGTCTCAACAGGAAGCCATTCTAGATCCCTGCAATGAGAATTCTCTGCATCCCTGTTCAGCCTGCTGAGCCACTGTGTGCCACAGCCCAGTTAGCTGTGGATGTGCCTGGCTTCCCTAACACTGCAGGCCTGAGGGCAGGCAGATTCTTCTGGCATCCCACAGGAGTAGAACCTGGTGTCCCAGGGGCCATCTGGGGCCAGGAGTGTCAGGAATCCTGGGGCTGCCAGAGTCAGTTCAGCCAGCTCCTGGGTGAAAAAGCCTCAGCCCAGTGAAGGGAGACAGGGTATCCAGGCTGCATACATTTTCTACTACTGTGTAACAAACTACCACAAACTTAGTTGGCTTTAAGTGACACCCACTACTATCTTATAGTTCTGCAGGTCAGAAGTTCTGAGTTCTCTGCTTATGGCCCCACAAGGCAGAAATGGAAGGTTTCAGCCAGCCTGGGCTCTCATCTGGAGGCTCTGGTAAGAATTGGCTTCCAAGCTCCTTCAGATTATTCACAGAATTCAGTTATTTGCCATTGTAGGACTAAGGGCCCCATTTTCTTGTGGGCTGGCAGCTGGAGACAGCTTTTAGCACTTAATAGCCACCTGCGTTCCCTGGCTCATGGCATCCCTATCCACAAAGCCAGAGACAGACATCAAATCCCCTGCATGCTTCAAATCTCTGACTTCCTTTTCTGCTGTGAGCAGACAAAACTCTCTGCTTTCAAAGGGTTCATGTAATTGGATCAGAGTCACCTGGATAATTTCTTTTCTTTTTTTTTTTTTTTTTTTTTTTAAGACAGGGTTGCACTCTGTTTGCCCAGGCTGGAGTGCAGTGGCACAATTGTGGCTCACTGCAGCCTCAACCTCCTGGGCTCAAGTGATCCTCCCACCTCTGCCTCCTGAGTAGTTGGGACAACAAGTGTGCACTGCCATGCCTGGCTAAATTTTTGTGTTTTTTTGTAGAGATGAAGTTTCATCATGTTGCCCAGGCTGGTCTCAAACCCCTGGGTTCAAGGAATCCCTCTGGTCTCCCAAAGTGCTGAGATTGCAGGCATGAGCCACCTTGCCCAGCCGATAATCTCCTTTTTGCCATTAATGTAACAAAATCACAGGAGTGATAGCTCAACATGCTCAGAAGTTCCACCAACACCCAGAGAGGAGGGGATTATTCTAGGGAGGTTATTGGGCACCATTCTTAGAATTCTGCCTGCTACAAAGGTCGAAGCTGAGGGTTTAAAGATAAAGAACCACGTGAGAGCCACAAAACCAAGGTGGGGGTGAGAGCCACAGAACCGAGGTGGGGGTGAGGGGCTCAGTGCCAGAATGGAAACAGGTCCTCTGGGAACCGGGAGGCCTCATCTTCATGAGGGGGACGAGGGAGGAGGTCAGGACTCACACCTAGAATAATGGGTGCTCCAGGGTGACCTGCCTTGCAGGACCATTTACTGGGCTTCAGCTGGGATGCAGGCTCGTCCATCGTCCCAGACGCAGGTCAGACCCAAGTGCTTTCCTTTTGGAAGGGCTTGGATTTCTAGTTAATGCGGGGGGTTGTACCTTTCATTCCAATGAGGGTCTTCTGATGTTCTAATGAAAGCCCTGACAATGAGGGTGTTATTTGGGGAATGTGTACATTTTGTGGGGAGAAGTTTCACAGCTTTTTTCAGATTCCCCAAGGCATCAAAGAAAGGGGGAGGTGGGGGAAAAGAATCACGTATTGAAAGAATATCTTGAGAAGCTTAATTCCTATGGCTGGAATTAAGTTGAAATAAACAATTAAGTTGCAATGAAGCAATAAACCATGCTTCGTTGACCCAATTAAGAGACATGGATGAGTTGTTCAAGTTTTTGAAATGTCTGTAGCACTAGACTCACAGTTCTGCTGCTCTTTGCTTCTTTGCTTTCAAAGGGCTCATGTCATTGGATCAGAGCCACCCGGATAATTTCTTTTTTTTTTTTTTTTTTTTTTTTTTACTTTTTGAGACAGGGACTCACTCTGTTTGCAGTGATCACAGACACTACGGCCAAACACAAACCTGAGCCACATGAACTGAGCCAAACACAAACCCTGGCTGGGATCTTGAAGGTCATTTAGTTCAACTCCCCATTTACAGAGGGGCAAACAGGTTCAGAGAGGAGGTGACCTGCCCAGGGTTATATATGGAGTTGTAGCAGGGGAGGGGACAGCTTGTCTTCAAATTTAGATTCATTTCGGTTCATCACATCCCAAGTTTTTGTGATGACAGTGTGGGGAAAGAGAATTGAGCCTAACATGACCCCTCCCCAGGGCAGGGTGCGCAGGGTTGTAGTGTCTGTGGTCGCTGGCCTGTTGAAACCCTTCAGTGCCTCTCCGAAGTCCTCAGGATAAAATCCACACTCCCCTTCCTCAACATGCCTCTGGCCCCCAGAGCCATGGGCTGGCCTCTGGCATAGCACTTATCAGAGGTCCGTGCCCATGGCCATCGGCCTGTGGGTCCATCCCTTCAGCAGACCGTGAGTGTCGCTGGCTGTGGGGGTTGAGGGGACCAAGGGGACCGAGCTGTGTCCCCTCTGTTCCCTGGGGCCCAGCCCAGTGCCTGGACCACAGCATGTGCTCATAGAGGGTGTGGAAAGAAGGAGCAAAACAACATACGAACGCGTTTCCTGATACTCCTGAGCCTAACATGCCCCCTCCCCACCCCAAGTATGCTGGGCCTGCCCCACAGCCAGCGAGAAGAAGAGATTCTGGGAAGAGTTGCAACAATTCATCTTTATTTCTTATTTTCCTCTGGAGATGCAGAATTTGGTATATTTCACCCCAGGTATATTTGGGATAGTTGGCTCCTCGCTGGGTCAGGATGGCTGGGTGCCTTCTCCCCTGGCATGGTTCTCTTCTCTGCAGGGCGAGGGGCAGGGAGCTAGTAGAACCTCGCAATGACAGCCGCAATGGCAGACCCAATGGAGCCCAGGATGAACTTGGTCAATCCGGAGAGTCCAGTTGCTCCTGGGAAGAAGCAGAGGGTGGACAGAGTGGGACATGCCTGTCGGGGAAGCTCTGTGGGCAGGACTGTGGGGTCAGAGACTCCAGTGACCCTCAGCAGGGGCTGAGGCTTACAGACCCCACCCAGTTCCCCTCTCTGTTTCCCAGTACCCTCGGGGTCTTTGTTTGGGGAGAGGCTGCTGCAGGCATGAACCCCCATGGTGAACTCCAGAGCTAGAAGCAGCCTCGCTCTTCAGGGAAGGAGGCTGCACCCCAGAGGGGAGGAGACGCCCCAGGTAACCCAGCAAATCTGCTTCGGGCTGAGTCTTCCTGAGTGCACTGTTCCTGGCTTGGGCTCCTTCCCTCCCTCCTCCATCTCCCTCAGAGAAACCCTGAGAGAATGTGTAGAGAGAGACAGAGGAACAGGGAGATTGAGGTTCATAGGGTTGAGATTGGGACTGGGTCCTTGGAGGCTCTTGCCCTCCTCATCGCCCTCCCCAGCAAGCCCCGCCAGGATACTTACCCAGTGACTGCAGAGTAGCCACAAGGCTGCCCGAGGCAACTCCACCCCCATTGGCAATGGCCGCCGCGGACATCATCTTGGCTGCTATGGAGGACGAGGCGATTCCCGCCGCAGTGAAGCCCATGGCACTGAGCACCATGGGCACAGCCGCCATGGCCACAACTGCAGGGAAGAGGAGCTGGGTCGGTGCGTGGGCTCAGAAGGGACCCCCCCAGATACACTGAGTCAGGCTTGGGGACCCCAGGGGATCTGGAGAAAGAGGTGAACTTTGAGCTTGGGAGAGACTATGGGCACGGCCAATAGGCACGAATCAAGGGGAGCACAGCCAGGCGGGGAAAGTAGAGGGAAAAGCTAGTGGGGTCACTGGGCACAGGGCTCTGGGCCAAGCTCTTCTGGGCAGCAGGACCTTCCTTGGGAAAGCCACTTGTCCTCAGAGCCTCAGTGTCTGCCTTGGCCAAATGCTGGACCAGGGGAGTGGTTGGCAAGTTTCTTATCTTTGCTGGGGAGCAAATCTCATTAGGGGAGCAGATGTTGCCCAGGAGATTATGTAAGAGGCACATTCAGAGCGGCTCAAAGAGACAGCTCTAGGGCTCCGTGGTGTTGCCACAGAGCACACTGGAAGCAACTAAACCAAAGGGAGCTGAGCCCTGGCATCTCTTTCATGTCTACTGTGTTCAATCTCTATTGTTTCACCCTATGCAATCCTGACCATAACCCTGAATGGGCATTACCAGCCTTTTCTCTGGAGAGGAAACAGGAGCTCAGAGGAGTTCAAAGACATGCTCAGGGTCACATGGTGAATGTTCTGCCAAGGGGAAATGGCCTCTGCCGGCTGCTGCCACACCCTGCCCACACGCACTCCAGCTCCCAGTCTCCAAGCCCCCTGCTTCCAGCTTCCAGTGCTGTATTTCTAGCTCCTTGGTTCATACTTAGCCCCTCATCCCCACCTCCTCCCCTGACCACCCATGTGAGGGAAACATTGGCATGGACAAGGCCAGCTGCTCCCCAAGTCCACCTCCCTAGGGGCAGGTGGTTACTTGAGCCCCTTCCCCACAGACTCACCTCCTCCAATCACAACTGTAGCAATCCTGGCTGGAAACCAAAAGAACATTCTGTGAGTAGATCCACACTGGCTTCCCCTCCACTTTCTAAGCCGATTGCCCATCTAAAGGGAGGCAGGGGGCTGCCCCAGGTTGGGAGCCACAAGAAGGGATGACTCCTGTCTACCGCTCTTTGCTTCATTTCGGGAAGTGGAAATTCTGGAGGAGGGTGAGGATCACTGGGGAGTTTGACCTCAGTGCTTGTCCTGAATGAATTTACGTGGCCCTGACCTAGTTGATTGGTTGGTTGATCGGGGGAATCAGATGTTATCTTTTCTTTTCTGCCTCCCAAGGCAGGTTTAGCTCAAACAAAAAGCAGAATGAAAATGAACAAAACCTCATAGATGTGGCTAGGAAGGCATGCTACTGTGATGTCCATTCCCAGTAAATACAGGATACTTGGCAATGAAATCTAGGGCTTGGTGGTTTGACCGGGGCAGGGAAAAGTGAACAGGATGGGTGTCATGCTTTCTGAGCAGGGCTGTTAGCTCATCCGAAGCAGGGTCAGTGTTTATTAGTGAGGGAGACCATGACTTTCTCCTATAGTCCAGAAAAAGCTCTTCAGACACTAATAAGTCCTCATGGCAGAGAAAGATGTGCTTCCTTTTGCACTGTGCGCCTGAGTCACGGCAAGCACTATAGAATGCTTGAATGCCACATGAGAGCAATGCTTGAATGGAATGAATTGAAAGCTTCTGACTCTTCAAGGTCCATGCCATTGTTCCCTCCTCCAGGAAGCCTTCCCAGATTCTTCCAGGCAGAACTCATCCTTGCTCCTCCATGACTGGAGCCACTCACAGCACTGGATATACATGATTTGCTCCCCCACACGGTGAGCCCCTGGGGAGCAGGCAGAGGTTATGTTCCCCAGCAGCCAGAGGGGCCAGAACTGCAATTTGGGACCAGGAGTTCTAAAGACAGCCAAATGTGCAGGAGTGAGCTCAGCCAGCTCCCAGGGAGAGGCCTTAGAGTGATGGTGGGAGGAAGTAAAGAGACGCAGGTATGAAGGCCCACCCCTGAGTGACCAGAAAGGCCACCTAGAAGGGTTATGAGCCCAGGGAATCAGGAATGGATAACCTCGTTAGAAGGTTCAGTTTTATTGGCAGGCAAGAGAGGTGATGTCAAGTTGGCTGGCAGCCCAGCAGACCTGCACCCTGACACACAAAAGCCCTCAGGAACTGGCTGCGGTGTGTCTGGAGGCCTGCCTGTTAGGCTCAGCTGATGGGCATTCATACGGCGGAGTAGCCTGGCCATTATTTCGTGCCATTCAGAACCTGCCCTACCCTGAGACCTCCCTCCAACCTTTTCCTACTTCTATTAATATTTCTTTCTTTTTTTTTGAGACAGAATCTTAGCTCTGTCACCCAGCCTGGAGTGCAGTGGCACAATCTCGGCTCACTGCAACCTCTGCCTCCTGGATTCAAGTGATTCTTCTGACTCAGCTTCCCAAGTAGCTGGGATTACAGGCATGCACCACCATGCCTAGCTAATATTTGTATTTTTGGTAGAGACAGGGTTTTACCGTGGTGGCCAGGCTGGTCTCAAACTCCTGACCTCGAGTGATCCGCCCTTCTTGGCCTCCCAAAGTGCCGGGATTGCAGGTGTGAGCCACCGTGCCTGGCCTATTAATACTTTCTGTCATTGTTCATTGTTCTACCTCCTGTTCCAAGCCTGGAAGCAGCACACCCACACCCTTCTGTCCTGCCCAGAGCACTTGGACAACAGTAAATTGTCCCAGTTGGTAAATAAGGGACGATATTATCTTCTTATCTTCCTCTGGGGTTGTTATGAGAATTAAATTGACAAACCTCAAGTGCTAGGGTAAGTGACTAGAACATAAAAGCGCTTGCTTAAGTTGAGCTGTTATTATTTTAATTTTATGAATTGCTTGATCTTAAACTGAGAAGTCATCTGCATTTCTGACAAACAGAAAGGACTGCTGGGCGTGGCCCAGGCCCTTGCTTGCTCATCACACTTCTCTGTACTGAGTTGGGAGCCCAGAGTGGTGTGTGTTGCCGAGGGCCAGTTACCTCCAAGTTGCAAAACAGGGTGCCAGTGAGGGACCCCAGCATGAAGGAGCTAGCCTCCAGTGCCCCCAGCAAGGGTCTGAGGAGAGAGATGTTGGGGCTCAGGGCAGCTGAGGATGACAGGGTCAGCAAAGGGTGAGTGCAGGCTCAAACAGAGGTTAGAGGTTGGGGCAGGGGTCAGAAGTCAGGGTCGGAGTCAGGGGCCCTGTGCCCCCATTCAAGCCTGTGCCATTTGTGCTGGCGGAGTTGGGGGAACCCCTGGATGTCCACCCACGGAGACAGAAAGGTAAAGGGCAGGGGATACACACAGAGGAGCACTTGTCAGCAGGTAGAAGCCAGGATTAGATGCTCATCGAATGACACTGATGGATCTCAAGAATATGGTTCTCAGTGTGGAAAAAAGCAATAGAATGGGATCTACAGCACACCATCCTGCATGTCAGTTAAAATGCCCGCAAACAAAACACAATACCCATTCTGCAAAAATACATATGAAAAACAGACACACATTAAATATATTAGAAAGGTTGACTTTGAGGGAGGGGAATCGAGGGTGAAAAGGAAGAAAATGAGAATAAATAAAACCAGAAAGAGATCTCCCAGAAACTAATGAAAAAAGTGAGCTGAAGAATTTTGTTAAAATCGATACTCTGGATGTGAGATCCCATAGGACACGGGGCCCTATTGACAAGGTAAACTCCTAAAGGAGATGAATTCTGATGGTGAATCTGGGGGAAGGGAGAGCTGAAGAGAGTGGGACTCAGTGGTAGATAGACCCTTTCCGGCTAGGCAGGAGGAGGCCCGGGCCCAGAGGGGAGAGGACCTGTGGAACACCCAGGGCTGGGCATCTGGCCAGAGTCTGCCTGCCCCGGGCCCCCTCCCAGATGGAAAGTTAGGGTGGACGCCTGCTGTGAGAAGACAGGACAGGGCAGCAAGGCTGCGGGTGTCCCCCATTTTCTCTCCCACGGGTCCCGGGACAGGACCCCCGCCCTTCCCAGCCGCCTCCTCGCCCCCAGCACCAGCCCCTCCCAGGAACACTCACCCAGGGGCAAAACTACGGCAGAGCCAGAGGCCACCCTGACCACTTTGGCCACACTGGTCACTGCTGATGAGGTGAGAGCAGAGGCCTCCATGCCTGCTCGGGTTAATTCCGTGGCCTAGAGAGTAAGAGATCCTCAACTTCAGCCAGACCTGCCGAAGGGATGGAGCTCTGAGGACGGGATGGGCACACAACCTGACTTGCTTCCCACTGTCCTGAAAAATGTGACGGGCTCCAGGGGGCTAGGGAGGCTGCTCTGAGCTTGTGGAGCAGCAGGCCTTGAAAGGATCCTGGGGTGAGGGAGGGAGGGATGTTGGGGAGTTGGGGCTACCAAAGGACCTGTGTTAGGTCAGGGCCCTGAGGGACTTTATTTCCCCAGGGGGGCTGCTTTCTTTCTCCTGAAAGTCCCAGCGCCAATGTCTTAGACACTTCCGGGACTCCCTTATCTCTCCACGGAGCAATTGAAAAAGCACCAAAACTAAGAAATCAGAACCAATCGCATTTTTAAGGCATATACAGCAGGCGAGGTGCCTGCTCTTATGTAATCTCCTCACTAACGTGAAAAAGATGGGACCCTCCTCCTCCGCATGTTACAGATGAGGGAGCGCGATCTGGCTCAGTGATTTGCTCCAGGTCAGAAGCTTTCCATAGGGAAGCAACACCCCGCCCAGGCATGGACTTGCAATGGCTTCGACTTGGTTCCTCCTAACACTTATCTCTTCCCCTTGCCCACTTTACCCCAAGCCGCCCTCAAGGCCTGAGGAAAACCTGGGCAAGGACAAAGCTAATTGTCCTTACATTCCAGAGTCCAGGGACAGGTGGGGCTCGAGTCCCTTCCCATCTGAGGCTCCCTGATGAGAACAAAAACACCGGGCAGAGAGTGGATGCTTAAGGCCTCCCCTCCGCTCCCTGAGCCCACAGCCCACCCAAGGTCCGGGGCCACGGGAAGGGTAGCTCCTGCCCACCCTCCCAGTCTTACCCAAAGAAGGAGAGTTCCTGAGAATGTGAAGCTGACCTCACCGTCTTAAGCTTGGATGTGTTCCCAAAGGGTGTGATCCCAGGCCTTTTAAGCAGCTCCACCCCGACTGAAGCACTGCCCCTTGACACAGGCAACAAATGAGATAGGTTTCATTTTCCAGGAAACCGAAACTGCAGACATCTTTCTCCCCTCATGCGCAGTCCAGAAGAAAATTCAGTTATTTACAGAAATAGGATTTGCCCATGGCATCAGTCATTGTCAGTTAATATAAAATGCTTTGTCATTTAATTCAAGGATGGGAGTGTGCTCTACGCAGAATGAAGTCACAAGAAGTAAGATCAAAGTTCTATAATAAAATGATAAATATTACTTTCTAATGAAGAAGGTGATTTTCAGAATAATAGTAGTCCTTGCGATAGGCAGATGTTCCGTTTTTCAAAAAAAGTCTCAACTGAAGGCCCACTGTGCTAGATACTGACTAGGCACTGGGACAGGACTGTAAACAAAACAGACCAAAATATCCATCCTCACAGAGTTTACCAGCAATGGGGGCAAACTAAACATAATAAATAACTAAATGTATAGAATGTTATTTGATGAAGCGCTAAAGCAAAAGGAGGTGAAGCAGTGACCTAGGCAGAATTATGGGGGGGCAGTCATTCCAGGTGGAGGCCACAGCAGTGGCAGAGCCCGTGTGGCAGGAGCAGCAAGGGGGCCAGTGTGGCCTCAGCAGGTGGGCAGGGGAGAGAGGCAGGAGGTGAACTCAGAGTTTAACAGGGATCCAGGCCCTGTGAGGCCACAAAAGCACTGCAAGGACTTGATCTTGTGTCCTGAAGCCATTGCAGGGGATTATCATCTATACCTTTTTGGGGAAAGGGAGATGAAGCTGAGAAATGACACAGTCAGGCTCACCCTGCAGCTGCTTTGAGAACAGGCGGAAGAGAAAGCACCAGGTCCTGGAATGTACATTTAAATCTTCCACATGAGTAGTGTGCGAGTTGTAAGATTCAAAATGGAGTCACTTGGGTAAAACCTCAGCAGACAGAGCCAGCAAGGCTTTAATGGGAGGGCTCTCACGCAAGATGAGGCTCTCCCGTTTGCCTGCTAACAGGAACTATCACAAGAAATGTTTCCAAACTGCAGCTTATCACATGGGCCACACAAGGACAGCTAGAAGCACAGGGAGAGCGAGCCAGTTATGCAAAAACACTTGCCTGGCACAGTGTCTCACAAACCCAATCCAAAACTGCAGGAACCTGACCATAACTCCAAGATTCCCAGTCCTACCTAGCAACTACTGACACTTGGCGGTCAGAACTCGCCAGGTCTTGTAAGATGCTGCCACCACCAATAAACTTTTTTTCTTCCTTTCCTTTCCTTTCCTTTCCTTTCCCTTGCCCTTGCCCTTGCCCTTGCCCTTCCCTGCCCTTCTCTGCCCTTCCCTGCCCTTCCCTGCCCTCCCCTCCCCTCCCCTCCCTTTCCTTTCTTTTTTTTTTTTATGGAGTTTTGCTCTTGTTGCCCAGGCTGGAGGGCAATGGCGCAATCTCGGCTCACTGCAACCTCCACCTCCCGGTGGAGTGATTCAAGTGATTCTCCTGCCTCAGCCTCCCAAGTAGCTGGGATTAAAGGCAACTGCCACCATGCCCGGCTAATTTTTTGTATTTTTAGTAGAGATGGGGTTTCACCATGTTGGCCCGGCTGGTCTCAAACTCCTGATGTCAGGTGATCCTCCTGCCTCAGCCTCCCAAATTGCTGGGATTACAGGTGTGAGCTTTCGGCTGTGGGATCACAGCCATTAAACTTTCTTTCAAAACAACTTGCATAACTTTCATAAAACAAATTGCATTGAACTTTCCTTCAGAACAACTTGCATAACAGCCTCTTTCTCTAAAAATCCCCAGCTTTTTCCTTTGTTCTCCAAAACAAAAAGGCCACCCTGGTCCATATTTATGTTGTGGGATTGCAATCCTACTTCTTTTGTATTATTCCCAAGTAAAACGATTTTACTTAAAGATTTGTCTCCCTCTCTCTCTTTTTTTTTTTTTATGTTGACACAAGTGTGACATCAATATGTTGGTTCAACTAGTTTAAGCCACACTGATGGCGATCTATACTCCTATTCAGGGGTCCAGCAGGTGTCCACTCTGGCTTTCTCTCTGGGAAGGGCCCCCGGGGAGGCAGTATATTCAGAAATCCACACGCCCCTGTGCAGCTACTACATCAGTACCAGAGACTTTGCAAATTAGCACAATGAATGTATGAATGTATGTATGTGACATCATCAGGCTCCATGTCCTAACCAAAGGCTGGGTTGGGGTCACCCTAATGCTGAGGCTCAAATCACTTCTGGATGGAACAATACACGGCCAGCATATGGACACAGTTTTTGTCCAGCAGTTCTACACAATTTCAATAGTAAATAGTAATGCAAATCAAGACCACAATGAGATACCATCTCACGCCTGTTAGAATGGCTACTATAAAGACACGTGCACACGTATGTTTATTGCGGCACTATTCACAATAGCAAAGACTTGGAACCAACCCAAATGTCCATCAATAATAGACTGGATAAAGAAAATGTGGCACATATATACCATGGAATACTATGCAGCCATAAAAAAAGATGAGTTCATGTCCTTTGGAGGGACATGAATGAAGCTGGAAACCATCATTCTCAGCAAAATATCACAAGTACAGAAAATCAAACACCACATGTTCTTACTCATAAGTGGGAGTTGAACAATGAGAACACATGGACACAGGGAGGGGAACATCACACACTTGGCCTGTTGGGGGAAGGGGGCTGGGTGAGGGAGAGCATTAGGAGAAATACCTAATGTAAATGACGAGTTGATGGGTGCAGCAAACCAACGTAGCACATGTATACCTATGTAACAAACCTGCACGTTGTGCACATGTACCCTAGAACTTAAAAGTATAATTAAAAAAAAGAAATTCCTCCAAAGTAGGAAATGTTCCTTTAACAACCAGCGACACAAGTACCTTTAAAAGGGAAAAGACAAAATAAAATGTGGTGGATCATTACCGTAGAATACTAAGCAGCAATTAAAAATAATGAAAAAGACTTATAAAATGTAAAAAAAAGCCAGCATCAGAATAGTATGTATTAGGTTAAACAAAACCATAGCAATAAAAATGCATATAACAGAACTATATACAAATATTTTCTATGGAGATACCTATATATCTCTTCTATCATCTATCCACAGAAATAACTTTAAAAGGGCATGGAGAACTAATTGCCCAAATGCGAGCCACAAAACTATGAAACTCCTAGAAGAAAACATAGGGGAAATTATTCATGACATCAAACTTGGCAATGAAGAGTAAACATTCAGAGTATACCAAAAAATGCTACAACTCAACAACAAAAAATCGAATAACCCAATTTTAAAATGAGCAAAAGTGGGAGTGGTGGCTCACGCCTGTAATCCCACTACTTTGGGAAGCCGAGGCAGGCAGATCACCTGAGGTCAGGAGTTCAAGACCAGCCTGACCGACATGGTGAAACCCTGTCTCTATTAAAACTACAAAAGATTAGCAAGGCGTGGTGGTGTGTGCCTGTAATCCCAGCTACTTGGGAGGCTGAAGCAGGAGAATTGCTTGAACCCGGGAGGCAGAGGTTGAAGTGAACCGAGATTGTGCCATTGCACTCCAGCCTGGGCAAGAAGAGTGAAACACCATCTGAAATAATAATAATAATAATAAATGATATATATAAATAAAATGGGCAAAAGACTTAAATGGACATTTCACCAAAGATGATATATGCTATAGTTTAAATATTTGCCCCCTCCAAATCTCGTGCTAAAATGTAACCTCCAATGTTGGAGATGAGGCCTAGTCGGGGGTGTTTCGGTCATGGGGGTGCTTGGCACTGTCCTCACAGTAATGAGTTAGCTCTCACTCTATTAGTTCCCGCAAGATCTGACTGCAGAAAAGACCCTGGCACCTCCTGCCTTCCTCTTGCTCTTGCACCGTGTGATGTCAGTTCCTCTTGCCTTCCATTGTGAGTACAAGTTTCTTGAGGCCTCACCAGAAGCCGAGCAGATACCAGTGCCATGCTCCCTGCAGAACCATGAGCCAAGTACACCTCTTTTCTTTATAAAGTACTCAGTCTCCAGTCTCAGGTATGCCTTTATAGCAGTGCAAGATGAACTAATATGATATACAAATGGCCAAAAAGCACACGAAAAGATGTTTAAGATCGCCAATCATTAGGGAAATGCAGATCAAAGCCACAATGAGATACTACCTCACAACCATTAGGATGGCTGCTATCAAAAAAACCGAAAATAAAAAGTGTTGGCCCTTATATAATTGGAACCATTGCACACTGTTGGTGGGATCGTAAGATGGAGTAGTTGCTATGGAAAACAGTAGGGAAGTTCCTTAAAAAATTAAAAGAACTTCTATATGATCCAGAAACCCCACCTCTGGGTATATATCCCAAAGAATTGAAAGCAGGGTGCTATGGTCTGAATGCCACGGCCCCGCCAAATTCGTTAAAATCATAACCCCAAAGGTGATGGTATTGGGAGATGGAACTTTTTGGGAGGTGACTAAATCAGGAGAGCAGAGCCCTAATGAATGGGATTAGTGCCTTTATAAAAGAGGCCCCCCAGAGAGCTGCCTTATCCCACTACCATGTGAGGACACAGAAAGCAGTATTTACAAACCAGGAAAGGAACCCTGACCAGACACCAAGGGGGCTGACACCTCTTAATCTTGGACTTCCCAGCTTCTAGAACTGTGGGAAATAAATTTCTGTTTTTTAAGCTACCTAGTCTATGGTATTTTGTTACAGCAGTGCAAACGGCCTAAGACACCGGATCTTAAAGAGATATTTGCATACCCACGTACATAGCAGCACTATGCACAATAGCCGAGAGGTGGAAGCAGCCCAAGTGTCCACTGATGGGTGAATGGATCAACCAAATGTGGTCTATACCTCCGGTGGAATGTCATTCAGCCTTATCGAGGAAGGAGATTCTGTCACATGCTGCATCCTGGATGAGGACATTATACTAAATGAAATAAGCCAGTCACAAAAAGGCAAATACTATATAATTTTGGCCAGGCACGGCGGCTCACACCTGTAATCCCAGCACTCTGGGAGGCCAAGGTGGGTGGATCAGCTGAGCCCAGGAATTTGAGATCAGTTTGGGCAACACGGAGAAAAAAGCCCATCTCTACACACATATACACACACACATGACAAATACTATATAATTCTACCATTAAGTGGTACCTAGAGTAGTCAAATTCACAAAGAAAGTAGAATGGTGGTTACCGGGGCAGGGGGAGGGGCGGAGCGGAGCTGTTTAATGGGAACAGAGTTTCAGTTTTGCAAGATGAAAAAATTCTGGAGATGTTTCACAACAACGTGAATATACACCTAACATTGCTGAACTGCACTTAAAAAATGGTCAAGATGGTCAATTTTATGAATTTTTATCACACTATAAAAGGGGGGTCCTTGGAAAGGAACGCATGAAATTGCAGCAGTGCTTTACTTCTGAGGGTGGGAGTAGGGGCTGTAATGAGGGGCAAGGATGCTTATCAGAGCCAAAGGGGCTTTAGACTTACCTATATGAATTTAGATTTTTAAGAGTAGAAGCTACTTCAAGATTTCTTAAGTAATTTAAATGCAATAAAATGTTGGTTTTCATTAGAAAATAATATAATCCCATACTGTAAAGTTAAAAACAAAAAGACAGTAACCTACTGTCCACTTACCTTCGGGTCCGGTGTGCTCTTCCTTAATGGCTGGAGCGGTGAGAATAACGAGACAGAGACAGAGACAGAAGCAGCGAACCTGGCTGGGAGCCCACTTTGGTTTCCTCCAAGGATCTTCGAGGCGCAGTCTTCCCTGAGAACAACGCCCAAGCTGTCTGTACAGGACGCTGTGTTTGGGCACTCACTGTCTCTTACCCCCCTCTCTTCTTTGAAACAGAAACCTCCTCTTTCAGGTATAGGAGCCCCTGCCTTGACCTATGAGTGTATCAGAGGCATGGGCTCTCCTCGCACTTTCTAAAGGTGAGTCCAGGTGGACTTAAACCAGTCATCACATCCCACCCATCCTTTGGGCCTAATAAAGGGTTTTAGGAATGAGTAAATGACCCCATTTAAGATAGTAGCATGAACATTTACTAGAGGTATTTGGGAAAGATGTTTCTTTGCTTTTCAGGAGAAAGTACATGAAAAAATGTTCTTTCTGGGAGACATGAATAAAGAAGGTAGCTTCCAGAGCTTGCTAACAGCTGTCTTGTAACCACGAGAGCTGGCAGCCACAAGATGAAGCTGATGCCTCAGAAACAAAGAATAGAAAAGACAGGTCTTTGGCATCTGTGCTGTGTTGCTGAATCAAACCCTGTCCGAAGCATACTTTACCTTTGGAGCTTTCCATTTAGTAAAGCAATGAAGTCCGTTGAACTCTGAGCAAGTTGCGATCAAGTTTCTAGTACTTACAACTCCATAATCCTTAAGTAAAACAGCACTTACTCCAGGGAAGTCTTCCCAGGTTGCTGCAATTAGAATCTATCGCTTCCTTTTCTGTCCTACGAGCCATATAGCCTGATCCTCTTCAGTGATTTTACACATTGTCTTATGTTGTCAGTTACCCATGGCTGGATAAAAAGTGACCACACAATTTAGTGGCTTAAAAAAGTTATGTAGCTCATGATTCTGTGGGTCAGCAATCTAGGCAGGTGGTTCTTCTGGTCTCAGCTGGGCCCCTCATCCATCTGCAGTCAGCTGCAGGTCAGCTTTGCAGAACTTGGCTGGGCTCGCTGCCATGTCTGGGGTCTTGTCTGGAATGAATGGACTTTGTGTGCTTGCCCAGCCTGGCTTGTTCTCATGGCAGTGATGGGGTCCGGGAGATACAGCAGAAGGCTGCAAGGTTTCTTAGGGACTAGGCTCAAGATTAGCACGCCATCACTTCCACTGTGTTCTATCGGCCAGGCCAGAGCAACTCCGCAGGCCAGAGGAGATTCAAAGGGAGGGGAAAGAAATTCCTACCTCTTGATGGGAGGAGCTGTACAGCCATGCTGAAAGGGCGGAGAATATGGTCGTTTCTGTAATTTACCCCAAGTCCCTTCACATCATTGGTTAAGGGCTGGCTTCCCCAACATTGTGCACCCTGGGCAGAGATGGACCTCTGTGATCCTCTGTAGCCAGGGCAATCCTGTGGGATGGAGCCTTGGGGCCCCTTTGGGAGCTGTGGGAGTCAGCTCAGCCAGCATCCCAGGGAGAGCCCTGCAGGAGTGCAGCTGTAAAGGAAAAATAAGTGTGAAGGTCAAACAGCCCAGAGTGGGACTAACGTTGAGGTCAGAGGCCACATCTAAATAGGCCTTGCAGAAGTCAAGTGTGGTTTACTTATCCTCAAGGCCAGGCAGGTGCCGTGTGGCAGATGCCAGGTCAGTGTGCATAGGACAGCTGGCACCTGATCTGGGGCCAGGCACACAGGAGGTCTCTGGAAATGGGTATTCTGCATTGGCCTACTTCTCAGGAGCCCCAGCCCCTTGCCCATCCTCACAGGCTCTGCTCAGTCCACCTGGGGCCTGAGGAGCCTGGGCTCTGTGCTGAGAGGGACAGAGCTCCCTGGAGGAATGAAACTTCTCGACCTGTATGGAGAAGGCCCATAGGCCAGGCAAATGTAGTGTTGCTAAACTTCTAGAGTAATCAGTAGAGTAAACTTCTAGAGTAAACTTCTAGAGTAATCAGTCACACCCTGAGTCCTGGGTGGGAAAGGAAGGGATCAGTCACGCATGAGGACAAAGGGCTTCGTAATTGAGGGTCAATGGCTCAAGCAATGACCCAAGAGCCACGCCATCCTATAACGCTTACTCTGGCTGACTCTCCCATCTGAAGTGCAGCAAACTGAGGCTCAAAGGGCAGACATGACCTGCTCAGGACCACAGAATGAGTGGAAAGCCTGGGGCCAGACCTGGCTCCGGTCACAGACATCCCATGCTGCTTCCTCTTGAGTCCCTCCCTGTCCAGCAGTCCTGCAGCAGCGCTGTACCCTATCCTGACCACAAGAACAGAGAACCGACACTAGGAGAAGATAACCAGCATCTTTATTTTTCATGCTTCCTTAAATAGTTTTGGGAGTAGGAGACTTGTCCTTTGGAAGATTGTCATCCAGAGGCCCAGGAAAGTCATCTCCACCAAGAGAGCCAACTCCCTGCCTCAGTGTGGTGTTCAGCTGGAAGGGGGTGAACCCAGCCAGGCCCCAAGAGCTGTCCCAGCAAAGCCCCCGATAACTTTAGATGTCACAGAGAGTCCAGCTGCCCCTGGGGGAGAAGAGAGGGTGAGCACAGGGCACAGGGAGGGGTAGCAGCTCCTAACAGGGGGTTGAAGGCCAGAGACCCTGGTCCCTCCAGAGACCTGAGGCCCAGGCAGTCCAACCCTGTTCCCCACCTCTGCTTCCTAAAACCCTAGGATTTCTGCTCTGGGAGGGGCTGCTGCAGGCCACTGCCCGAAGAGGAGGCAAGAACTCTGGTGAGGAATCCCAGCAACAGGGCAGACCCTCTGAGAAATGGCAGGTTCCTTATCTTCCAAAGGCCCAGAGAGGGGAGGAGACCTGCCTGGGTTTTGTAGGGTTCACCAGGAATGCAGATCTCTTAGGCTGCACCCCTGGTCCCACCTCCAACCAGAAGAGGGGACAGTGACAGAAAGACAAAGGGCCCAAGAGGCAGAGGATCACGGACCTGCAGGGAGAGGAGAGGCCTCCCTGGTTCAGCCTCGGGGCTGGATCATCTCCTGGCTCTGGTCATCCTGTCCAGAACACTCACCCACTGACTGCAGAATAGCCACCAGACTGCCAGCAGCAACTCCGCCCCCGTTGGCAATGGCTGCTGTAGACATCATCTTGGCTGCTATGGAGGATGCGGCGATTCCTACTGAGGTGAAGCCCATGGCACTGAGCGCCACGAGCACAGTCCCCACAGCCACAACTGCGGGAAGTGGAGATTTGGGGTTGGCCCCATGGGACGGAGTCCCCCAGACTTCCCTGACATCCTCCTGGGGCGATGAGGAGGAGGGGTCTGCTGTGCTCTCAGGAAAGACTGAGCAGGGATGGGATCCCAAAACAAGGGCAGTCAACGTGTAAAGCAGCCAGTGGACCGGCTCCCAGGATAATCTGAATCCCAGGCTTGTTTACGCCTGTTTCACAGACACCATTGAGGGCTCACTGGCCCTCCCTGGGCCTCTGTTCCCCTAATGTAAAATAAATACATTGAAGCAAACAGCAGTCTTCAAACTTTCCCTTTTGGCAAGGAAAACATGATCTCTCCATGCAAAAGGTTGACAGAAGACAATATCAGAGCTGCTTTTCTGGAGAGGTGAGGGGATGGAGGCCCTGAAGGCCCTGCAGCAGCACGCGGGGGTCCTCTAGGGCTCCCCAAAATCTCCAGAGCAGTGCAGTCAGAGAGCCATCTGCAATCACAGCCACATTTGTTTTCTGTACTGTCTACTAGGGTAGCCACGTTTAGCACTTGAAATGTGGTGCAGGTGACAGAGAAACATTATGATTTTCTTTAGTTTTGGCCATTGCATTGGAGGACACTGCTTTATAGCAGGTCAAAAGCTTCTGACTCAGTGGATGGGCTACCAGCATTTGTCAAATACTTTTGAGGAATGAGACACAGCTCAGCTGACATACTCCCTTCAAAAGTCCCCAAGGATACCATGGGCCCTGCTTTAGACGGGGAGGAATCCCGGGCTGTGACTGCTCCAATGACTCATCCGGGGTTGCATGGTTTGTACTTGGTGGAAGCTGAGAGTAGCCCCAGCTCTGGCTGCCTCCAAAGCCCTGTGCCTTTAATGGCTTTGCTTTGCTTCCTGCTGCTCTAAGGTCCCCATCACTCTGCCCACTCCACCGCTACCCAGCTATGTCTTGGAGAATCCTGGGTTTGGTCAAAGCCAGTTTCTCCCAGAGGCTCAGGGCTGGGGGGAGGCGGGGGATGGGGGCTTGAGTTCCTTCCCATAGAGACTCACCTCCTCCGACCACAGCTGCTACAGCAGCCCTGCCTGGAGACAAAAACAACAACAACAACAACAAACAAACAAACACAAACCTATGGGAGTGGGTACTCTCTGATACCCCCATCTCAAATTCAACTTTGCTATTCTTTCCCTCTTCTGAAGCCCCCTACTCATCCTAGGCCATAGGTCAGAGGTGAAGGCCCCATCCTCAGGGCTCTGCACGTGGCACCTTCTGCAGGAAGCCTCCCCAGGTCCCCGCATCAGAAGTCACCTGTCTCCTCTGCCCAGCCTTGTGGCTGGGCCCCCTGCAGCACTGGGCAGAGCATGCCTGGGCCTCCTGAGTTGTGTTGAGCTCTCAGGGCTGGCAGGAACATCTGACAATGGCTGCCACGGGGGCAGGGACTGGGGTGCTTAGGCAGCTGGGACCAAAGTTCTGGAGATTTCAGGGCCTGCTAGAAAGAGCTCAGCCACCTCCCCAGGAAGAGGCGCCTTGGTCTCAGCCAAGTAACAGAAGGTGCAAAAATCAGCCTCAATCCTCCCATCACTCCCTGCCATTTCTTGAAGCTTTTAGCTCATGGCTCAGGACCTCCCTTTCTCTCTGTCACGACTCCTGACCTGTCTTGATGATATCAATCCCTACTCAGATGACATTTCCCAAAAACGTGTCTTTCAGTTCTTATTTCCTTGCTTCCAAAGATCTTGGACTCTATGCCCCATATTCCCTCAGTCAAACCCTAGGCCTGTGCTGCCCACTTGTAACCACTAGCTATGTGTGGCTATTTAAAGTTTAGTGAATTAAAAATGAAATAAAACTTAGAACTCAGTGCCTCAGTTGCACTAGTCACATCTCAAGAGCTCAAGAGCCACGTGTAGCCTGTGACTGTCACAATGGACAGCTCAGAGAACAGAAGGTTCTATTAGTTCTATTAGCATTCTGTCCTAGACCTTGTTAATAACAAAATGGTACCCTCCCTACAGCGAGCAGCCCCCTAGAGGCCCCTAACTCCTCCCTTTCCAGTTTTCTGACTCTAACACAAGCTTTGGGAGTTCTTCAGTCACCCTGGGATTTCTGAGCTCTGTCTTAGTTTCCTAGGCTGCTGTAACCAAGGACCCCAACCTGGGTGGCTTCAAACAACAGAAATCAATTCTCTCAGTTCTGGAGGCTGGAAGTCCACAATCCAGGAGTCAGCAAGGCCACGCTCTCTCTGAAGCCTCTCAGGGAGGGTCCTCCTGTGCCTCCTTCTAGCTTCTGGTGGCTGCCAACAATCCTTGGTGCTCCGGGCCTGTGGCTGCATCACTCCAATCTCTGTGTCTTTCTGTTCCTTTCACTCCCCGCTCTCTGAGATTATGCAAATTTCACAACTTCTCCCTGGATCTTCAAACCTGCACCACCTCCTCTCTTGCCTCTGTCGGGGTCCTAATTCACCAAGAAAATGAAGGCAACCAGAAGACAGCGTCCCCCTGCTCTCACCAGCAAGTCTACCCCTGCCACTCACCACCCCTGCCCCCACATTCCCTTGCCCTCCCACTTCTGTGATGAGCAGTGCCTGCACCTGCCACCTGTGTGCCTCCCCACTTGTGCGCCTGCCGCCCTGTGCGCTGGGCCCACCTGCTATTCCTACTCCAAGTCATGCTCCAGCAGTGCCTCCCTCGCTTCTGCATCATCAAAGTCTCCCTCTCTCTGGGATTGTTCCCAATACCAGTAAAACAAGGACAGCCCCTCCCTTCACACCACATCTTCCTCCAGCTGCCACCTCACTTTGCTTTGCTCCTTAGAGCAAAGCTCCTTGTGGTAGTTCTGTCCATTCAGGGAAAGGCAGAATGGCACCGTGGTTAGGCACCCAGACTCAGAGCTGCATGACCTTGAGCAGTTACCTAGCTTTCTTGTCCCCTCTATAAAATGTGTAAGATAATGAGAGCAGCCACCTCACAGGGTTAGTGGGAGGGTCTAATGCAAAGCATGAGAACATGAGTGAATCATCAAGATGTGTGTATAGGCACGACACACCACCACTCCTCTCATGCACTCTCAAACCCATACCCATAAGCCTTCTCCCCAACCCAGTCCCCAAGAAACTGGACTTACAACGTCCCCACTGACCTCCTTGGTGCCCATCCAGAGCCCTCCCTCTCGGGCCTCAACGTTCCCAGCTCTCAGCAGTGTCTTGACAGGGGTGATTACTCTCTCTTCCTCAAAACGTCTTTGTTGCGGGTTGAATTGCATCACCCGAAAAGATATGTTCGAGTCCTAACATCTGGTACTTGTGAATGTGACCTTAATTGGAAACAGGGTTTTTGCAAATGTAATGAAGATGTGGTCATACTGGAGTAGGGTGGGCCCTTAATCCAATATGACTGAGGTCCTTGTAAGGGAAAAAGAAGAGACACAGATACTTGGAGTCACACAGGGAGAAGCCCACGTGAAGACAGAGATGGAGATGGGAGTGATGCAGCCACAAGGCAAGGACGTCGAAGACTGACAGCAGCCACCAGAAACTAGGGAGTGGCATGGAACATTCTCCTGAAGGGCCTTCAGAGACAGCATGGCCCTGGGACACTCTGATTTCAGACTTCTAGCCTCCAGAACGGTGAGAAAGTAAATTTCTGTTGTTTTAAGCCATTCAATCCATGGACCTTTGTGACAGCAGCCCTAGAAGCCGACACATCTTCCTCACCTGGCCTCATCCTCCACATTTCCCCCTGCCATACTAGCCTCTCCTTCTCAGTCTCATTCAGCCCCTCTCCCTGAACTCAGTGCAGTGTGGGTGTGTCCAGGGTCCGTCCTCAGACTCCCCTGCTTTAGCCCCACACCTGGGGGCACTTCACCCAGTCCCACTGTGTTAAGTACTCTGGTGACTTGCAGATTGATGTGCTCAGCCTAGACCTACTTAACATGTCCCTTGGGTATCTGAGAAGCACCTCAAACATGAAGTGACCCAAGTGCACTCCCATTTCCCCTCTGGAAGCTGTCCCTCCAACAGCTGCCCAGCCTCTGTAAAGGGCAGCCCCGTTCTCTCAGTAGCTCAGGGTAAGTGGCCTGGAGTCCTCCTTGACTCCACATGGTTTCTCTCCTTCACAGCAATCTATCCGTGAATGCTTATTCACCTTCAGAAATATCCAGTCTGACCATCCCTCATACTTCTGCAGCTCCAGTCCCGGACCAAGCCACCCGCGTCTCTCAGTGGGATGACTGGAGGAGCTTCCTAACTTGTCTCTCTGCCTCTGCTCTGGCCCAAGTCACTGCTGAACCCGGAATCCATCCTCTCAGCAGCTCAGGCCAAAAGCCTTCCTGCTATGAAAGTTGTCAGAATTAAAATGGAGTCGCTTATGCCAAATCCTAACAAAATGGAGGCAGGCCACCAAGGAGGGGCTCTCAGGCACACATGCCTATGAAAAGAGCTATTACAAAGATGCTCTGAAAACCACAACCTTGCAGAAAGGCCACTGCAGCCTTCCATAAAGAATACTTCTGAATGGATGACTGCCCAGCAACTGCCCGTTCAATCTTGGGCTGATGCCACACTTGTAGCCAAGGATCATTGTTTCAAAACCACTTAGTAACTTTCCTTGTTTTGCTTTTAAAAACCTTTGTCTTCCTTTGCCTTCCTGGGTACATCTGTGGCCCCGCCATGGTCCACTGTGGCATGTGTATTCTGGGATTTAAAAATCCCGTCATTCATTCCTGAATAATTCTTTTCCATGGATAGCCTCCCTCTCTGTTATTTGGGGTTGACATAATCTGGTGTCAGAAGAGTGGGACACAAAGTGCATTCACCTCGGAAGGACCAGCAGCCCCCAGAATCATGTGCAGTACCCACCTGAGTCCCATCCACTCTCCTTTCCCATGGTTGGCCCCTTCGCCTCGGTGAGCCTCCACTCGGATTCTTGGACTTCCACCTGTTGGTTGAGTTTTGACTTTATTCAGGATCTGGTTTGAATAAAGCTGCATTAATAAAGAACTCTGCATCCCTCCTGGGACTATAAAAACATTAAAAATAGAATTATCATATAAAACATATAATCCCGTAAACCCACTTTTGAGTAACTACCCTAAGTATTTAAAGCATAGCCTTTTTTTTTTTTTTTTTCTGAGACAGAGTCTCGCTCTGTCACCCAGGCTGGAGTGCAGTGGCACAATCTCTGTTCACTGCAACCTCTGCCTCCCAGGTTCAAGCGATTCTCCTCCCTCAGCCTCCTGAGTAGCTGGGATTACAGGTGCGTGCGACCACACCTGGCTAATTTTTGTATTTTTAGTAGAGACAGGGTTTCACCATGTTGGTCAGGCTGGTCTCGAATCCCTGACCTCGTGATCCGCCCACCCTGGCCTCCCAAAGTGCTGGGATTACAGGTGTGAGCCACTGCACCCGGCTGAAAGCATAGTCTTGAATAGATATTTATACACCCATGTTCGTAGCAGCATTATTCACAATAGCTAAGAGATGGAAGCAACCCAAGCATCAGGGATATAAAACACTGAATGGAGACGTATCTACTGGCTGCTGTGGTACAGGGAAAAGTCATGGTGTTTACCCATCCATCTGCCTAAAACCCCTCAACAGCCTTGTATGGCCCATGGGATAAGCAAGTCCTCCATGAACTGGCTTCTGCCTCGCCCTAAACTTATTGTTGCCAATATCCAGCTACGTTTCTGTCCTGGGGGACAAATAGAAGTCATTCCCTGCTCTTTTAGGCCTCTGATCCTTTGCATGCTAGATTCAGGAAAATTTTCAGGACCTCATCATCTTACATATTCTCCAGGAAGACTTCCCTGGCCACACATTCCCAATCTCGCTTGAGCAACTATACCCCCACTTATGCTCTCAAATGTGAGTCCACTATATTCTTTCTGCCACAGAATTTCCCACAATGCAACATTGTTCTCTATCTCCTCTGCTGGATTCAGAGCTCTTTAAAATCAAGGACTGCTATGGTTTGGATGTTTGTCCCCTCCAAATCTCATATTGAAATGTGATCTTCAATGTTGGTGGTGGAGCTTGGTGGGAGGTGCTCAGGTCATGGGGGAAAATCCCTCATGGTGGCTTGGTGCCCTCCCCATGGTAATGAACAAATTCGCACTCTGTTTGTTCATGCAAGAGCTGGTTGTTTAAAGGAGGCTGGTACCTCCTCCTCTCACTCCTGCTCCCTCTCTTGCCATATGACACACCTGCTCCCCCTTCAACTTCTGCATTAGTAAAAGCTTCCTGAGGCCTCACCAGAAGCTGAGCAGACGTTGGTGCCATGCTTGTATAACCTACAGAACCATGCCAAATAAACCTCTTTTCTTTATAAATTACCCAGCTTCAGGTATTCCTTGATAGAAATGTAAAACTGACTAACACGAGTCAGGAGTCATTCATTGCTGCCTCCCTTAATGCTAGGCCCAGACCGGAGATCAAGTAGACATTGAGTATTTCATAAAAAGAAATATGGATAAAGAGTGTGCCTAAGGCTTGGAACGGTGGCTGGCACCTATAATCCCAGTTACTTGGGAGGCTAAGACAAGACGATCACTTGAGGCCAGGAGTTCCAGACCAGCCTGGGCAATATACCAAGACCCTCATCTCTAAAAAAGTCTCTAAAAATTAGCCAAGTGCTGTCATGTATACCTGCAGTCCCAGCTACTTGTGAGGCTGAAACTGGAGAATTGCTTGTACCTAGGAAGTCGAGGCTGCAGTGAGCTGTGATCATGCCACTGCACTCCAGCCCGGGCAACACAGTGAGATCCTGTCTCTAAATTTTTTTTAAGTGTGCCTTTGTGCATCCTTGCCTTTTATTAAGAGGGGCCTTTAACTCGCTCTATCTTAGGAGAGACTCTAATTCCCCTAAGTTGGACTTCTAACCCATTCTCATCCTTTACCCAGGTAAAATGTACCCCACCACTTACCCAAAGTCAGCCAATTGGTGTTGCGGTCTATTTCCTTTAGTTCAGGGGTCTCCTCAATATCGTCCTTTCATGGTTCACCAGGAGTATATTACTGGAAAGGGGTCCCAATCCAGACTCCAAGAGAGGGTGCTTGGACCTCACACAGGAAGACTTCAAGCCAAATCCAGAGTGAAGTGAGAGCAAAGCAGCAGCTTGGGCCGCTCGACTGATAATACTTACAGTATTATATTGATTATATGCTAAACAAGGGATGGCTCATTCACGAGTTTTCTGGGAAAGGGGTGGACAATTCCTAGAGTGATGGAGGTCACTTCCGTCACCATCTAGGTTTTGGTGGATTTGGGCTGACTTCTTTACATCATGCTGCTTTATCAGCAAAGTCTTTTGCTGAATTATTTGGGAGTGTTGTTCCAAAACTAAACAGGACTGTGCAAGGAAACGGCAGGGTGGAGAAGGTGAAGAGCTCAGGGAGGCCAGAGAAAGACCCACCCGTTGCAGCAACACTGACTCAAAAATTCAGGCGGCCACTTGTCATCCTGAAGGGATCAGCTCTCAAGTTTCCGCCTTTAGAGA